>NC_000002.12:104762345-105065375 GCF_000001405.40 Homo sapiens | reverse complement strand
AGTTAAGTAGCTTACACTGAAGTAAATGGCAAAGCCAGAACCTGAACCTTCTGAAATTTAATTTCATAATGTACTCTCCTTTGTCCACACCAGGGAACCAATCTTCTCTCAGATAACAGATTCACTTCTTCACTGACATCAAGGATATCCAGCTATTTAGTAGTAAAATTAGGAGAAAAAGCCAAATGTGCTTAAAGAGAAAGAAATAGATTATTTACCTAAATACATTTTACTCAACAAATATTTATCCCACCTGAGTTCTAGGCACTCTGCTAGTTTAGAAAGATAAAAATTAAGATATGGCTCCTGACCTCATTCTATCAGTGGAGACAGATGTATACATAGTCTCAAATATAGGGGCTGCTGTAATAGTACACATAAAACGGCATGAAAAAATAATATACACAGGACCTATGATAGAAATACTTACAGGTTACACAGAGGGTACAAAGGAGAGTGGTCATCTACTCTTTTCAGTGATACTTTGCATCTTTCTCTTTTTACCAGTCATTTCTTCCTTTCTAAACAAATGCCTTTGCAAATTGTTTTGTCTGCCTGGAATACTGTTGTTCTACTTCTCCACTTAACACATTGCTGTTTGTCTTTCAAGATCTTTCAAGATTGTAGACCAAATGCAGCCTTGTCTGGAAGTCCTCCCTATTCCACTGGGCTCTCCATTACTTCTCTTAGTGCCACCTTAGTCAAACAGAGAACGAGCCTCTTTCAAGGTCCACACCATCTGGCCATTCCGTTCCCTCCCCATCCTTGTCACTGCCTTCAGCTTCCACATCGCTCACAGCACTCACAAAGGGGTGAGGCCCACCTTTCTCTTTTCCATACCAATGATGCCACATTTGTGAGCAACCTCAAGGATCATGTGAAGCATCCATCTAAACAAGACTGTGCTCCTGGTGGCATCTAGGCCCATAAACAACTCAATTCTCACTCACATTCCTGTCCTGAGAAGCATCCACCCACTCCCTGAAGTACCCACTGCTTTCTTCCCCAGATTTCAATCTGGCCTAGCCATAATTCTGGTCCTGTAATTACTTTGTCAAGGGTCACTGAGGGCTTTTTCCAAACCCTGTGACCTACTTTCGGGTCTCATCCATATGAGACCGCTGTCTCCCTTCCTTCTTGCAGCCACATTCCCCTCCTACCTCTCTGAAAGTTTCCTCTTGATCTCTCCTAAACACACCTCTGCTCATCCCTTAAGTGCTGCTTCCTCAGAGTTCCATCTTTGATTCTCTTCCTTTCTAGCAAATTTCTGTAGGGAGAGAGACCAAATCTATTTCCGTAGTTCTAAACTATTTGTCAATTGCTTTAGGGATTTTTCCCTTTATGTATCCAAACAGCACATCCAAAACTGTTCCTCAAATAACTTATTTTGCTTTCTACCAGTTCTTCTTTCTCCTATGTGCTGTTGCCAAATCTTTGATTTTACCTCGGTCGTGTCTGCAGGTGTGTTTTTGAAGGCAAAGGACCTTGTCTTAGTCAATAATTTCTCACTTCAGAATTAGAACACAGCAGATACTCAAAGAATAAATCAACAACCAAATGGATTGCAGAGCCCTTGAGAGAACCAACTATAAGAACTCTTCTATAGACAACTAGGGAAATGTAAATACAAACTCATAGATAAAATTTTCTACCTCCTGCTATAGACTATATTCAGATTAATTTTCTTAGATGTGATAGTGATATTGCGGTTATATAAGCAGATGTCCTAATTTTTTGAAGATGTATTTAAGAGTGAAGCATCATGATGTTTGCAATTGTATTTTACTTTAAAATAAAATAGTGCAGCCAAAAAACATACAGTTGAAGCAAATATAGCAAAATGTTAAGAAGTTAATCCAGGTGACAGACATTCTCTTTTTCTGTATGAATGAAAGTTTTCATAAGAAAAAGTACACAAATTAGTATTTACTGCTGTTGCTATTAGATTAGAGTGTTTTGATATTTCTCAATTCTGGTTCCAACATCCATGCAACATACATGTTAATACATAAATACATATGTATATACACATAAAAGTCATATAACCTTTTGTTCTTCTATAATTTGTGATTGTTTTAATAAATTTTTGTTTGTTTTTTAGAGACTGGGTCTTACTATGTTGCCCAGGAGAGCAGTGGCTATTCACAGATGTGATCATGGCGCACTACAGCCTTGACTCCTGGGCTCAAGAAATCCTCCTGCCTCAGACGCCCAAGGAGCTGAGACTACAGCATGTGCCACGGCACCTTGCCCATTGCTGTTTTATTCAGATAAAAGAAGCAACCATGTTCTATACTTCTAAATTTCTATTTTCTCTTTTGTAGTATTTTTGAACTGTTTTTGAAGCCAATTCTTCAGGTGTTTTTAATTGTTTCAATGAAAGACAAAATACAAACTGCAAACAAATATTACTTATACTTCCAAGTATTATCTTTCTTGTAAGTAACGCAAAGCAAAAATTATAAATTCTTACTTGGGAAGAAATGAAGGGCGCAATCCTAACATGTCCAGTAGAACTTCCTCTGATAATGGAAATACTCTATATAATCTGTGCTGTTCAAAATGACAGCCAGTAGCCTATGTGGCTACTACGCTCACTGACATGTGCTTGGTGCAACCGAGGAAGTAAATTTTCATTTTATTTACTATCAATTCCATTTTATTTACTGCCAATTAATTTTAATCATGCAACTCAGCACTGTACTAATGTTACTGAGGTGTATTTCAGCAAGGTTTTTTAAACTTCATTAAATGGTTACAAGGTTAAAGTCTGTAATGTAATGTTATTGGTCTAAATTAACAAACACATATCTATTGTTACAAGACAGAATATTAACAACCAAGTAGTCTCCAAATAGAGGATTTCTACGACAAAGCTGGTAATAACGGCCATTCCTAACTTTATCTCCTGTGAAGTGAAAAGGCTGGAAGCAGTGTTTCAGTACTTAGATCTATGACTCGATTCCTTGAGGGCTTGGACGGGTAACTCAGTATCAAGACAACCATCTGTAAGGCTGCGTTTCCTGACATCTCTTAACACTACAGAGGCCCTCTGCTACTAAGCATGATAGCCTAACTTTACTATCTTAAAGAGTAAAGGTAAGAGAACTGGGTTTAGATACCCTATTTCATTCAGCCTGGACTTCAAAGTTGGGTATGTGGGTGGAAATATTTACAAACAAGAAGGAGTAGGAAAATGTAAGAGAGAAAGACAGACAGAGAGAGTGTGTGTGTGTGTGTAACAGAAGTGTGTATATGGAGTAAAAATGAGAGTAATATTACAAAAGCCTTCACTTTCCCAATCAGACTTCTTGTAGTCTGTATTCATTCAGAGGTCCTTACTGGATCAGCTCCAGTTTTCCCCCTATCCTTTGTTGTTCATTTGAATCATAGTTAATTTTAACTTGCTACTAGAAAGAAAAACATATAAATATCAAGTTGTGACAAATACTGAAAACCTTTTCTGCTTGTTTTTGCAGTTTCTTTCTCCTAGAACAAAGCATAAGCAAGAAAAACCAACAAAGCAAAATGACAAGCACAGACCTCCATCTTACGTTCTAGGAGGGTCCACCTGAAGGAATAATGTCCTCTCTAAGCACCCATACGAACAGTATCTTACTTGCAACATGCCCTCCAGGGAATACTGTCCCCAATGCTCCTCCCCCCAGGCAGTGCAACTTTCAGTCCAGTTCTGGAATAACTCTTCCCCATCACCATTATAAAAGCAGGGATGGTGGGGAGGAATGGGGCACTATCACCTTTCTCTCTAAACCTGCTGCGGGTAGTGATGCACTATTGGAAATTCTGTGTGTCAGAAAAACATCAAAATGCATCTGCCGCAGTCTGCATTTCAGCGCCAGGCATAATCTTACTAGCACTGTCTTGCTGAAGTTACTGCTGTCTCTTGTCACTGGAGTCTCTGCCGCAGGTATGAGGAAGCTCACCCCATACTACCCCTGTAGCAGCAGCAAGGCCCACTCAGGGAGCACAACAGCTTTCCAGCTTTCTTCCTCTCAGATTGCCTTCCCACCCCACAAGGCCCAATGTTAAGATTTCAACTTCTTTGACCACGATTATGCAGACCTAATTCAAAGCCAGGCTACGCAAAACCAGCTCAGTGCCACACATCCGACTGTTTTAGTTTTGACTGCCTGTAAGCTGGTCTGTTAGGGCATTGTAACTTGAGGTTTATTTCAGTAGAAAGGCATTTGCTCAAGCCCTTCCAATACAATATTTAACTTTTTTTTTTTTTTTTTTTTTTTTTTTGAGACAGAGTCCTGCTCTGTCGCCCAGGCTGGAGTGCAGTGATGCGATCTCGGCTCACTGCAAGTTCCACCTCCCGGGTTCACGCCATTCTCCTGCCTCAAGTCCTGAGTAGCTGGGACTACAGGCACTCACCACCATGCCCGGCTAATTTTTTGTATTTTTAGTAGAGACAGGGTTTCACGGTGTTAGCCAGGATGGTCTCGATCTCCTGACCTCGTGATCTGCCCGCCTCGGCCTCCCAAAGTGCTGGGATTACAGGCGTGAGCCACCGCACCCGGCACGATATTTAACTTTTCATCTTTACTCTTACCCCCAGTAATTTGCTCTTTGGCTTCCTCTATCTATTTCTCTCAAATGCCAATGCCTCAAGAGACTTTCCCAAGTTCTCATTGCAAATGGTAGACAACTTTGTTCTTACTCCTCAAACTCAAAAGCCTTTGCCTCATATTGAGAAAACACTTCATTGAAGATAAAGTCTTCCATGAGCTGATCTCCTGAGTCCTTGGGGTTTTCCAAAACACACAATAGCGGCCAGGTGCAGTGGCTCATGCCTATAATCCCAGCACTTTGGGAGGCCAAGGTGGGCAGATCACTTGAGGTCAAGTGTTCAAGACCAGCCTCACCAACATGGTAAAACCCCGTCTCTACTAAAGACATAAAAATTAGTCAGGCGCGGTGGCGCCACGTGTAATCTCAGATACTTGGGAGGCTGAGGCAGGAGAACCACTGGAACCCAGGAGGCGGAGGCTGCAGTGAGCTGAGATTGCACCACTACACTCCAGCCTGGGCAACAGAGCAAGACTCTGTCTCAAAAAAATAAAAACAAAAACACACAATTGTAATTTCCCAATCCAACATAAAGCATTAAGCTTAATATAAAATTAACACTAAGGAGGGTATTTCAAATAAGATAATTACAAAGAATAAGTAACAAAAATGGTTGGGGTAATAGGGCTACTTCACAAAAAATTTTAGATTAGGGCAAAGATGTGGTTGGGGAAGGCTCAGAAATATAAGAAAAGAAAATGAGAACCATGAAGGCAAATAAAATGTTAGAATACTTCAGGGTCTTTTTTTTTTTTTTTTTTTTTTAGCAGTTTTCCTGTTATGTGATTCAGAAACATCTATATTAGCATGAAAAATAATGCAAAATTTAAATATTATGAAAGGTAAAATTAGGTCAACCAGAAAATCACTGGGGGAAGGTGGTGAGGAAAAGACTCTCTGTTAATGTTAACCTATCTGTTCACTGTCAGTGTTCATTGGCCCCAGAACGTGTGTGGCACTTACTAGGCACTAGAAAAAAAGTGCCAGCAAGTGGTTTGGGCCCCCAAGCATCTTACAATTAAAGGAAAATTGGCATTTCACATCCAAATTGTGGTTTGGCCCACTGGGACAAGTTTACCAACCATGACAGAATTAACAGAAATTTCATAATTATCTGAAATAAACACCTTTTCACTCCTAAACCAACCTTCATGAAAAATTATTATTTAAACTAAGAAATACCCAACCCTTCCACAAAAAAAAAACAAAAAAAACAAAAAATGAAAACATATGTATCAATTGGGACTCAGTTAATGGTTTTTCCATAAGCTTCAAAACAATCCTGCTAGCCAGGTATTTGGGTTTGTATTTGGTTTAGCATTAGTGTTTCAAGATACCTTTTTCCCAGTCTAAGAACCAGATTTTGGTGGTGCCTCTAGTAAACACATTAGTATTCAAACATCCTCACCATCCACGTCCATACAGCTCAACTACATACAAAAATCATCACCTTACTCTTTAAGGTTGCCGATGTCCTAATCTTTCAGTTTTAAATTCACTCAGAAGAAAATCTGCCACAGGAATAGAAAACAAAAGGCATTTTCCCAAAATAAGTGGTAGCTTAAAATTTCCCATATTCAATTCTAAAATTGGTATGAAATTTAACTTGGCAAAGTTGTTAGGTGTTTCAAACTAACGTTACACTTTAAGAAATTGTTACACATATAATTTAGGTTCAATGGTTGGTTGGTCACCAAAAAAAAAAAAAAACCCCACAGAACAAAAGCAAAAAACCATGCTTTTTCCAAAAGAAAAAATGGAGCATATATTTAGTAAGTACAGAACTCTTTAGAAACTCATTAAACTGCCGGGCGCAGTGGCTCACGCCTGTAATCCCAGCACTTTGGGAGGCCGAGGTGGGTGGATCACAAGGTCAGGGGTTCGAGACCAGCCTGACCAACATGGTGAAACCCTGTCTCTACTAAAAATACAAAAATTAGCTGAGCATGGTGGTGGGCACCTGTAATCCCAGCTACTCAGGAGGCTGAGGCAGGAGAATTGCTTGAACCTGGGAGGCGGAGGTTGCAGTGAGCCAAGATCGTGCCACTGCACGATCTGTTGCCTGGGCAACAGAGAGAGACTCTGTCTCGAAAAAAAAAAAAAAGAAACTCATTAAACTACAGCATGTCATCTATACTTAATGTGAATCCAAAACAAAAAGTGCTGAGAGAAAAGAAAGAAAAAGTAAGAATGCAAATTTTAAAAATTTAATCCAAATAAGAAATGGAGTAAGGTAATCCTCATTAGTAAACATGTTTCTTCCATTTTTAGGTTTTAACTAGAATACTGATATTCAACAGTTCCCTAAAATGAAGGCAAAGTATTTGAGTATGTTCTTAGACTTAAATCAAAGTATGAAAGAATTGCAGACTCAACCCAGAAGCACTGGGTCAGGAATGCAATCTCTATTAATTAGGCATCCCAGCTGGGCAGTGGGTTTGCAGCTGTTAACTTGATCAATGACTTACCTAAATGTCATCTCTACTGATTCGCTTATAAATTACCAGCAAGTGAGACTAATGTACAGGTGCTAATTTATTTAAACTGTTCTCTACAGTTCTACATAGCTCTATAAACTGCATCTGGCACCTAATGTTAGCTGTCAGTTGTACTTAGACATGCCTGTCCTAACGACTCTGTTCATTAGAAGTGAGCACAAATTATGAAATATTGTGAAAAATGATACATCAAATGGAATGGGCACAGCAAATCAATTAGAGAAACTTCATACAGCATATTCACACTTAGGAGAATAAAACATTCTGGTTTCAGAATGAGGTCTATAATACCAATTAAAAAGTAATTGGTAGACTTCAGGAGTGCTATATATCAATTTGCTGGCTTTTTTCCTGAAATTCTATAGTAATGTAGAACTTAACTTTTAATTCCCAAATAAAGACATTAGTAAACGCAAGTGCAAGTCTGTATTCATAATATTCAATATAACAGAAAGGTCTCCCAACTAAACTTTATAACAACTACATGCTTCAATGGAAAAGGAAAATGCAAATATCAGTGGTCCTCAACTTTTTGGTGTTTACAGTATGATTTTGAGTAAAAGAATTTTTGATGGTACACATGACAGGATTAAGAAACTTCACTAAACAGGTTAGCAATCATTGTTACCCCACGTCTGCTCTAGCACAAGGAGATGTTACAAGGTCTATAAAGTTCCATTGGCACTTGCTGCACTCCTCACCTAGCTGTTCTTTAGTCTTGGGGTCAATAAGGAAAACTGTTTCTGCTGCCTCTGTTACACACTCATGGGCTTAGTTCTTCAGTTTCCATACACACCAAATTTTCTTTACACTAAACAACAAGACTCACTCAGCTCAAGGTTCCAACTGACAGATTCCTCCTAACAGTTATGTATACTGTTAACAGCCAAAAAAAAATTTTTACACACTGATCAACATTTGGCAGTAACCTGTGAAAGACTGATGAAACAGGAGTTGAGGATAACAGCATTAAGGTCTATTTGCTAAATATTTAGCCTGCATTTAAAGTACTTTCAGCATAACACCATATACACTACTAATTTTGTTAGAGGCTACCCGTTTTTCCTCCTGTTAGATCTTCTAAAGGTTATCAGTAGCACCATCATGGTTCAGTGGGTAAGAACAATAGGTAGTTTATTTTGTTTCAATATAATTTAAGAAACTGGGCAAAAATCAAACTACTTTGAAATGAAGAGATTCTATACCTGCCAATTACTAATTCCTTTTTAGTTATAATACTTTACTTTTTCACCAATAAGATAATATTTTTCTTGTAAACTTAATAAAAAGGTCGAGCACCAATTTGAGCTAATTCTGGAAAAAAAAATTCTGAAATATATAGAATCCTGTAGCCTTAATAATGATAAATCTTCTAAGTGATAAAACTTTAAAATAAGTACCACTAGTGACAAGCAGAATTATTTTTATTAAAAAATTTTATCCATCTTATTCCTTTTTACCAACTCACATTGTACTCTTTAATAAACCTTATTAAGGAAGCACTAGTATATTACATTAGCTAGGTGTAATTTTCACACATAAATTATATATGCTGTATTCAGCAAGGCCAGATTTCTATTCAAACTTAACCCTCTGAAGTAAAGTTGTAAAACTGGAAATCAATGAAAAAGACCTATAAAGAACTGCAATAGCTGACATAAATTCATGAATTTTACTTACTAGGAGGGGCACGTAGGGCCTCATTCAGAGTCCAATGGCTTTTAGTTTTAATTCACACACTTAACGAGTTTAGTTATGCCAGAAGGTTGGAAGACAGGTGAGGGTGGCTAGAGGCAGACACGTAGACATAAGACATCCTGACAGCAAGGGAGATGACAAGAATCAGTAATACAGCATAGCTGAGCCATTCACCACAGGGACAGTTGTGCTCTACAAGCCACAGTCAGGGGCTAACAAACATACTAAAAAGGAAAATACTAAAGCACTGTAAGGTTAAATTATACTCACTATATCCTACTAAATAAGGTTGGGGAGACTGAAATTTATTTTAGAAAATGTTACCTAAAAAATTAATCTGAAAGAGTAGAAAGAACAGTGTACAGCCTTAGTATTGTTAAAAAAAAAAAAAAAAAAGATACCTATCCCATAAGGTTTTTACAAAGATAAAATGTGGCAATGTACATCCGGCTCCAAGATGGCACTTCACACATAACATAGAAGGTTTTTAGTATGTGGTAGTAGTTTTCATTACAAATAACACTTAAAAATAGGTTTCCCTTATCTGGAAAATTCACTTTTGTGGAATATCTAACTTCCTGATCAAACTAAATAATTAGAGAAAAGCTACTGCACCTAGTCTTAATTAATATATTAAAA
This sequence comes from Homo sapiens, assembly GCF_000001405.40. Taxonomy (NCBI): domain Eukaryota; kingdom Metazoa; phylum Chordata; class Mammalia; order Primates; family Hominidae; genus Homo; species Homo sapiens. The sequence goes on along the minus strand of NC_000002.12, from coordinate 105,055,947 downwards.
GCCAAACATTTTAAAACCATTATAACTTCTAAATATGTAACAGCAATTGCAAAGGAAGCTTAAAATATTTTCTTGATTTTGGATAAATTATTTTTGTTTTCAGGAATAACCCATTGTTGCAGCATGGAAATGCTGACTCATCAGCCATAGTGTTTCTTTCAGTTGATATATACTGCTGAGCCACTTATAAAAACAATAGTTTAAAAAACATAAATGAAAACAGAAAACCATATGAGTATATAATTTTAATTCTTTGGTAACGGTTGTCACTGTCTGTCCTCTTTTGCTTTTACATCTACTCAGGTGCCACAAAGGTGGAGGGGGTCCGCTATATTTAATAAAATGCAATACCAAAAGGGGTCCGCTATATTTAATAAAATGCAATACCAAAAGGGGCCCGCTATATTTAATAAAATGCGATACCAAAAGGGGCCCGCTATATTTAATAAAATGCGATACCAAAAGGGGCCCGCTATATTTAATAAAATGCGATACCAAAAGGGGCCCGCTATATTTAATAAAATGCGATACCAAAAGGGGCCCGCTATATTTAATAAAATGCGATACCAAAAGGGGCCCGCTATATTTAATAAAATGCGATACCAAAAGGGGCCCGCTATATTTAATAAAATGCGATACCAAAAGGGGCCCGCTATATTTAATAAAATGCGATACCAAAAGGGGCCCGCTATATTTAATAAAATGCGATACCAAAAGGGGCCCGCTATATTTAATAAAATGCGATACCAAAAGGGGCCCGCTATATTTAATAAAATGCGATACCAAAAGGGGCCCGCTATATTTAATAAAATGCGATACCAAAAGGGGCCCGCTATATTTAATAAAATGCGATACCAAAAGGGGCCCGCTATATTTAATAAAATGCGATACCAAAAGGGGCCCGCTATATTTAATAAAATGCGATACCAAAAGGGGCCCGCTATATTTAATAAAATGCGATACCAAAAGGGGCCCGCTATATTTAATAAAATGCGATACCAAAAGGGGCCCGCTATATTTAATAAAATGCGATACCAAAAGGGGCCCGCTATATTTAATAAAATGCGATACCAAAAGGGGCCCGCTATATTTAATAAAATGCGATACCAAAAGGGGCCCGCTATATTTAATAAAATGCGATACCAAAAGGGGCCCGCTATATTTAATAAAATGCGATACCAAAAGGGGCCCGCTATATTTAATAAAATGCGATACCAAAAGGGGCCCGCTATATTTAATAAAATGCGATACCAAAAGGGGCCCGCTATATTTAATAAAATGCGATACCAAAAGGGGCCCGCTATATTTAATAAAATGCGATACCAAAAGGGGCCCGCTATATTTAATAAAATGCGATACCAAAAGGGGTCCGCTATATTTAATAAAATGCCACAAGAGTCAGCGAAGCCGATCAATCACTTGCAGCAAAGTCTAGCACAGCAGAATTATGTCACTGGTGTCAAGGAAAACGGTTAACACTCACTTCCATATGGGCTTTTTAGATACCAAGCTAGGTGAGACAATATCAACCTACAGGAGACAAAAGCAACCTCCCGTATAGTCAATCAGTGATAAATCAATGTACCCAACAGTGTTTCAGATGATTCTCCCCAGCACTCATTCTCAGGTGGCATGGAAGACTTGTGTGACAAAGCAGAGAACTGGAGAATGATTCCAGTTATGGCAGATGGTATTTATTACTGTTAATAGTAACAGGAATAATAACACACTGCATTAATCTCATGCCTTTTAGATATATTCTGAGGTAGACAAGTCGGTATTATTATTTTAGAGATAAGAAAATCAAGTGACAGAGAGCCCTGACTTGCTCAACGACACTAGTTAGTGACATCACAAGGAATCTCTAAATCCCAGGTCCTGTATTTTTCTACAAGATCATTTCAACTACAATGAATTTTTAATAAAAAGACAGAAAAAAATCAATCTAATAAAGCTTTCTGTATGTTCTGCATTTATATTCCACACAATAAATTCAACCTCATTTTAGAAGAGTCTATATATTTTAAAGAAGCAATTGGATGTTTTTCCTATTAATTCATGATTTGATTACTTAATTGGCTAAATCTAAAGGTAGATTTTTATAATATTCTGTTAACACAATCACACAAGATGACATCAAGTTGCTTTTACCATATATACACACACAGAGTTTTAAAAGTACAGAATAGCTGCCACCACTTATCTTTACATAGTGATGTTAAGTATCTCTTCTCTGGAAAATAATTCTATATTTTGAGAACCAGAACTAAATACATTGTTTAAAATTGGTTTCTACCTGATTGAATGTGAATGTATTCACTAAGCTACAGGATCCTTTTAGATTTCTCTAACTATTAAAAACGTATTCTAGATGGAATCACCAGTTTGTATCTGTTGTAAATACTTTAAAAGATATTTTAATATATGAAAGGGTTGTTTTAAATCTTAAATGTTTTGCTCAAATGCAATTCATAAATGGTCTTCACGATCATTATTTTAGTAATTGGATAACTAGTATGAAAAAACTAGTTTCTAAAATATATAAAATAACTAATAGCTTAATCTGAATACAACGGTGCCTAATTTGTCTATGTGAAAATTATAGTGAGCCTAGACTTTTAACTATGTAATTGAATTAAATTATAGACCATAGCTACTCTATATAAATTAAGTCCTCATGAAAATAATATTAACATCCCAAACTAATATTCTGGGTAAACATCCAAGCAATGAACAAACTACTCCAAACAACAAAATTCATGTTTAATACTTACACTGTGAAAATACTTATACCTTCAGATAAAATTACAAAATTGTTGAATGATTCTGCTTTTTTCAATAAGCTACATATGCCCCATGTACATCCAAAAAGGTAGTGAAGTGGGGCTGGGCGTGGTGGCTCATGCCTTTAATCTCCCAGCACTTTGGGAGGCCAAGGTCAGAGGATGGCCTGATGCCAAGAGTTCCAGACCAGCCTGCCAACAAAATAGCAAGACCTTGTCTTTATCAGTCAAACAAACAGACAAACCAAAAAGGTAGTTAAGAGTTGCTCAAAAACATCTTAGTAGTAAACTCAATTGGGTAATGAAATCCTCCTGCTAAGAACAGTTACTCTGGGACACACAGACCACAAGGAGGTAGGACCATTTTAAAAAGTAAGCATTTAAAAAAACCCAACAACAACAACTCACAAAGAAAAGCCCAGGCCCAGATGGCTTCACTGGTGAATTCAACCAAATTCTTAAAGAGGAATTAATACAAATTCTTGACAAACTCTTCCAAAAACAGAAGAGGAGAGAACACTTCCTAACTCATTCGATGAGGCCAGTATTACCAATATCAAAACCAGACAAACATTGTAAGAAAACTACAGACCAATATCAATTAGACATAAAAATCCTCAAGAAAATGCTAGCAAACCAAATCCAGAAACATATAAAAAAAGAGTATACACACCAAAGAAGTGGGATTTATTTCATGAACACAAGGTTGGTTTAACATACAAAAATCAATTTGTGTGATACAGCATACCAACAGAACAAAAGACAAAAACCAAATCATCATCAAAATGGAAAAGCATCTGACAATATCCAATACCATTTCGTGACAAAAACACTAACCACAACAACAAAAAAGTTCAACAAACTAGGTATGGAAAAAAACTTACTGAATCTGATAGAGCACCCATGAAAAACGCACAGCTAACATCATATTTAATGGTGAATGACTGAATGCTTTCCCCCAAGATCAGGAACAAAATTGGGACATCCACTCTTGCCATTTCTACTCAACATTGTTAGACATTCTAGCCAAGGCAATTAGGTAAGAAAAAGAAATAGAGGTATCCAAATAGGAAAAATGAAGTAAAACTATTTCCATTTTCAGGTGAAATATCCTACTAATTCTTGTAGTTTTTAGTGGATTCTTTGGGATTCGTAAATATATGGGATATCCTGCTATACCCTTCTATATATGGGCTATCTTGCTATATCCTGTATTTAGAAAATCCCAAGGAATCCACTAAGAACTATGAGAATTAGTAAGTTCAGCAAGGATGTAGATTCAAAATCAAAAATATACAAAAATCAACTGTATTCACTTGCAATAAGAAACCCAAAAATATTATAAAATAAAACAATTCTATTTACAATAGAAGTTAAGACATTAATACTTAGAAATAAATTTAACAAAAAAGTGCCAAATTTAGACTCTGAAAACTACAAAACATCACTGAGAGAAATTAAAAAGGATCTGTATCTATAGAGGGACACCCCATGTTCAGAGATCAGAAGACTTAACTAACATTAAGATGGGAATACTCTCAAAATCTATCTAGAGATTCAGCACAATCCCTATCAAAATCTTAGGTGGCTCCTTGCAGGAACTGACAAGCTGATCCTAAAATTTCATATGAAAATTCGAGGAGCAAAGAACAACCAAAATAGTCTTTAAAAGCAAGAAGGAAAGAAGACTACTTACACTTCCCAATTTCAAAACTTACTATAAAGCTACAGTAATCAAGACAAAGTGGTACTGGCATAAGGATAAATGTATAGATCAATGGAATAAAATAAGGTCCAGAAATAAGCCCTCATAGTTACACTGATATTCAATATAAGTGATAAAATAATTCAATGGGAAAAAATAGTCTTTCCAACAAATGATGCCGGAACAACTGAATGTCCATATGTAAAAGAACAAAGCTACATCCCTGCCTCACATCACACACAAAAATTACGTTAAAATGGATCAAAGACCTAAATGTAAGAGCTAAAACTACAAAACTAGAAGAAGAAAATATAAGGGTGAATTTTCATGACCTTGGATTAGCAATGGTTTCTAAGGTATACACATAAGAGAAATAAAAACATATGTCTACACAAGAACTTTATAGCATGCACATTCTTAGCAGTATTATTCATCAGAACTAAAAATGGAAATCCAAATGCCCATCAACTGATGACTGAATTCTTAAAATGTGGTATATCCATACAATCGAAAACTATTCAGTAATAAAAAGGAAGTACTGACACATGCCACAATGTAGATAAACATGAAAACATTGTGCTAAGTGAAACAAGTCAGTCACTAAAGACCAAATACTGTATGACTCTACTTATATGAAAGTCCGGGGTAGGCAAACTTAGAGTCTAGAGAGTCTATGTTCTAGGTGATTTGAAAATTAGGACCTGAATTCTATTCCTGTTGCACTCTTCAATTATTACATTCCTGACAAAAGCAATAATGGTCAATAATTTTTTTTGCTAAATGCCCCAGGATAGCTAGCAAAGGAGCTTAAATTTAACAACTTTGAATCTTGTTCTAATTTTTAAAATGTAATATCTAACATCTCATGGTATTTTATACTTAACTGAAGAATAGCATCTCTTTATGGAAAATATCCCCCAATACTGTCCAGATTACCATAAAACTCAAAAAGAGGACAGCAGCTACAAAGTCCCTAATTACAAATCACCTAACATAGAAGAGCAATAAGAAATCCTTCTGGACCGGGCCGGGTGGCTAACGCCTGTAATCCCAGCAATTTGGGAGGCTGAGATGGGTGGATCGCCAGAGGTCAGGAGTTCAAGACCAGCCTGACCAACATGGTAAAACCCCATCTGTACTAAAAATACAAAAATTATCTGGGTATGGTGGTGCGTGCCTGTAAGCCCAGCTACTCAGGAGGCTGAGGCAGGAGAACTGCTTGAAGCCAGTAGGCAGAGGTTGCTGTGAGCCAAGATCGTGCCACTGCACTCTAGCCTGGGCAACAGAGCAAGACTCTGTCTCAAAAAAAAGAAAAGAAAAGAAAAGAAAAAAATCCTTCTGGTTGAATAAAAAATGTTGGTCTGAAAGTGATACTACAGTACCATTTATAAATAGGAAAAGTATACAGAAAGATTGAAATTAAACTAAAGTGCATAAAATGACTAAAAATAATATTAAAATCGTATAAGAATGTTATTATCTATACAAAGATGTTGTTCTTCGATTAAATATAAAACATCATGGGATATTAGATGTTACTTTTTAAAAATAAGGACAAGATTCAAAGTTGTTAAATTCAACTTCCTTTGCTAGCTACTCTAGGATGTCTAGCAAAAATATTATCGACAATTACTGCTTTTATCAGGAATATAATAATTCAAGAGTGAATAGAATTCTGATCCTAATTTTCAAATCACTTAGACTACGCCCCCATTTTGAAACCTCAGATATATATTTAAGTTGACAAAAACACTGGGCCAAGGTTTACTTATGGGACTTGATATAAATTTGACTCTATTTTCATTACCATCTGTTATATCATTTTGTAAGAAAGCTGAGTCTAAGACTACACAACAGGTTAAACATTTCCCAATAGTGTATGAGCATTTATAGACTCATTTCTAGGTAACACCTAAAACTCACCATACTAAGTAAATCCTGCACATTTGTCTTTGAAACCATGGCTCCAACTTAAACAATGTATAGCAGCATTTTTCCTTATTCTGACAGCTTGATTAAAACACAGAGCTAAGGGGCTCATGAAGAAAAGTGCTTTTAATATCTAAAACTCTACAGCAATTACTTTTTCAACAGAGTAACTGTACTTACGTCAATATCTTCTTGAGTGAAAGTTTCTGGATCTTCTCCCATCATGTTGGCTAAATGTCTCTTTCCTATGTTGAACTCTTCAATCTGCTTTTTAATAAAATCCTCTGTGTAAGTTTCACGTTTTGAGGTAGGAACGTTTTTCTTTGGTATTACAAATGCAGTATGTCTTAGCCTTAATATCTAACAGAAAATATAGATGGAAAGAAAAGAAAATAAATTAAACTGTGATCTTCTAGGCCATTGTCCTTAAATAAAATAGTATATGCAAGTAGTTATCTTTTTTTATTACGGTATTCAAGTGACAGGAGTCCAAAAAGCAAGTTTAAAGGACCTGCTAAGAAAGTTGTTAGAATGTGTCCCCTACTCAAAGCCTTGCTTACAATGCAGTTTAAGCTACTAGCATTTCAATACATTAAAACCAAAAATACCTGTAAGTGGTATGCTACCTCCTGATCTATTTTAAACATCCACTTTTGATAATGATTGGTCAATGTCAGTGAGTTTTGATATTTGACACATGGGATAAAGAGCAAAAGGCTACTCCCTTAAGGAGGCAAATACACACGCACCAGAAACCAGCAAGCAGAAAACACGACAGCAAACGGCATGGCCTGAGGAAGAGCACCTTACACTGTCGGTATTCACCTTATTTGTGGGTAAAAATACGTCCTATCTTTAACCATCTTTTGGCTTAGCTTAAGACTTTATTCCATGGTCCTTATATTAAAGTGATAAAAAGAAAAAATTGCTTGACTGAACATTGAGAAGATTTATTAATTTGGCTCAACATGCTAACTGCAGAAATAAGGGCTCGCATATCTTTTATTTTTCTTTTTTTTAAAATTATTATTATACTTTAAGTTTTAGGGTACATGTGCACAATGTGCAGGTTAGTTACATATGTATACATGTGCCATGCTGGTGTGCTGCACCCATTAACTCGTCATTTAGCATTAGGTATATCTCCTAACGCTATCCCTCTCCCCTCCCCCCATCCCACAACAGTCCCCAGAGTGTGATGTTCCCCTTCCTGTGTCCATGTGTTCTCATTGTTCAATTCCTACCTATGAGTGAGAACATGTGGTGTTTGGTTTTTTGTCCTTGCAATAGTTTACTGAGAATGATGATTTCCAATTTCATCCATGTCCCTGCAAAGGACATGAACTCATCATTTTTTTATGGCTGCATAGTATTCCATGGTGTATATGTGCCACATTTTCTTAATCCAGTCTATCATTGTTGGACATTTGGGTTGGTTCCAAGTCTTTGCTATTGTGAATAGTGCCGCAATAAACATACGTGTGCATGTGTCTTTATGGAGAGGATGTGGAGAAATAGGAACACTTTTACACTGTTGGTGGGACCGTAAACTAGTTCAACCATTGTGGAAGTCAGTGTGGCGATTCCTCAGTGATCTAGAACTAGAAATACTATTTGACCCAGCCATCCCATTACTGGGTATATACCCAAAGGGCTCGCATATCTTTTAAAGGCATCAGTAATTATATCACACTTGCTGCTGCTGGTCCTTTTATGCTGTGGCACTAGGAATTTCCCTCCAAGGCATGAAGATTTCGCCTTCAGTCAAAGATGCTAAAAAACGAGAAAAATGTTTTCAAATGACATTCAGCTGCATCCCGTAGCTGGAAATAACTAGAACAGATCTTTCTGGTCCTGGCTTTTCTTAAGATCTCAAACCTGTAGTTCTCAACCTTCATCCTGGCCCCAACAATTCTAAACACTCTTAAAGCAATATTCAGGCCTTAAAACCACAATCTTAGGAATCCACTCACTTCCTTTTTCATAAACATAAATCTCTCTCAGACAGACATCATTCACTGGCACCATCCCTCCTACCTCCATCCCCTTCCCTTCCAAGAGTCCTAAATTCAGATGCCTCTACAGTAATTTGTCACTAAAGTTACACAAGAAAATATAAGAAAAAATACAGGAGAAATGTAACAATACCCAATTAATGAAAAAAATATATGTTTTTAAACTCTTCCAAATTAAGATAGTAAAAATAGAGTTTCTTCTTACTTTTTAATGAGTAAGAAAAGGGCAATTTAAAATTCTCTGAAACTTGAGTTTATTTTTACTTAGGAGATCACATCCTTCTAAAATATATTACTAACCAATCATTATCGTTTCTCACAATGCTTTGTGAAGATACAGTATTGCTGTCAATGAGTAAAAGCATGACCACAACTGGCTAATGCATGGTCCGCTCTTTTATAGACACAGCCTGTCTGTACACCCCTGCTCCCCTTGCCACAGCCCAGCGCCACCAGCACCAACTCCCTACCATAGTGGTTCCCATCTTAACGTTTTTACTGTTTTCCAGGGGATTTTAAAATTTGTTCTTTATGAGTCTACGTCTTCTTTGGGCAATGGAGAATGTTGCTTCACATATTCAAAGTGAAGAGAAATTATCTTTCTACCCCAAGAATCATAGCAAAGGTGTGATTTGGGGGCCAAAAAGTAGCAATCATATAGTAGATAATTCTCCCAAATGTTCCATTGCCAAAAGGATGATTACACTGCTGGTTTTTATAGATAACATGACAAAATGTTTTTGTTCACAGCTAAAACAACCCTAATACAGGTGAACCCACAAAGACTTTCTTTTAGGTCACTACAACCACACTCCCTGCCAATCACCAACCACAGCCCTCAGGAAATGTGCCTCCTGGAGCGTATGGCTCCTTTCACTGAAGGGATTCCAGAGGAGGAGCAAGATCAGGGAGGAAAGTGATGCGTTCAAATTTGAGAATGTGTGTGAGATGTTGATGGACATCCCAGGAAGACAGATGTCCAGGAGGCAGGTGGCTTTGTGGGTGTGAGCATGGACAGACCTGAGCTTCAGATACAGGTCTGTTAATCACCTGAGACATGATGTTGACACTTAAAAGAGAAGGAGAAAAAATGGCAAGCATTAGCGTTAGGACAAAAAACATGTCTTCTACTAGTAATGAAACAAATTGTTTGTAGGTGAGGGAAGGTAGGCAGAAAGGCAAGGTTACTTATGTCTTACACCCTCTATTTTCTCTATGAAATAGAAGATGGTCTGTCTGCTGAGAGCAAAAGGCGGTAGGTTTAACAGACTGAACACCTCATATTCAAAGAACTGTGATGCAGTGGTTGTAAAGTATAGACAGAAAAACTGTCAGAAAGAAATTAGAGATGTCTGGGTGCGGTGGCTCACGCCTGTAATTCTAGCACTTTGGGAGGCCAAGGCAGGTGGATCACTTGAGGTCAGGAGTTTGAGACCAGCCTGGCCAACATTGTGAGACCCCATCTCTACTAAAAATTACAAAAATTAGCAGGGCATGGTGGTGTGCGCCTGTAATACCAGTCATTCAGGAGGCTGAGGCAGGAGAATCGCTTGAACCGGGGAGCCGGAGGTTGCAGTTAGCCAAGATCGCACCACTGCACTCCAGCCTGGGCAACAGAGGGAGACTCTGTCTCCCAAAGAAATTAGAGAAAAAAATTTTAAGTATTCATTCATACTTAGAGGTAATTCTCATTACTAGTGAGCCAGGAGAATAATTCCAGACAGGAATCTATATCCATACAATGTCTGTAATCTTTTGTCAATTTTATTTCCCTATGGTTGGTTTCTTTTGTATGTTTCATCGGTATATTCAATGTGCTATTTAGTTCCAGAGAGTTACATCTTAGGGTAGATTGTACCGTTCAGCATTACAAAGTTTTCTACTCCTATGTAATATTTTTTTTCTTCAATTCTGTTGGGTCATAATATTGCAACCCTTTCAACCTCCTATTTACATTTCCCTGGAATATCACTGCCCATCTTTTTCATTTAAGTTTTAGACTATTTTTTTTAGGTTTTGTTTTTTTAACCCAATCTGAGATTTTAGTAGATGAGAATACCCAAGTTACATGGGGTTTAACAGCTATTCGGTCTTGTCATTCATCTTATTTAATCTTTACATTTTTTAATGCTTCCTTCCTATTTTCTTTCTTTTGCTATATGAAAAAAAAAAAAGAATTGGGTTTTCTTTTTTTTTTGGCTTTTGAGCTGGCAATTTGGACCATATACAGCTTGCTCTCATTTTACCAGTGACAATACATGTGTCTCTGAATAAAATGTTTAAATGTACTATCAACTTCAAAAATAAATATCCAATGAATTCTTACTGACTTATTCAGCTCTTTTTCAGCCACAGCAATTATCTGTTCTTCTGTTCTCCATAGTTTAGATCAGCTTCTCTTAGTCTTATTTCTTATCCCTTTTCTGCATTCTGTATGATTTTGAAATCTTTACTCCATGTTTTTTTCCCTCTTTCTACAGTGTCAATTCTGCTTACTGCAGCCACTATGAATTTTTAGCTTTTTATATCATTGGTCTATCCTCAAAATTCTTACCTCAACAGTTTCCTTTAATCATATCTTCTTGTCTTATCCCATCTCATAGAGCTCCTCCTCACTCAACTGATTTTTAAATGTCCTTGACAGTGTTAAGTAGCTGTGGTAAAATAATTCTTCCATTTTGTTAGGTAAATATCCCTTTGTATTTTCTTCAGCTGTCTCTTCCACACTGTTCCTTTTGCTCCTACAACATTTTAGCATCTTCTCAAGCAAAAGAGTCTCGATTATTGAAGACTTGGTTTTTCACTTGATTTAAAATTGTGTCTGCCTATAGTCTCCAGAGTTTGTGACATAAGGTGGTGGCTTTCCTACTTTTAACATAATTGAGGTTTAAACATATTTATAAACATTTTCATTGTTGTCCATTTAGAAAGGGCTTTAAAAAAATGGCCCTAATTTGCTATTTTTCATAAAAAGTCCTTAGGATCTTTTTCAAAGACATTTCTACACATTGCTTAAGAGTATGGCATTCTGGAAATTTATAATATTAAATTTACAAAGTTATCACAGCATCAGTAGCAGGATATTGAATATGTTTATTAAAAGTCCAGAATTATTCCAGCAATGAATTCACACAAAAATATTTACATTCAAAGGAGTCCATTATTCATTGGTACAATCCATTAAATAAGGTGAGGCTAAGAGTGTGAAAAAAACAGATCTTTAGCTAAAAACACCAAGAATTCTTGAAGGGAATTTGCTTTGCCACTGTTAAGAACAATTTGCAGCCAGGCGCAGTGGCTCATGCCTGTAATCCCAGCACTTTGGGAGGCCGAAGTGGGCGGATCAACTGTCAGGAGTTCGACACTAGCCTGGCCAACATGGTGAAACCCCATCTCTACTAAAAATACAAAAATTAGCTGGGCATGGTGTCAGGCACCTATAATCCCAGCTACTTGGGAGGCTGAGGCAGGAGACTCACTTGAACCCAGAAGGCGGAGGTTGCAGTGAGCCGAAATCACACCGCTGCACTCCAGCCTGGGCAACAGAGCAAGACTCCATCTTAGAAAAAAAAAAAAAAATTGCAGCCGGGCGTGGTGACTCACGCCTGTAATCCCAGCACTTCCGGAAGCCAAGGCAGGCCGATCACAAGCTCAGGAGTTTGAGACCAGCCTGGCCAACAAAGTGAAACCTTGTCACTACTAAAAATATAAAAATCAGCTGGGTGTGGTGGTGGGCACCTGTAATCCCAGCTACTTGGGAGGCTGAGGCAGGAGAACTGCTTGAACCCAGGAGGCGGAGGTTGCAGTGAGCCGAGATTGCACCACTGCACACTCCAGCCCGGGTGACAGAGCAAGACTCTTGTCTCAAAAAATAAAACATAAAAATAAATAAAAATTCTAAAAAAAAGGAAAGAAAAAAGAAAGGAAAGCAGGCAGGGTCCAAGGGATCTCTATCAGCTAAAAGTTATCCATGCAGGTTCAATCAGAATGTGTCCATTAAGACAAAACGGTATTCCAACTGTCCTGCCTCTATGCTCAGGATCTCAGGAGGAGGAACATCTGAGGATTACTTTGAGTCAGGTGCCCCAGATTATTCGGGACTATAGCTAGGTCTTCTCAACTATAACCAGCGAAAAAGAACTAATTCCTCCTGGGGAAACTGGGATACTACTATGAAGGGGAAACGGATACTATGTTAAACAAATAAGAAATCCACTTACTTAAACAAAATTTACCATTTACATTAATTCTATAATCTGTTATAAATTAAGACACTTAACATACTTACCAATCAAATAAAACGCATAAACCCTGTTTAACTCCCAATTAAAATAAACCAACTATATACAAAAAGCTACTGTTGGGACATTCAGGGAAATTTGAACATGAAATAGGTAATAGATGATAAGAAATTACTGTTCATTCTGTTAGATATGGCGGTGGCAAGGAATCTATTTTTTTAAAAAAACCTTTATGTTAGAGATGCATATTCAAGTACCTATAAGTAAAATAACAGAATGTCTGGGGTTTACATTAAATGACTCTGGGGGGTGGGAGGGGAGAAATAAAAACAAGACTGGGAAATTATTAATAATTGTTGAAGCTGGTTGATGGATCTGTGGAGTTCATTATATTATTCTATTTTTATATGCTTGGTTTTGCAGAATAAAATTCTAAAAATAAACTACTTTACAAGTTCATTTAACAAATCTGAGCAATTATTATAGACCAGGCTCTGTATTAAATGTTAACAGAAATAATTGTAAAGAAGAAATGAGTGATGTTAAAGTGAGAATGTTGCTATAATGAGATAAGAAAACAAAACATAGTAAAGATGCAGTTTTGTTTAAGCTAATAATCCTATCTGACAAAAAGAATGATACAGCAGGTGTTCAGATGTACCCACATGTGCACACACATAGGTACCCATATATGCCCACACATAAGAACCATAGAAGAAAGACCTAAATACATGAGAGAGACACTTAGATAACAAGAAAATAAGTATATGTGGGTCTTCCACTGTTGTAGGCAGCTTCCAAGATGGCTCCCAGTGAATCTGCCACCTGCTGTTCTTCTCTCTTGCTTACCTTTTCTTCATCAGCCTGAGGGAAGCCAGATGTGCTGAGTTGCCCTAGAGGCCCATGTGGCAGGAGCTGAGGGAGGGCTCTGGCCAACAGCCAGCAAGGACCTGGGGCCTTCAGCCCGACAGCCTGCAAGAATCTAAATCCTGCTAACTACAACACTGAGTGAGCCTAGAAGCAGACTCTCCCCACCCACAGTGGAGCCTTGAGATGACTGCAGCCCCGGCCAATACCTGGACTCTTGCCTTACCAGAGACCCTGAGCAAGAGGACCCAACAAAGTGTGCCTGGAGAACCCTGACCCACAGAAACTGTAGATAACAAATGTCTGTTGTTTAAGCTGCTAGGTTTTAGGATAATTTGTTATGTAGCAATAAATAACTGATACGTTCATCATCCTAATTACAATGAAGCATTGTACAAGAAAGTTTAGTTATCTTGTTTTACAAGGAAAAGAGAGGTGAGAATGATAGTAGCATTTATTATCAAGCTCTTATTATATAAGAAACATATAAATTGCCAAATAAAGACTGTAAATTTTAATGTAGAGGTATTTTTCCTAATTACAGCAATGAGGAACACACTCAATTCTATCCTTACAAGGACAGGATTAGATCTCAAAGGGAACAGTTTATCCTACCAAAGGGCTTTTCTGTTGCTAATAAACTGGGATTAAAAATAAATATATTCAAAAATTATCGGGGTAGGGCATAACTAATTTACAGAGCTGTACAGAGCATCTGATACAAATTCAAGTCAATTATACAATTTGTTTTTCAAAGCGTTTTTTAGCCATTTGTCAAAAAAAATGTATTAAGATCCTACTAAAGCAGATCAATAGAATGCTGTGATAAATACAGGATATTATAACCTCCAGAAGCATGAGAGATTAAAAAAAAAAAAACAGATACTTTAGACAGAGACAGGAATGTGTTTACAGTGGAAACCAAAATATAAAGGGCCAAGCCATTTAATGTCATTGATCACTTCTCTGGCAGATGGTCTAAATCAACAAAGGCATCTTGGCTTGGCAAAAACTGAATATTTAAGCACTAGGAAAGTGTTCAGTAGTAGAGAATAATTAAGAAAACACCCTATTAGTGTTTTGTAGAAATATTTTTCAAAATAGCAATTGGTCTTTTGTTTTTCCTTATTATAAAAATCACAAATATTATAGAAAACCAAATTAGCATTCCTATATTAGCTATATTGATAGAGGATTTATGAATTCATGGGTAACCTTTGTAGTACAGCATGGAAGGAAACTGTCAACTGCTCATAATAATGCTAACACTATTTTCATTTGTGAGAGGTAAAAAATTCAGCTACCTTAGCATAGCAAAACAGATCATACTGATTCCTGCCAAACTTTCCAGACCTGTCTCTGCACCATTCTCTCACCAAAACCCTATGCTATAACCAATTGTTGCTGACAAAGCCCACTATTACTCAGTACATCTCTATACCCTTATGCACCTATTATATCTTCCTTGAATAGAATAGCTTTCTGTTTTCATATAACTCCTATTTGCTGCTAAAGACGCTATTTTCCTTTGCCTCCTCTGGGAAGCTGCCCATGACAATCCTCTACCTGGTCAACAACTCTAGTCTGACTCAGGCATATTACTTCTGTGCTCTTCTGTATTTACCTCTGTAAATATCACAGTACACCATAGATCCCTGATATTCATGGATATACAATCTGAAAAGTTTGGCCATTCATAAGACTGCCTCTTCTGCCCCAAATTTGGGACACTCAGACATTTGCAATTGTATTGAGGCATTAATACAAAACATGCATACCACAAGATTGCTATGCAAGAGGTAGTCTGCTAGTGAAGGTCTCAACTGAGAACCTAGGAATAGCTTAACAAAACTCGCTTCTTTTTCCTTATTGTAACAGTGTTTCTCAAACTTGTTAAACTGTGACCCATTGTAATATTTACTGTTTATATCACCACCTAGTATACATTTACATATATAAACAAAATGCAAAAATACTCTGCATGAAATGCACTTTATTATTATTCTATTCTCCCACACCCTTCAAGTTTTCTGTAACCTCTGAAGAGATTTTGTAATTAAGGAAATTAAAAGTGGAACAAACAAAAGACCAGGTATAGTGTTTTGTCACTCATTAAGTGATTAAAATTTTTATTATTTTATAAAACATGGGCTACCAAGAGAAATCTATCTATTAATGTTGGAGGCAGAAGTGAAAAAATGTTAATGTTTAAGACAGATAAGCTCTGCACCACGATAAAAAAAAAAGCTTTATCAATGTCTTTAGGTATATGTATGCAATCATAAGAATCTAAAGGGGGGTCAGCTAAGTGTTTCAGTTATATCTGAGCTGTACTTAATGTGGTAAAATATATGCTGTAGTAGTATTCAGGAATCTGGGGATTCAGCCATTTCAGGACCATCCCTTAAGAGTGCTAAGGGTGGATACTATCTTGTAATTGTTTGACTTTAAATTGTTTACTTCACAGTGCCTGGCTCAGGTAAAGTGCTCAGTAAACATTTGCCATATGGGGGAAAGAGGTTGTTTCAAGAATGGTCAAGGAGATGAAAATTAAAGTAACAGGAGAAATCATTCTTCATCCATTTTACTAAACCAGTACTTAAGAACTAGACCAGATGTTTACTGAAACTTTATTAGTGCAAAGAAAGTAGAAACAAAGCAAATGTCCATCAATTGTTACATTAACTTTGATATATTCTTATCATGGAATAGTATGCAGCAGTTAAAAATGCTTTTAAAAACATAATAGGGGACCCTGAAGGATTTCTACTTTACAATATACTGCATATGTACAAGAGAAAAGCAGAAAGTAAAATGCAATCAAATATGGTACCATTTTTTGTAAAGTACACCTGTGCATGTATGTTTATGCATGATTATAAGAACATGGAAAAAACATAGAAGAATAGATACCAGGAGGGACAGAAAGTTAGCCATCCCCCAATACATACATTAAATGTCAACAATAAAAATACTCTGTATGATATAGTCCCTCTCATAATCATGCGTATGTAGCAAAGATATACTCAAAGAGATGCATGAAAAAATAAAAATTTCTAGCACATTTTCCAGTAAGAAAAAAAAAAAAAACAAATGTCCACATGAATAGATAGAATGGACTGGTTGATCTAGATTAAAATATAAAGGAAAGAACATACAAAAAGATGTTTTTTTTTTTAAATATAGTTTTTAAAGTATGGTATTTGACTTTCCTGCAATAATTGGTACTTGTTATCACTCTCCCTCCTTGAAACATTCACCTGTTTTCCATGACACCACACTGGCTGGTTTCTCTCCTGCTTCTTTGGTCCCTCATTCTCAATCTCTTGAGGCCTCTTATTTCTTATTTGTCCTTCAGGGCCCTGTCCCTCTGCCTACTCCTCAGTACACTCTCCCTAGGTAATTTAATTTGTTTACAAGGCCTCAGTTACCATTTACAAGGTAACAGGGCATTTCGAAATCAGTTCTCCTCCTGAGCTATACACTTGACTATCCGTAGACCTACTGGAAATCCCAGATGCCTAAAAACATAATCCCATACTAAACTCGTTTCTTCCCTCTCAAATCTTTTTCCTGCTCTGAGATCGCATGTCAGTAAACTGGCATCATCAGCCATCCAGCTGTTGACTCCCCACTTCTCCCTGGATTAAACGAAACGTACAAGTTCTGGCCTGCATCTTTCCATAGAGGGGGATTCGGGAAAATTAAGAAGCCAGAAATTGCGCATATTGAAGGCACTTTCAAAAAGTCACTGTCCTCTACACAACGTGACTTTCTCCATTGTCTTCCAGGCACCTGCAGGAATCCAATTCCCATCATTCTTCTCTGGCGCGGCCCTCCTCCTCCCTAGACAGCAGGGCAGGGTAGGACTGGACCCAACACAGACCTAGGCACCGACCCTTACTTAGCTCAGCAGCCAAATGAAGGAGGAGGTCGCTCCACTTCTACCTTCAGGTAAGTTCCCCTCGCTGCACCCCGCAAAAAAACAAGTAACAACCTCTAGAGCGGCTACTGCACGCCAATACCCACCTCCTCCCCCCCAACCTCAGACCTCCACTAAATACCTAAGATCCTAGAGTCCCTGCCTGAAGGCACGCGAGACGCTGGGGGAAGGTGTCCGCGCTGGCTCCACATCCTCGCGCGGCAGAGGTAAGCCGCTTCCAGTCTTCCCAGGCCTTACCTGGGATCTGACATTTGTTTGCAACTCAGGGGCCGCGGTTTTCCAGAGGCCTTGCTTCCGGGCGAGGCTACCCCTACCCCAGAGAAGAAGCCGGTACGAAACTGCTCCGCCGTAGGACACACAGGGCGCCGCCATGTTAGCTGTGGGAGCTCCAGGACCGGAGGGGTGAGGGGGCGGGGCCTAGAGACGGCGCAGGCGCTAATGGCGCGGGGTTCCAGAGGCTGTCCTGTGCAAGAGCTTCTCGGGCCTTTGGATCAGGGGGCGTGTCCCGCGATCCGCGACAGCTCGTCGCTGATTGGGTGCATGGTGTCCGCGGGGCGTATCCGACTCCACCCCTGCTCGGTGTCGACCTCAAGAAGGATCGCTGGTGGGTCGTTTTTCTCGGCCTCTTTCTCTTCACGTCCTGAACTCAGTCTCTTCGGGACTCACTTCCACGCTCTCCTAGTCTCTTTGGCACTCACATCCACGTGGCGCTTTAGCCAGCCCTTCCTTCCCAGCCCCCTTGCTGCACCTCGAGCCGGCTCTTCCTCCACCTGGGCAGGGCGGCCGGGGCCCCAGATGCGCTCCAAGCCTTGATTCCTGTCTGCCTTATCCTAGTAGGGGTTTTCCCCTCCTCTAACTTTCCACGTTCGTCTGGTTCCAAGTCAAGACTCTCCTGCAGCAACTGTCAAGCCCCTCTCGGTTCCCTGGCACTCTCCTGCGTTGTTTCTTAACTGTATAATGCACAGGATAAACCTTAAACCGGTAAGGTCAAACACTACCTTTCTCGTTTTTGCACGCCCCTCCCTAAGCGTTGGTACTAAGCCTTACTTGAAACCCAATCAGAACTGATTAATTGTTGAATAGAGATGAGTATGTCTTGCTTTCTGAAACTTGCGTGCTCCTGGCAGTTAACTCCCAGGTTGCTTTCTACGAAACACATACTAAATGATGTAGTAACGCACTTTAAAAGGGTTTACACACACTTAGATTTGAAGGGTCAGTAAAAGTAAAACACACAGAAAATCTGAGATCATACAAAGTTGTCAAGCAAATAAATGCCGTCTACTATCACCATCATTTCACGAAACAGAACTTTTTAGCATTAAAAAGGTAGAATGGCAGAATTTCACAATAAAGAAAAATCTTTTAAATGGAATACATTTACTTGTATAAAATGCTCATCCTGTTGTTCTTTTTGTTATTAGCTTTTAGACTAGCAAAAGATATCTTGAGAAATTGGCAGAGGTCGGAGGACTAAACTCTGATTTTTTTATCTTGCCCAAGATTCCTATCTACAGGATTTGGGGAGTCATGCCCTACAAATCATAAATTCTTATTAGATGGGTTTTACTTAACCCTATATATGGTGACTTACTTTCCAACCTGACTCTGGCATAACATTACAAGACAAGGAAGAAAATCAAAATATTTTACCCCAAAACATGTTTCTTTGCCATATCTTGAAATGGCCCTGCAAAGCTGTCCTTGGAGGGGTGGGATATGCATCTGTAAAGAATCTGTATTAACATAGCTAGATCTTTTTCTTCCAGACCCTCCCAATCCTAAAGAGATTAACTAAGATCTGAATAGGAAACATTTGTCATCCATTGTCTCTAAGGGCAGCCACTGTAAGACTTACAGAGAACTTTGGTCTCCACAATCTTTATCTTAAACTGAACATTCCCTTTCTATCAGTCCCAGGTCTTTCTGGACCAAACCAATGTATTTCTTAAATGTGTTTGATTGATGTCTCATGCCTCCCTAAAATGTATAAAATCAAGTTGCGCCCTGACCACCTTGGGCACAAATTCTCAGGACCTGCTGAGGACTGTGTCATGGGCCATGATCACTCATATTTGTCTCAGAATAAATCTCTTCAAAATATTTTACAGAGTTCGACTCTTTTTGTCAACGGATGGATAAACTAGCATTTGGGAATCAAGACTTTATTTATTTATTTATTTTATTTATTTTGAGATGGAAGTTCGCTCTTGTCGTCCAGGCTGCAGTGCAGTGATGTGATCTCGGCTCACTGCACCTTCTGCCTCCCGGGTTCAAGCGATTCTCCTGCCTCAGCCTCCCGAGTAGCTGGGATTATAGGTGCCCACCACCATGCCCAGCTAATTTTTGTGTTTTTAGTAGAGACAGGGTTTCGCCGTGTTGGCCAGGCTGGTCTTGAACTCCTGACCTCAGGTGATCTGCCCGCCTTGGTCTCCCAAAGTGCTAGGATTACAGACGTGAGCCACCGCTTGCAGCAGAGAACCAAGACTTTATAGCTCATTAAAATAGATGTCTTTAAACAGCAGTTCCTACACATTGTGAGATTATTTAAAAATTTTTTAAAATCTTAATTGTGGAAATTTAACCAAGTAGAAAACAGTGAGTATGTGGAAGCAGGATTTATACTATTAAAAAATTATTGATATTGGACCATATAAGAACTAAGTACTAAAATTAAGGTTAGGAGTGGTGGAGATTTTTCCCTTTTTTGAAATTCATGTCACAGTCCTTTACTAGCATGCAGTCATGCACTGCATTATGCAGTTTCGGTCAACAGTGACCTTCACATAAGACAGTGGTCCCATAAAATTATAATAGAGCTAAAAAGTTCCTATCTCCTAATGACCTTATAGCCATCAAGACATCATAGTAAGGGAGGATACCACCCCTCATATTGTCTTATGCCCCATTTCTCCCTCCAAAGAAAGAAGTACAAACTAAAAGGCAGAAATGGAATCCACAGGGAGATAGCCCAGCACTGGGCCCTGGGCCTGGTAGTTAAAAATCAACCCCTGACCTAACTGCTTGTGTTATCTGTAGATTTCAAACATTGTATGGAAAAGCATTGTGAAAATCCCTGTCCTGTTATGTTCCATTCTGATTACCAGTGCATGCAGCCCCCACTCAGGTACCCCCTGCTTGCTCAATCGATCATGACCCTCTGATATGGATCCCCTTAGAGTTGTAAGCCCTTAAAAGGGACAGAAATTGCTCGCTTGGGGAGCTTGGTTTTTGGAGACGTGAGTCTGCCAATGCTCCCAGCTGAATAAAGCCCTTTCCTTCTACAACTCGGTGTCTGAGGGGTTGTTGTCTGCGGCTCATCCTGCTACAATAGTACAACGCATTGCTTACCCATTTGTCGCGATGATAGTGTAAACAAATCTATGCACTGCCAGTCCTATTAAAGGACATACAATTATGTATAATACATAATACATGATAATGAACTATGTTACTGGTTTATTTATTTACCAGGCTATACCTCATAGTTTTTATTGTTAATTTGGAGTCTACTGCTTCTACTTATAAAAAGAAAAAGTTAACTGTAAAACAAACTCAGGTAGATCCTTCAGGAGATATTCCAGAAGGCATTATTGTCATAGGAGCTCCATACGTCTTATTGCTCCTGAAGACCTTCCAGTGGGACACACTGTGGAGGTAAAAGATAGTGATGTTGGTGATCCTGACCCTGTATAGGATAATGTGTGTGTTTGTGTCTTTGTTTTTAACAGACATGTTTAACAAGCTAAAAAAAAATTAAAGAATGAAAAAGTCTTATAGAATAAGGAATAAGAAAACGAATATAAAGAAAGAAAATGCTTTTGTACACCTGTACAGTGTGCTTATGTTTTAAGCTAAGTATTATTACAAAAGAGTTAAAAACTTTAAAAATATCAAAAAGTTTATAAAGTTAAAATAAGCTAAGGTGAATTTCTTATTGAAGAAAGGTAATTTTTTAATAAATTTATTGTAGCCTAAGTGTATTGTGTTTGTAAAGTCTACAGTAGTAAACAGTAATGTTCTAGGCCCTCACATTCACTTACCACTCACTCACTGACTCACCCAGACCAACTTACAGCCCTGCAAGCTCTGTCCATGGTAAGTGTCCTATGCAAATGTACCATTTTTACCTTTTATACAGTATTTTTACTGTACCTTTTCTATGTTTAGATACACATTTACTTACCATTGAGTTACAGCTGCCTACAATATTCCGGTAACATGCTGTGCAGATTTGTAGCCTGGGAACAATAGGCTGTACCATACAGCCAAGATGTATAGAAGGCTACACCACTGAGATTTGTGTGGCTACACTCAATGATGTTTGCACAGTGACAAAATCACCTAATGACACATTTCTCAGAATGCATGATCGTACAGTAAAGCAAACGTAGTATATTTTCCACCTCTGGGAGCAATACTTGTACTCCTGCATTAAATTTCCTGTGTAACCTTTGAATTTGGGAACAAATGCACTGCTATGTGTTCACATTAGGTTCATAATTTGGAGACATAGGAAAGATTGAAGTGTGCTGATTAATCTTTAAAATATGAAAAAAGGGGGCCAGGCGTGGTGGCTCATGCCTGTAATCCCAGCACTTTGGGAGGCTGAGGCAGGTGGATCACCTGAGGTCAGGAGATCAAGACCAGCCTGGGCAACATGGTGAAACCCCGTCTCTACTACAAATACAAAAATTAGCTGGGAGCGGTGGCACATACTTGTAATCCCAGCTTCTCAGGAGACTGAGGCAGGAGAATCACTTGAGCCCGGGAGGCGGAGGTTGCAGAGAGCCGAGATCGCACCACTGCACTCCAGCCTGGACGACAGAGCGAGACTCTGTCTCAAAAAAAAAAGAAAGAAAAGAAAAAAAATGTACTTTACCAAATGGCTAAAGCTTAGATTCTTTTCGTTTTGTTCTCACTTATGGAGCACCTATTGTAGGCATCGGGAATCCTAGGTCCTAAAAATCCAATATAGTGGGGTCATGTCTAATGTGAGGGTTTTGTTCTAAAGTCAGCTTGTTAAATGAACATCAGGAAAATCAAAATGTTGTACTAACACCAAGTGTTGTTGAGATGTGGGGTAGCAGGAGCTATTAGATGCTGCTGATACTAGTGTAAATTGGTACAACTCTCATGAAATCAACCACATAACTAGTAACCTATTCAACTTAAGATGAGCACACCCAACAATTCATCGATTACATTCCTAGATATATACCCTGCAGAAGGTCTTGCACAGTGCATCAGGAGACATGTATTAGGATGTTCATAGCAATATTTTTTTTTGGTAACAACAAAAATAACTTGTCTGTTGATAGGAGGATGGATGGATAAAGGAGCACCATACAGCAATGGCAATGAATGAACCTTAACTATACATATGAATATGGTTGAGGTAGAGCAAAAGATAGGAAGTCACATATGCATAGCCACAGTAGGATTCCATTTACAAAAAATAGGCAAAACTAAGCAAGATATTGTTTAAGGGTTTATCCCTACATAGTAAAACTGTAAAGAAAAGCAAGACAATGATAAACACAAAATCCAGGGTAGTAAATACCTCTGGGAGAAGGGAGAAGAATGCCTCCAGAAGGGTACAGGAGGTGCCAATGTTTTTTATCTTTAGATGACGGGTGGATGCATAAGTGTGCAACTTACCATTATTCTTGAAATGCTACATACTTGTTTTATATACTTCTGACAGGAAGAGTTGTTTTTCACCTTGCATCTGTCTCTGACTCACACTGAAAGGTATGGCAGGCTGTGGCACCAATGTAAATTGGCACAATTGTAATTTCTTTCTCCTGTGTTCCTCATACCTTATTTCCTTATTCCTGTCTCCTTTATCACCTCTTCCCCATCCTCCTCCCCTCTTCCTACCTAGTGAGCATAGCTAAATGATGTAGTCCTCAAAAAAATTGATATGCCCTTGCTCTGCCCTGCATTACAGGATTCCTGAAAAGTGTCCCTGGAGCTGCAGAACTTTGGGGATCAATACAAAAATCTAAGCTTAGGAAAAAAACACAAAGACTTACTGGTTTCCACAGACAAGTGAGATCTTCAGAGAACATTGGGTCAAAGATTACCAAACACTGAGTGGTTTATGAAAAGTGCCTTAAATGTGGACCAAGAAATAAGGGTTCTCATCTGACCCTGCCACAGAATCACTCTGACATTTGCATGTCATTTAGCTTAGAGGAACCCTACATTTCTCACCAGTGTAATCAGGGAGTTAGATTAGACCAGTGATTCTCAAAGGGTGGTTCCCAGAGCAGGAGCATCAGCATTACCTGGTTAAACTGTGTCCAACAAAAAGATGGTAGAGTCCCACCTGCTATACCTCCTAATGTGACTTGACTTGGACATAAGGTCTTTACAGAAATAATTATGTTATATAGAGTGATTAGGATGAGCCCTAATTCAATAGGACACATCCTTACAAAAAAGGAAATTTGGGCACAAAGTCAAACACATAGAGAGGGAAAGCAATGTGAAGATACAGGAAAAAGATGGCCAACCTCAAGCAAAGAATCACTCAAGGCTACCATAAGCTGGGAAAGAGACCTGGAACAGATTCTCTCTCACAGGCCTCACGGGAAATCTATCCTGTTGATATCTTGATCTTGGCTCTCTAGCCTCTAGAAATGTGAGACAATAAATCTCTGTTGTTTAAACCATTTAGTGTATGGTACTTTGTTACAGCAGACTCAGGAATACATCTAGTGTATGGGCTTTAAAAGTCCACTGACAGAGCAGGATCATTGCCATCTTCGACAAGCACGGCCATTTTAAAGTTCCACTTGATCAAAAACCACCTAAATCCAACCCAAAGGGCATCAGTCTAATAGCTAATGTGAGCATGACCATAAACCACAAATGACATCTCCAACCAGAAACATTCCAACCCTAAAATAAACCCCTCCCCGACCAGAGACATGCCAGCCCTGAAATAACCTCCCCTCCAGTCGGAGAGATGTCAGCTCCAAGATAACCTCCCCTCCGACCAGAGACATTCCAACCCCACAATAAACTTCTCCTCCACACAGCAACATTCCAACCTGTGATAAGCTCTCTGCCTGAACCCTTAAATACATTTAGTCTGTAAGAGAGAGTATGCCTGATCAAAACTGGCGAGAAGCCCCTCTCAGGTTTATTCTCCAGAATAAACCTGTCTTTGACTGTTGAGCCACTTTTCCTCTGTCTTTAACTCTTACATCCACCAATTTCTTTGATATTTCTCTCTTCAAAAGGTAGAACCTTTTTTCCTGAGCATGAGCTGAATTTAACAACCTGTCTCTGAAAAACAGAAGAAAGTGGAAGTCTTGGTGTATAACTTTGGATACTAGTCACAAAAAGTTCTGTGGCTTCCTGCTTGCTCTCTTTCTCTGCTGAAGGAACTACTCTGGGAGAACTCAGATGTCATGCCCGAGACAGCCCTATGAGAGGCCTACCTAGTGAGGATTCAAACCTTTTGCTGACAGCCATGTCAATAAGCCATCTCGGAAGTGGGTCCCCCAGCCACAGATTTCTGTGACTGCAGCCTCTGTCAACATCTTGCTTGCCACCTTGTGAGAGATCCTGAGCCAGAACCACTGATTTCAGGCACTTGGACCACAGAAACTGTGAGATAATTAACATTGTTTTAAGCCACTGTATTAGGCTGTTCTTGCATTGCTATAAAGAAATACCTGAGACTGAGTAATTTATAAAGAAAAGAAGCCTAATTGGCTCATGGTTCCTCAGGTTGTACAGGAAGCATGATGCTGGCATCTGCTTGGCTTCTGGGGAGGCCTCAGAAAACTGAGAATCATGGCAGAAGGTGAAGGCGGAACAGACACCCAGAGCAGGAGGAAGACAGAGAGTAGGAAGATGCCACACACGTTTAAACCGCCAGATCTCCTGAGAACTCACTCGCTATTGTGAGAACAGTACCAAGTTCATGGTCCTAAACCATTTGTGAGAAATCTGTTCTCATGATCCAGTCGCCTTTTACCAGGCCCACTTCCAACATTGGAGATAACAATGCAACATGAGATTTGGGCAGGGACGGACACAGATCTGAACCATGTCAGCCTCTAAAATGTGGGACAATTTGTTATGCAGCAATAGATAACTTGTATACCTGGGAACTTGTTAGCAATGCAAATTTTTGGGTCACTATAAAAACATATTGTTTCTGGATGTGAGACCCAGCACAAAGCCCTTTGAATAATTCAAGATTCTTATTTTGGTTTGTTTGTTTTAGTTTACAATATTTAATTTATTAATAGGTCAGATTTCATTATATTTAATTCACTGGCAATGTTCTTTTCCATCTTGTTCATCTGGCAGATTCCTGTACACTTTTTATTATTATTACTGTGATAAAAATATATAACATAGTATTTACCATTTTAACCATTTTTGAGTATACAATTCAGTGGCGTTAAGTACCTTCACTTTGTTGTAGAAGCATTGCCACCATCTATTTCCAGAATTTTTCCATTCTCCCAAACTGCAACTCTGTACCTATTAAACACTAACTCCCGGCTGGGCATGGTGGCTCACGCCTGTAATCCCAGCACTTCTGGAGGCTGAGGCGGGCGGATAACCTGAGGTCAGGAGTTCGAGACCAGCCTGGTCAAAGTGGTGAATCCCCATCTCTACTAAAAATACAAAAATTAGCTGAGCATGGTGGCATGTGCCTATAGTCCCAGCTTCTCGGGAGGCTGAGGCAGGAGAATTGCTTGAACCCAGGAGGTGGAGGTTGCAGTGAGCCGAAATCCAGATAAAAAAAAAAAAAAACAATAACAATAATAAAATAATAAATAAACACTAACTCCCCAAACTCCTTTCTCTAGCCCCTGACACCCAACCTTCTACTTTCTGTCTCTATGAGTTTGACTGTTTTATGTACCTTATATAAGTGGAATCATATACGATATTTGTCCTTTTGTATCTGACTTGTTTCACTATGCATAATTTTTTTTCATTTTGCCATTTTTTTCCAACTTTTATTTAGATCTGGTGGTACATGTGCAGGTTTGTTATATGGATATATTATGTGATGCTGAGGCCTGAGGTATGAATAATCCCATCACCCAGGCACTGAGCATAGTTCCTAACAGGTAATTTTTCAGTCCTTACCCCCTTCCCTCTTTCCTCCCTCTAGTAGTCCCCAGTGTCTGTTGTTCCCAACTTTATGTCCATGTGTACCCAACGTTTAGCTTCTACTTATAGGTGAGAACATGAAGTATTTGGTATTCTGTTTCTGCGTAAGTTCACTCAGGATAATGGCCTCCAGCTGCATCCATGGTGCTGCAAAGGACATGATTTTGTTCCTCTTTTATGGCTGCATAGTATTCCATGTGTATATGTACCACATTTTCTTTAGCCCTCCACTGTTGGCAGGCATCCAGATTGATTCCATGTCTTTGCTATTGTAAAAAGTACTGCAATTAACATACTGTCTTTTTGGTAGAATGATTTCTTTTCCTTTTGACATATACCCGGTAATGGGAGTGCTGGGTCAGATTATAGTTCTATTTTCAGTTCTTTGAGAAATCTCTAAACTACTTTCCACAGTGGCTAAACAAATTTACATTCCCACCAACAGGTTATAAGCATTCCCTTTTCTCTGCGGCCTCACCAACATCTGTTATTTTTTGAGTTTTTAATAATAGCCATTCTGACTGGCATGAGATGGTATCTCATTGTCATTTTGATTTGCATTTCTCTGATGATTAGTGATGTTGAGCACTTTTTCATATATTTGTTGACCAGTTGTATGTCTTCTTCTGGGAAGCGCCTGTTATGCTTTTGCCCACTTTTTAATGTGGTTATTTGTTTTTTGCTTGCTGAAATATGTTTCTTATAAATTTTGGATATTAGTCCTTTGTCAAGTGCAGTTTGTGAAAATTTTACCCATTCTGTAAATTGTCTGTTTACTCTGTTGATAGTTTATTTTGCTGTACAGAAGCTCTTTAGTTTAATTAGGTCCTACTTGTCAATTTTTGCTTTGGTGCAATTGCTTTTGAGGACTTAGAGATAAATTCTTATCTAAGGCCAATGTCCAAAATGGTATTTTCTAGATTTTCTTCTAGGATTTTTATAGTTTGAGGTCTTACACTTAAATCTTTAATCCCTCTTGAGTTAATTTTTTATATGGTGAAAGGTAGGAGTCCAATTTTATTCTTCTGCATATGGCTAGCCAGTTAACCCAGCACCATTTCTTGAATAGGGATTCCTTTCTCCATTGCTTATTTTTGTCAGCTTTGTTGAAGATCAGATAATTGTAGGTGTGTGGTTTCATTTCTGGGTTTTCTATTCTGTTCCATTGATCTATGTGTCTGTTTTTGTACCAGTACTATGTTGTTTTGGTTACTGTAGCCTTACAGTGTAGTTTGAAGTCAGGTAATGTGATGCCTCCAGCTTTGTTCTTTTTAGCACAATGTTTTCAAGGTTCATCCATGTTGTAGCATTTGTCAGAATTTTCTTCCTTTTGAAGCCTGAGTAATATTCCATTGTATAGATATACACATTTGTCTACTCATTCATCCACTGATAGTCACTGGGGTTGTTTCCACCTTTTGGCTATTACGAGTTATGCTGCTATGAACATAGATGTACAAATATCCGTTCAAGCCCCTGCTTTCTGTTCTTTGGGGTATATACCTAGAAATGGAATTGCAGAATTCTTGTTTTTAAAATGGCCAGATTTTTAAACTCAATCCTCACAGCAAGATACCCACAAAAGATAGCTTGAGTGGTATTTAAATCTACAGCTTGAAAACTCTCTAATTATCTAGGCCGGAGGTCCCCAACCCCTGGGCCATGGACCAGTACTGGTCCATGGCCTATCAGGAATCGGGCCACACAGAAGTGGGTCAGTGGCAGATGAGCCAGCGTTACTGCCTGAGCTTTGCCTCCTATCAGATCAGTGGTGGCATTAGATTCTCATGGGAGTGAGAACCCTATTGTGAACTGCATATGCGAGGGACCTGGGTTGCGTGCTCCTTATGAGAATCTAACTAATGCCCGATGATCTGAAGTGGAACAGTTTCATCCTGAAACCTTCCGCCAAACACCATTGGTGGAAAAATTGTCTTCCATGAAACCGGTTCCTAGTGCCAAAAAGGTTGGGAACTGCTGATCTAGACCACTCCCAGCTAAATAAATATATACGGGGTAAGAAAATGAATAATGTAAATTTCACTGAAATTTAAAAGTATTTATTAGAGGTAATTTTAGTATATAATTGCTATATATTAAGCTTCTATACTATTCAAAATGGAACCTGTCCTAGCCTACAAGTAAATCTATCCCAAGATGCATATATTTTACCATGTTAATTGAATCTTAATAAAAAACAAATACAGCAAGTATCTTCTTTGATTTTTTTTCACTGTGCTCAGCGTGGACCAAACCCATACACATATGCAGCTCTTTAGCTATGAGCTGTCAATTATGTTTGCTATAAAAGATACAACACTTAGGGAGCTGTCAGTCAATGCTGTTGTGATGCTTGAAGCATCATTTCTCCAAGTTTAGCTGTCAAAAGTAAAACAAATTTACATGAAACCTAAAGGTAGATTGATCATACCACTTGCTGTGCATTGAAAATGACTTCGAACATACCCAGGTTCAGAGACAATATGCTTAAGGTCAGTGTTTCTTTGGCCATGTTTGTAATTACTTTACATAGACTTTGTTATTATTATTATTTTTTAAAGTGCAGGCCAGGCACAGTAGTGTGCGTTTGTAGTTCCAGATACCTAAGAAGGCTTGACCCCAGCGGTTTGAAAGCAGCCTGGGCAACATAGTGGGATCCCATCTCAAAAAGCAAACAAACAAACAGCCCCCTAAAAGTGCTTGTAGACAATGAAAGTAGTTGTTGTGAAATGGTGATGGGATTGTGAGTGCTTCCTCTATTTGAAATAACAGTGTGTAGACAATTTCTATGGTGTTATGGACATCTCTTTCATTCATGGATTTGGAGTCAGTGCGGGACTCCCCTGTGATGAACAGAGTAGAGGTAAAGAAGATCTAGCAAAAGAGAACTGAATGACCACAATTATAGACTGGATTTATTCAGGATAACAGGACTTTCTGAATGAAAGAAATGAACGTGAATAAGGAATATAACTAAAATCAATAAAATCATTAAGAGCATGGTGAAAATGAATAAGACTTAATCAAATTTCAAAAACTAGAACCGAAGTGAGGCTGCTTCAAGCATAAAAGAGAGGAAGTACCACATTACACAGCAGGGAGGCAACTTAAAAATCACATTGTCCCTAAGAAGTGGATGCAGCCTGAAAATATAAGTCAGTAGAAGATGGTAATTCAGATCCCAAAAATGAGAAACATTCTGAAGTGGGTAATTTTCATTCTTTTTTTTTTTTTTTTTGAGATGGGAGTCTCGCTTTCGTTGCCCAGGCTGGAGTGCAATGGCATGATCTCGGCTCACTGCAACCTCCACCTTCCAGGTTTCAGCAATTCTCTTGCCTCAGCCTCCCAAGTAGCTGGGGTTATAGGCGCCCACCACTTCGCCCGCCTAATTTTTGTATTTGTAATAAAGATTGGGTTTCACCATGTTGGCCAGGCTGGTCTGGAACTCCTGACCTCAGGTGATCCGCCCACCTCGGCCTCCCAAAGTGCTGGGATTACAGGCGTGAGCCACCGCACCCAGCCAATTCAATTTTCATTCTTAATCTTTTTTTAAAATTTATTTATTTGTTTTTATTTTTAGATGGAGCCTCACTCTGTCACCCAGGCTGGAGTGCAGTGGTGCGATCTTGGCTCGCTGCAACCTCCACCTCCAGGGTTCAAGCAATTCTCCTGCTTCAGCCTCCCGAGTAGCTGGGGTTACAGGTACACGCCACCATGCCCATCTAATCTTTTTTTTTTTTTTTTTTTTTTGTATTTTTAGTAGAGATGGGGTTTCCCCATGTTGGCCAGGCTGGTCTCAAACTCCTGACCTTAGGTGATCCACCTGCCTTGGTATCCCAAAGTGCTGGGATTACAGGCATGAGCCACTGCACCTGGCCTCATTCTTGATCTTTTGAGGAAGCAAAGGTAAGAGCGACATATCTCTTGTGTCTCCATCAGAGAAAGAGTATTGATTGAGAGAGACCATGGGATGCAATTCTAAGAAATACAACAGAGAATAACATAAATTATACATATATGTGCATATAAACAACACACATTATATATAACATTAAAAATTTTCAAGAACATTATATAACATTCAGTGTCCAGGCGTGGTGGCTCACGTCTGTAATCCCAGAAATTTGGGAGGCCGAGGTCGGTGGATCACCTGAGGTCTGGAGTTCAAGACCAGCCTGGCCAACAAAGTGAAACACCGTCTCTTCTAAAAACACAAAATTAGCTGGTGTGGTGGTGCTTTCCTGTAATCCCAGCTACTTAGGAGGCTGAGGCAGGAAAATCACTTCAACCCGGGAGGCGGAGGTTGCAGTGAGCCGAGATTGCGACATTGAACTCCAGCCTGGTCAACAAGAGTGAAACTCAGTCTAAAAAAATAAAAATAAAAATAAAAATAAAAATAAATTCAATGGCATTAATTGAGCACTGTACTGAGTACCTTAAAGGTTTTATCTCTGTTAGTCATAACACTGTCCCTGTGAGGAAGGTAGTGTTAGTATCCTTGCATTAGATGTAAGGAAGCTGAGGCACCTCCTAGTCCTAGCCCCTCATCCTCGCCTTCATCCATGCCCTCTGCTCTATGTAGCCCTTCTCTTCAGGGACCCAGCTCACTTGTCCTCCTACTTCAGCACCCAAGTCCCACTGGTTAACTCTGCCCGCTGTTCTCACAGGTATCACCTCCGTCTTCTCCTGTGTAAGGACATGAGATTATATTTGTCTAGGTTGCTTTTTAGAAGTGAAAATCTGGCAACCCTTCAGCTATGGTTTCTATGACCTGAACAGTGTTTTGGGGGTGTGTGTGAAATTTAAACCTGGATGCTATGATTGATCACACAATGTCCCTTCACCATGTCCCCAGCACCCGTGGTGTGTTCCCACGTTCACATGACAGCCTTGCTTTCTACAGTGCCTATCATGAGTTCAACACATGCACACTTGACAGATGCAAACATGAACCCCAGAATTGTTGAGGCTTTGCCTACTCAATGAGGGATCAGAGTGCTGGGGCTCTAAGACCCCCAGGATTCTTCCAGGAAGGCCAACTGGGGGACTGGATATTTCACAATTTGGAGACATGGACAATCCTGCCCAGCATTCCTGCTGACTTTGCTGCCCTGCTGGAAAGTAGAAATTTTGTACTTTAGGAATTAAAGTAAGAATTTAATCTACACAAAGATGATTTTATCTTTATCAACCAATATTTAGTGACACATGCTTTGCAAGGCTGTGTTGTCAAGAACCATCTAGGTGTTAAGATGATACCTGCCTTTGAGAGGCTTATTGGCTTATGGAAAAAGAACAGATATTTACATGAATACGATAATCCTAGGAAGACCATGATAGAGTCATGAAAAAATTTACAAAGTAAGTTGGGAGTTCAAGAAGGAAAACATTACTTCCTGCCAAATGGTTCAAGATGGTTTTATTTCCTAAATGTTTTATAGAGTTGCAAATCAAAATAAACTGTCTAATTCATTTTTTTACTCTTATGCAGAACCACTTCTAAATGCTCTCTGAAAGCAATTAACCCATCCCATTTTATAGTACCTACAAAGTAGAATCTTCTGTCTCAATTTATCAAATCATGTGATTAACAATTATTCTTCAGTAACCTTAAAAGATTCTTAAACATTTGCATGCCACCTTTCTTATTTCCACTGGAGAAACATTCTTGGCCCATTTTCCAAGTGTTTTCCAAAATCAAGTATCATATCTGATATTTAAAATTGTGTCCAATTTCAATGAGCATATCACAGCCTAGTGTGTGATTAAACTATCTCATCTCTTTATGAACAGAGTTTGCTGTGATTAAATTGTAAACACCTGCATGATGTTATTTTGACTTTAGACTCAAAGGAACATTTTATGCTGGGAAATACAGACTTCCTGAAATAAGCGTATCAGTTTTCCAACCAAGCTATTAGCATTACCTTCTTAATAACCTTTGAAGCTTAGAAATATTTTTGTTTATATGGCAAATCCATGTTTTCCTGTCATCTAAATTATGTGTCCAGCACTATTTAGATATAGATTGCTGACCTCAGGGCATGCACTTGTCGAATATTCATATTTTCTGTAACTTCTTATCCAGTTGGGCAAAATGTTTATGTTGTGAAAATTGGAGTTCAATGTAGAAATTCAACAGGCTCATGCAGTTTATAGCAGGGAAGTTAAAACTGATAGGACAAATTAGCATAACGTCTAGATTAAAAAATATATATATATATACACACATTTGGCTCATTATTGGAAAGAGAGAATGTTAAAAAAGCAATGGAATTGTAGCTTTTGCCATCTTTTGTTTCTTGTGTATGTTGTAATCACACAAAAAATCGTCAGTATTTTAGATTCACACACCATCCTAGCAGCAGAGAGAGATTTCTGCTAAACAGTAGGCACAAGCATTGGGTCAGAAACGGCACATCCATTGTGGTCAGCTGCAGGCAACAGAAAGAGCTCTAACTGGTTTCAGTGAAAGGAATTTATACCAGGTATTAACCATATAAAATTACTGTAAGGGAAGCTGGGTCAATCCTTAGCTGAACTTTGGGAACACCTCTAGCCCCTGAAATGACATGGCCTCTGCCATGAACTGCACCAGCCAAGGGATGCCTCATTCTCTGCCCACCTATTCCTACTTAATTCGGTTCCAAATTGAAGTCTCATGTGAGTGTCTCTGATCAGTAGAAATTAAATCAAGTCTAGAACTCTAGCTCGCAAGAGAGTCTTTAACTTTTCATCATTAACTGTACAGTAGGAAAGTTATTTTTTTAAACTGTTTTACTCATTGCTGTAATTCCTAACAATTTTCCAAACAGTGCCTGGTGACTAGAACCTGGAACATAAATGTTTTTGAAGGAATGAATTGGAATGGATGTTGAGCAAGCTAATCCACAGTTTTTGTAACAACCACTTAATGCGGATATTGCAGAGGGGTCTTCAATGTCTACTAGATGGTTTTGATGGGAGGAATTTGAGGTCATTTTCAAATGCTTTGAGGGCAGGATCCATGTCTGTTTTGTTTATATAGTATCCCCAACCCAAAATATGCCTGGCACATACAAGGCAATCAATAAACACTTGGTAAAATGAGTGACTGTGTACACATCAGTTGCCTTTTACTCCTATCTCCACCATCTTTCAGTGGTAAACATTCATATTCTTCCATTTTTTTTGGTGTCATATAGATATTTATGACAAAATATATTTATATTATATTTTGTCATTACTTTCAATGGCAAAAACCACAATAACTTTTGCACAAACCAAATATTATCTTTTATAATTTTATCATTTAGTTTCCTTTTTCTAATTGAGGATGTGTGCAATACAAATTGAGAATTTATATGTTTTTGTGCACTTTCTCTATACTGAAAGCTAACTTTATTTTGGTGCTTAGTTAACTCGGGGAAGGACTGGCTGTTACAGTGACTGTGTGTGGTTGTCTAATGGGTTCATCTCTATTTTTACTGCACAGCAAATTATCATTGAATATTTTTACCCCCACAGAAGATGCCTTCCTTTTAACCTTAGAAAATGGTACCTTAGCTCTCAAAAGCAAGGCAAACACAGCATGATTAATTGGATTATAATGGTCATAATGACAGTTTCGAGCAGCAAGTCCTTGATTCAGCTTTGTTTCTGAGATATCAGGTGAAGGCTAAACAAGGAGAAGTGCCAGTTGTTTGGCAAATGGTCCGTTATGACCATATTCACAATAGGGTTTTTTTCTTACATATTTTTTACTTATAAAGAACAACCGATTTTTTTCCTCTCCTAAAAAAAAACTCATTGGTGCTTTATTTTCTGTTCAGACATGTGTAGAAACCTCCATTTTATTTTTCATGCAGACCCAGCAGCTGTGTATTTCTGTAAATGAAGTATTGTAATGATTATTTAATTGAAGTACCCGAAGTTCAGCACCTTTAAGATTCACCTAAAGTGAATTTCTTGCACATTATACACAGCTCCATGTTTTATTTTACAGACTTCCACTGTGTAAGATTTTTTTGTCAAAATTAGATTTGTAACTAAGAACTAAATTCATACTTTTATTATTCAATAATTTATGTTTTTCATATTTTACCTTGAGTCTTACAATGATCTAATTAGATTTAAAACATACCAGAAACTGTTAAGTTTGGATGCACTGGCTTGCATGTTTTAAACACTAAAAACACATGTTAACAATGGAAAGGTGTTATTTTATCATCAAAAAAGAGAAAAAATGCTACCTATTCATATCGTGAAAATTAAATACTTCAAAAGAAAACAAAAATGTTATCAAGCTAGATTGGTCGAGAAAACAGAATAATCTCTTAAATTTCTTAGATGTTCTTAAGTTCTTCCCACATACACACACACACACACACACACACACACACAGAGAGAGAGAGAGAGAGAAAAAAAATCTAAAGCACTCTAAATAATATGAGAAAATCCTTTAAAAGTTTTTGAAATAATTTCATCACCACAAACACTAATTTGCCCTAAGGATTGGTATCCACATTTCATGGAATGTTCCTTTGGCCAGATGGATCAAGTTTATTCTTCAAATTCAGAACAAGAGTGAGTAAATGAGGATTTAGAAAAAAAAAAAACAATTTGCTGGGATATTCCATCATTTCCTTGCCATTTTCCCTGATTGGCTTATTATCCTCTCCACATAAACCATTTCTCTCTCAGCTTGATAGTGGTGTCTCTTTAATTTTATCTTTTTAAAAAATTGTGGTAAAATATACAAAACATAAAATTTACCACTTTACCCATCTTGAAGTGCACATTTAGTACTATTAAGTGCTTTCATATCGTTGTGCAACCATTATCACCTTCCAAGAGTTCCTCCTGGAACTCTTTTTATTTTACAAAACTGAAACTCTGAGCCCATTAAACAATAACTCACCATTCCACCTTTCCCCTCAGTCCCTGGCAACTATCATTCTACTTTGTGTCTCTTTCAATTTGACAACTCAAGGAATCTTATACAAGTGAAATCATACAGTAGTTGTATTTTTGTGACTGGCTCAGTTTGCTTAGCATGATGTCCTCAAGGTTCATCCATGTTGTAGCATGTTTCAGAATTTCCTTCCTTTTTAGGGATGAGTAATATTCCATTGTATGGATATGCCACATATTTTTTATCCATTCATCTACTGAGGGACACTTGGGTTGCTTCCACATTTGGGCTATGGTGAATAGTGCTGCTATGTGGTTACTATTTGCATCAAAAATCTTTTTCCAGCCTTTCACTTTCAATCTATTCATGTCTCTAGAGTTAAAGTGAGTCTCTTGTAAACAGCATGTAGTTGGATTGTTTTATTTTATTTTTTTCTGTATTCTGCTAATCTCTATCTTTTGATTGGAGAGTTTAATTAATCCATTTACATTCAAAGTAGTTACTGATAAGGAGAGACTTCTGTCATTTTTCTTTGTTTTCTTTCTTTTTTTTTTTTCTGAGACAAAGTCTCACTCTGTCACCTAGGCTGGAGTGCAGTGGTGTGATCTCAGCTCACTGAAACCTCTGCCTCCCAGGTTCAAGCGATTCTCCTGCCTCAGCCTGCTGAGTAGCTGGGATTACAGGTGCCTGCCACCACACCTGGTTAATTTTTGTGTTTTTTAGTAGAGACAGGGTTTCACCATGTTGGCCAGGCTGGTCTTGAACTCCTGACCTCAAGTGATCCACCTGCCTCAGCCTTCCCAAAGTGCTGGGATTACAGGTGTGAGCCACCGCACCCAACCTGTTTTCTATATGTCTTATAGATTCTTTTGTTCCTCATTTCCCAAATTGCTGTCTTTTTTGTTTTTAATTGATTTTTTGTGGTGAAACATTTTAATTGCCCTTTCATTTTCTTTTCTGTATATTCTATAGATATTTTCCTTATGGTTACCATGTAGATTATATTTAACATCCTAAAGCTATAATACACTAGTTTGAATTTATACCAGGTTAACTTCAATAACAAATAAAACTCTTCCCCTTTAACTGCTCAATCCCTACCCTTTTATAGTTATTGATGTAACAAATTACATCTTTATACACTATGCGTTCAAAAACACAAACTGATAATTGTGTTGTTATGCATTAGTCTCTTAAATTATTTAGAAAACAAAGTGTGAAGTTACAAATCAAAGTTACAATTATACTAACTTTTATACTAATAATTTTAAAATATGTATTAGTTCCTTAAATCATGTACAAAAACAAAAAGTGGAGTTACAAACTGGTGTTACAACAACACTAACTTTTATAATTGCCCACATATTTACCTTCACTGACATCTTTATTTCTTCATACAGCTTTGAGTTCCTGTCTACTGTCCTTTATTTCAACCTGCAGTAGTCCTTTTAGCAGTTCTTGAAGGGCAGGTCTAGTGATTACAAACTTCTCACTTTTGTTTATCTGGAAATCTCTTAATTTCTCCCACATTTTTGAAGGACATTTTTGTTAAAGATAGGATTGTGTTGGCAGTCTTTCTTTCAGCACTTTGACTATATCAGCCCACTGACTTCTGGCCTCTAAAGTTTCCAATGAGAAATCTGCTGACCATCTTATTGAGGATACCAATATGTGACAAATTGATTCTCTTTTGCTGCTTTCAAGATTCTCTTTGCCTTTGGCTTTCTATAGTTGATTATAATTTGCCTTGGTGTGGGTCTCTGTTCATCTGTTTGGAGTTTGCCAAGTTTCTTGAATATTTATATTCATGTCTAAATATAATATTTATATTCGTGTCAACTTTAGGAAGAGTTCATCCGTTATTTCTATGAATAATTTTTCTGCTGCATTCTCTTCTTCTTTTAGACTCCCACAATACATATATTGGTCTGCTAGATGTCCCACTGAGCCCTTAGAATCTGTTCAGTTTTCCTCAATCTTTTTTTTCTTTTTTTTTCATGTTGCTCAGACTCAATAATTTCAATTGTGTCATCTTCAAGTTCACTTATTCTTTCTTCTTTTTGCTCAAATCTGCCTTTGAATCCCTAGTGAATTCTTTTTTTTTTTTTTTTTTTTTTTTGAGACAGAGTCTCGCTCTGTCACTCAGGCTAGAGTATAGTGGTGCAATCCCAGCTCACTGCAACCTCTACCTCCCGGGTTCAAGTGATTCTCCTGCCTCAGCATCCTGAGTAGCTGGGACTACAGGCGTGAGCTATCATGCCTGGCTAATATTTTGTATTTTTAGTAGAGACAGGGTCTCACCATGTTGCCTAGGCTGGTCTCGAACTCCTGAACTGAGGCAATATGCCCACCTTGGCCTCCCAAAGTACTGGGATTGCTGGCATGAGCCACTGAGCCCGACCCCTAGTAAATTTTTGTTTCTTTTTTCTTTTTCATTTTTTAATTATTTCTTTATTTTTTTGAGATAGAGTCTCACTCTGTCACCCAGGCTGGAGTGCAGTGGTGTGATCTTGGCTCACCGCAACCTCCTATTTCATATTTCAAAACAATAAAATATTCTCTATGTAAATCTCCACAAAATTCTTAATAGCTTGTCCCTGCACCAGCTAAATAATTTTTCAATAAATACCAAGTAATATATTAATGGGGAAAAAAGGATGACTTTTTTTGCCAAAAGCAAGACATTTTTCTATTAACATGTTATTGTATTGAGGGGCAGAATGTTTTGTTTTCCAGATTATAAACAAAAGACATCTTAAGAAAGAAACTACATCTTTTTGCAAGTGCCATCAATATTGAGACTGTTCTCTATGCCAAAGTTTCTTAACACTGGCTACATGTACAGGCTGAAAAGATATATGTTGAAAACAGACATGTGTGGTCCCAGGCCCAGAGATTCTAGTTGAATGATCTGGGGTATGACTTGGGCTTTGGGATTTCTAAATGTTTCCCAAGTAATTCTAATGGGCATAGGAATCTCTGCTCTATGCCTTTTTTTCTCTGATGGCAGTGAGCATGCTACTCAACATATGATGCTCAGATTTTTTTATATTTTTCTTTTATGACAGAGCTCATGATTTCTGCATGCACATTTATCCTTACATTATAATTCCAGGCATATCGTCGCATGCCATACCTTTTATGTGAGCCGACAAGGTATTCTCCCATTCTTGCAAGGAAAATATTGGGTTACTTTTAAGTAGGTCATGGTGGTTCAAGAATCACTTTGGGATCACTTGCAGATGGAATGACATAGTGGGTTCAATGTAATTTCTGATTCATGAGGATCCAGAAAGCATTGCCCTAACAGTTGCTCATTTTTCCACTTAAGGCTGCAACCTTAACCAAGAAGCAAATACTATAGCAAGAATAAAAGTAACCTAAGCCCTCTTTTAAGAAGTAGTCTCTCTAGTGCGAAATTGAGGCCAATAGCCACATAAAGGCAGTTCTTTTCTGAATACACTAATTCTGAAGCTGAATAAAAGGCTTCATTTTCCAGAGCTGTCAGTCTGGTGCCTTTCTCGACAATTAGATTTACTAAAGAATTTTATAGAGAAAAAAGAGAGAGAGAGAAATTAAGCAAAATGTCCAGATGTCATCTGTTAAAAATGCTTTATTGAGACAATAAACAAATAACATCAACAAGTACTAAAATTTTAATTAAAATATGATTTACAATGTTGCTATACACCACTAGAAGCATTCTTATTGACGGAAAATAAGATTGCTTTGCTTGTATCCTTAGGACACTCTAACACCCCATTTGACTTTGTGGGTCTCCCATCCAAGTCTTATAATATCTTTTCCATGCCCATGAGCATGAACATTTTCTTCAACACTTTAAAACACAATGGCAGTATCAATCGTTCCCTTTCATTGCTGGCTACATCACTAAAGATATGTATATTATGTTCTCTTGCCTTCTGCTCAGAAAAATCTAAGTATTGCATTTCTGTCAATTCATTGATTGAAGAGCTTCCCCTCAGAATGTTGACAGCTGTTTCAGACATTTATAAAATAACTTGGATAACAGCTGCAAACGGATTGGCTAAAGAAGATTTTGAACCATGTAATTAGCATTCATCAAATGCACACATTTCCATTGAAAAACCTCTTCAACCCAAAAGTTGACTATCAGGAAGCTGATAATTCTTGCTAAGTCTCCAGACAGGACTTGCTAATGCTTAACTCTCCATTAGCTGATTTTAGATGAGCATATTAATGTAGTTACTATTAAATAATTTAATATTAAATGCTGTCTGTAACTAACACTGCTTTAATTTTTGTCCTTTATCCATCTAGACACTCATCCATGTAAGACTGATCTCAGGTAAAAAATTAAAATAAATACATATATCACACACAAAAATAAAAAAAGATGATAGCTCATTGTGGTGTGTGATGATCTCTTAATGATATAGTGCACTGATAAATCCTGTGTATGTGAGCATATGTAATTCCCCAGATATAAAGTGGAAATAAACCTAGTCACCTAATTAATTACCCTTATGTACATACAAAATAATCTTAGTAGGACACAAAAATGTTTATGTATTTTAATCACCACCATATTAAGAAGTGCATTAAAATCCTAGAGGTAAACACACAAATATTAGTGATTGTTTGAATATAAATGGTCTAAACGCTCCACTTAAAAGATACAAAATTGAAGAATGGAAAAGAATTCACCAACCAAGTATCTGTTGCCTTCAGGAGACTCATCTAACACATAAGGACTCACATAAACTTAAGGTAAAGGGGTAGAAAAAGACATTCCTTGCAAATGGACACCAAAAGCAAGCAGGA
Organism: Homo sapiens; assembly: GCF_000001405.40. Lineage (NCBI taxonomy): Eukaryota > Metazoa > Chordata > Mammalia > Primates > Hominidae > Homo > Homo sapiens. Next base: position 105,015,612 of record NC_000002.12, on the reverse strand, counting down.
GTAGCTATTCTTATATCAGATAAAACAAACTTTAAAGCAACAACAGTTAAAAAAGACAAAGAGGGACACTGTATAACAATAAAAGGCCTTGTCCAATGGGAAAATATCATAATGCTAAATATATATGCACCTAACACTGGAGCTCCCAAATTTATAAAACTATTACTACTAGACCTAAGAAATGAGATAGCAGCACAATAGTAATGGGGGACTTCAATACTCCACTGACAGCACTAGACAGGTCATCAAGACAGAAAGTCAACAAAGAAACAATGAATTTAAACTATACCCTGGAACAAATGGACTTAACAGATATTTACAGAACATTCTACCCAACAACCACAGAATATACATTCTGTTCACCAGCGCATGGAACTTTCTCCAAGATAGACCATATGATAGGCCACAAAATAAGTCTCAATAAATTTAAGAAAATTGAAATTATATCTAGTACTCTTTCAGACCACAGTGCAATAAAACTGGAAATCAACTCCAAAAGGAACCTTCAAAACCATGCAAATACATGGAAGTTAAATAACCTGCTCCTGCCTGAGCATGGTGGTTCATGCCTGTCATCCCAGCACTTTGGGAGGCCAAGGTGGTTGGATCACCTGAGGTCAGGGGTTTGAGACCAGCCTGGCCAACATGATGAAACCCCATCTCTACTAAAAATACAAAAATTAGCCAGGTGTGGTGGCCCATGCTTGTAAACCCAGCTACTTGGGAGGCTGAGGCAGGAGAATTGCTTGAGCCTGGGAGGCGGGGCTTGCAGTGAGCTGAGATCACACCACTGCACTCCAGCCTGGGTGACAGAGCGAGACTCCATCTCAAAAAATAAAAATAAAAAATAAATAAGTGAGTAAATAAATAAATAAATAAATAGCCTGCTCCTGAATGATCATTGGGTCTACAATGAAATCGAGATGGAAATTAAAAAATTCTTCGAACTGAATGATGATACTGACACAATCTATCAGAACCTCTGGGATATGGCAAAGGCAATGCTAAGAGGAAAGTTCATAGCCCTAAATGCCTCCATCAAAAAGTCTGAAAGAGAACAAGTAGACAATCAAAGGTCACACCCCAAGGAAATAGAGAAACAAGAACAAACAAAACTCAAACCCAGCAGAAGAAAGGAAATAACCAAGATCAGAGCTGAACTAAATGAAATTGGAAGAAGAAAAATACACAAGATAAGTGAAACAAAAAGCTGCTTATTTGAAAAGATAAACAAAATTGATACACCATTAGCAAGATTAACCTAGAAAAAAAGAAAGAAAATCCAAATAAGCTACATTAGAAATGAAATGGGAAATATTACAACTGACACCACAGAAATACAAAAGATTATTCGAGGCTACTATGAACACCTTTATGCACATAAACTAGAAAATCTAGAGGAGATGGATAAGTTCCTGGAAAGATACAAACCTCCTATATTAAATCAAGAAGAATTAGGTACCCTGGACAGATGAATAACAAGCAGCAAGATTGAAATGATAATTAAAAGAAAATACCAAGAAAAAAAATCCAGGACCAGATGGATTCACAGCTGAATTCTACCAGACATTCAAAGAAGAATTGGTACCAATCCTATTGGCACTATTCCACAAGATAGAGAAAGCAGGAATCCTTTCTAAATCATTCTGTAAAGCCCAATATCACCCTAATACCAAAACCAGGAAAGAACATAACCAAAAAAGAAAACTATAGGCCAATATCCCTGATAAATATAAATGCAAAAACCCTTAACAAAATACTAGCTAACCAAATCCAGCAAAATGTAAAAAAGATAATCCACCATGATCAAGTGGGTTTCATACCAGGAATGCCGAAATGCAGAAATGCAGGGATGGTTTAACATATGCAAGTCAATAAATGTGATATACCACATAAACAGAATTAAAAACAAAAATCACATTATCATGTCAATAGATGCAGAAAAAGCATTTGACAAAATCCAGCATCCCTTTATGATTAAAACTCTCATACAAGGGACATACCTCAATATAATTAAAGACATTTATGACAAACAACAGCCAACATAATACTGAAGGGGGAAAAGTTGAAAGCATTCCCTCTGAGAACCGGAACAAGACAAGAATGCCCACTCTCACCACTTCTATTCGACATAGTACTGGAAGTACTAGCCAGAGTAATCAGACAAGAGAAAGAAATAAAGGGCATCCAAATTGGTAAAGAGGAAGTTAAACTGTTGCTGTTTGCTGATAATATGATTGTATACCTAGAAAACACTAAAGACTCCTCCAAAAAGCTCCTAGGACTGATAAAAGAATTTAGCAAAGTTTCAGGATACAAAATTAACGTACACACACACACACACACACACACACACACACACAAAAGAAACAAAATTAAAGTACACAAATCAGTAGCTCTCCTATACACCAATAGTGACCATGCTGAGAATCAAATCAAGAACTCAACTCCTTTTACAATAGCTGCAAAAAAATTAAAATACTTAGGAATATACCTAATCAAGGAGGTGAAAGACCTCTGCAAGGAAAACCACAAAACACTGCTGAAAGAAACCACAGATGACACAAATGGAAACACATCTCATGCTCATGGATGGGTAGAATCAATATTGTGAAAATGACCATACTGCCAAAAGAAATCTACAAATTCAATGCAATTCCCATCAAAATTCCACCGTCATTCTTCACAGAGCTGGAAAAACAATCCTAAAATTGATATGGAACCAAAAAAGAGCCCACAGAGCCAGAGCAAAACTAACCAAAAGGAAAAAATCTGGAGGCATCACATTACCTGATTTCAAACTATACCATAAGGCCATAGTCACCAAAACATCATGGTACTGGTATAAAAATAGGCACACAGACCAATGGAACAGAATAGAGAATCCAGAAATAAACCCAAATATACTTACAGCCAACTGATCTTCGACAAAGCAAGCAAAAACATAAAGTGGGAAAGGGACACCCTATTCAACAAATAGTGCTGAGATAATTGGCAAACCACATATAGAAGAATGAAAATGGATCCTCATCTCTCACCTTATACAAAAATCAACTCAAGGTGGATTAAGGACTTAAATCTAAGACCGGGAACTGTAAAAATTCTAGAAGATAACATCGAAAAAAACCTTCTAGATGTTGACTTAGGCAAGGATTTCATGACCAAGAACCCAAAAGCAAATGAAATAAAAACAAAGTTAAATAGCTAGGACTTAATAAACTAAAAAGCTTTTGCACAGCAAAAGGAACAGTCAGCAGAGTAAACAGACAACCCACAGAGTGGGAGAAAATCTTCACAAACTATACATCTAACAAAGGACTAATATCCAGAATCTACAATGAATTCAAACAAATTAGCAAGAAAAAAAAATCACATCAAAATGCATGCTAAGGACATGAATAGACAATTCTCAAAAGAAGATATACAAGTGGCAAACAAACATGAAAAGATGCTCAACATCACTAATGATCAGGGAAATGCAAATCAAAACCACAATGCAATACCACCTTACTCCTGCAAGAATAGCCGTAATCAAAAAATCAAAAAATAATAGATATTGGCGTGGATCCAGTGAAAAGGGAACACGTTTACACTGCTGGTGGGAATATAAACTAGTACAACTACTGTGGAAAACAGTATGGAGATTCCTTAAAGAACTGAAAGCAGAGCTACCATTTGATCCAGCAATCCCACTACTGGGTGTCTATCCAGAGGAAAATAAGTCATTATACGAAAACGATACTTGCTCACTCATGTATATAGCAGCACAATTTACAATTGTAAAAATGTGGAACCTACCCAAATGCCCATCAGTCAACAAGTGGATAAACTGTGGTATATAAATATGATGGAATACTACTCAGCCATAAAAAGGTATGAATTATGCCATTCACAGCAACCTGGATGAGATTGGAGACTATTATTCTGAGTTAAATAACTCAGGAATGGAAAACCAAACATCGTATGTTCTCACTTATAAGTGAGAGCTAAGTTATGAGGATGTGAAGACCTAAGAATGACACAATTGACTCTGGGGATAAAAGACTATAAATTGGGTTCAGTGTATACTGCTCAGGAGATGGGTAGGCCAAAATCTCACAAATCACCACTAAAGAACTTACTGATGTAACCAAATACGACCTGTTCCCCAAAACCCTATGAAAATTAAAAAAAAAAAATTAAAAATCTTGCTTCTTCCTCAAGGTCTTCCCTAATTCTCAGAGGAGGTGTCCCTTCTCCTCCTTGAACTGACCTCTTTTTTTTTGAATTTCTCTAATACACTCACTGGGCTCTGGCTTCCTCCAGTCTTCCAGACCACTAGTTGCTCTCTCACAGAGCTCCTGTCCTGCAGGGCGTGAAGTTTTCACAGGCAGAATTAGTCTCCTTCATTATCCATGACAATGAGCTATAATATTTTTTATTTTTGTGTGTGACACACGTATTTATTTTCATTTTTACCTGACGTCAGTGACTAATTCATAGTTCTTTTTTATAAGTTAATTCAGGTATAGTTGACATACATAAACTACAGATGTTTAAAGTGTAGATTTGATAAATGTTGACATATGCAATACACCTGTGAAACCCTCACCACAATTATGATAATGAATATGTCCATCATGCCCCCAAATTTCCTCATACCCCTTTGTAATCCCTCCATCCAGCCCTGATCCCAGGCAATCACTGGGCTGCTTTCTCTCACTGTGGATTAGTTTGCCTTTTCTAAAATTTTATATAAATGAAATTATGTGGTACATACTCATTTTTGGTGGTGGCAGGGAGGGTATCTGGTTGCTTTAGCTCAGACAATTGTTTCAAAATTAATCTGTATTCTTTTGTATCAATAGTTTTTTTGTTTTTATTACTGAGTAGTATTACTTGGCATGGATTAACCACATTTGGTTTATCCATTTAATAGTTAATGGGCACTTGGGTTGTTCCCAGCTTGTGGTTATTATCAATAAAGCTACTAAGAACATTTGTGTACAAGTTTTTGTGTAGACATGAGCTTTCATTACTCCTAATTAGATAAGTACCTAAGAGTGGAATGGCTGGGTCATATGGCAAATGTATGCTTAACCTTTTAAGAAACTGTTGAACTGTTTTCCAAAGTAATTGTGACATTTTACATTCCTAACAGCAGTGTGTGAGAGTTGCCCTAGATCCTTGCCAACATTTGATGTACTCAATCTTTTCACTTTTAGCCATTCTAGTGGGTGTGTAGGGGTGTCTTATTGTTTAAATTAGTAATTCCCTGATAACTAGGTTGAACATCCTTTCATGTGCTTATTTACCATCTGTATACCTTATTTGGCTAAGTATCTGTTTAAATCTTTTGCCCATTAAAAACATGGTTTGTCTTCTTATTTTTGAATCATAAGCTTTTTATGTATTCCATATAGAAGTTCTTTGTAAGACACTTTTTTCAAATAATTTCTTCTAGTATGTGGCTTGCCTTTTAATTTTCTTAACATTGTCTTTTGTAGGGCAAAAGTTTTAAATTTTGATGAAATCCACTTGTTCTCATTTTTCTTTTTATAGTTTATACATTTTGTGTCATATTTACAAATTCTAGCTGGGTATGGTGACATGTGCCTGTAGTCTGCAGCTACTTGGGAGGCCGAGTGGGGAGGATCACTTGAGGCCAGGAGTTCAAGCCCAGCCTACAGAACACAGCAAGACCCCATATCTAAAAAAAGAAAGAAAGGAAACACAGCAACAAAAATAACTCTTTGCTGAATCCAAGGTTACTATGGTTTTGTTTTGTATTCTATTCTGGATATTTTTAAGTTTTTGCTCTTATATTTACATATATGATCCATTTCAAGTTAATTCTTTTCCTCCCTTGACTGCTCAGCAGAATAAAGCTAATTTTTTATATGATGGAAATGTGAAGGAAAGGTTATGGTTATTTTTTGTATATGGCTATCCAATTGTTCTAACAACTATTTGGTGAATAGATTATCCTTTTCCTGCTGAATTAACTTAGCACTATTGTTGAAAATAAATTTACCATACATATGTTAGTCTATATTCTAGAATCTATCCCATTGATCAGTTTGTCCAGTTTTACACCAATACCACACTGTTTTGATTATTGTAGCTTTATTGTAAAGCTTACACACAGATATTTGAGTTATTCATCTTTGTTATTCTTTTTCAGCATCATTTTGATTCTTCTAGGTCCCATGCACCTCCATATAAAGTTTAAAATGAGCTTTTTCAATTTCTATAAAAAAAGGCAGTTGAATTTTGACTGGAATTTCATTGATTTTGCATACCAGTTTGAAGACTCTATATTTTAACTATATTAACTCTTATCTATGAGCAAGATATATTTTTTCATTTGTTTAGGTATTCTTTCATTTTTATCAGCAATGCTTTGTAGTATTAAGTATAGTGGCCTTGGAAATATTTTGTCAAATTATTCCCAAGTATTTTATATATATATATATATATATATATATATATATATATATATATATATATATATATATAAATACATATATACATATAAATACATATATATTTTCTTCCTTTTTTTTTTTTTTTGTGAGACGGAGTTTCGCTCTGTCGCCCAGGCTGGAGTGCAGTGGCGCAATCTTGGCTCACTGCAAGCTCCGCCTCCTGGGTTCGCGCCATTCTCCTGCCTCAGCCTCCCCAGTAGCTGGGACTACAGGCACCCACCACCACACCCAGCTAAGTTTTTGTATTTTTAGTAAAGACGAGGTTTCACTGTGTTAGCCAGGATGGTCTCGGTCTCCTGACCCCATGATCTGCCCACCTCTGCCTCCCGTATTTTATATTTTTTATGCCATTGTAAATGGTATTTCTATTTTTAATTTCAATTTATGATTGTTCATTGCTATTATGTAGAACTACAACTGATTTTGTTTATCTATCTTGTATGGTGCAATCTTGCTAAACTTACATATTAATCCTAGAAGCTATTTTGTAGATTCCACCTGCTTAGCTATATATCTGATCATGCCATCTGAGAATAAAAACAATTTTAATTCTTCCTTTGAAATATGGATGTCTTTTTTTTTCTTTACTTACGCATCAGTTAGAACCTCCAGTATGTTGTTAAATAGAAGATAGTGAACGGTCTTGCCTTGCTTACGATATTATAGTGAAAGCATTCAATCTTTCATAATGTTAGCTAGAGACTTTTCAAAGACTTATTGTATCAGCCTGAGAACATTTCTTTCTATTTTTAGTTTGTAATTTATCTGAAATAGATGTTGGATTCTTTAATTGCTTTTCCTGAATCTGTGGAGATATTAATATAGTTTTCCTTTCTAGATGGATAATTTGGTGAATTATTGGTTGATTTTAACGTTCAACCAACCTTGCTTTCTTGGAATGAACTCTAGTTGAGAGAGAGAGAGAGAGAGAGTTGTATTTGATTTTCTAAAAATGTATAAAGAGTTTTAAATCTGTGATCATAAAGCATATATTGGTCTTTAGGGTTTGTTTTTTTTTTTCAATGTCTTTTTCTGGTTTTGGTATTTGGGTGATTCTGGCCTCATAGAATGAATTGAGAAATATTCCTTTCTCTTCAATTTTTTGGAAGAATTTGTTTAGAGTTGGTGACTTTTGTCCTTAAATGTTTGGGATATTATCATTGAAGCCCTGTGGGTCTGGAGTTTTCACTACAAATGTAATTTATTTAATAGATAAAGAGATATTCAGGTTATCTCTTTTTTTTGCAGGGATGTCCAAGGGACAGAATATAGTCATGGGTTCTTAGTTTCTGTTTCTGGTTGGGCCAGTGAAGCCCCTTCCTCATCCTTGTTTTCCACTTATCACTAGAGACAAAAACTAAAAACCATGGCTTCAGGCTGCTAAAAGCCTAAAACAAAACAAAACAAAACAGAAAGACAACAACTACAAAAATAAGGTAGGTTGGACAAGCTTGTAAATCTAGAGTGAGTTTTTGTAGTTTATGTCTTTCAAAAATCAGTCTGTTTTCTATAAGTTAGCAAATTCATTGGCTCAAAGTTTAAATTGAAGGTAATGGCAAAAACCGCAATAACTTTTGCACCAACCTAATATCATTCCCTACCTTTAGAGTCTGTATTAATTGTCACCTTTCTCCTTCCTGATACTGATTTTTTGTCTTCTCTTTTTTGTCCTGATCAGTCTAGCTAGTGATTTATCAATCTTATTGATTTTCTGAAAGAAATAACTTTGCTTTCAGGGTTGTATATTGGTTCTACTTTGCATTGCAGTGTCTAGTTGCATGGCAACTGATGAATCTGTTTCTGAAGTTAGAGGGTTAGAGAAGTTAGCAGGCTCTCTTCTCCTCTCAGAGGTACCAGTAAGGTTTTGCATCTCAGTTTCTGATGGTATCCCTCTCATTATTTTGTGTGCCTTCTTTTGAAGAACTTGGAACAAATTCTTTTTGAGCTGGGTCTCAAGGAAATATGAGCGGTATTACACACAAAAAAACTTAGTCCACACAAGCTCTCCCTCACGTCTGACATCAATTGCAAATTTAAAAGGGTCCCTAATAGCACTCTCAGGTTCAATAATTTCTTAGAGAGATTCACAAAACTCACTAAAAGGCTGTTATACTCATGGTTACAGTTTATTACAGGGAAAGGGTATAGATAAAAATCAGCCAGGAAGAAGCACGCCAGGCAGAGTCCAGGAGGAAGTGGAATGTGGAGCTTCTGTTGCCTTCTCTGTGTGTAGTCAGGATGCATTCATCCTCCACCATCAATGTGTGATAACGTTCATAGAAGATTGCCAACCATGAACACTCCCCCAAGCTTCAGTGTCCGGAGTTTTTATTGGGTCTTCATCACATAGACATTATGGATTGATTGAGTGCTTAACCTCAGTCTTAAAGCAAACTGACACTGTGTGACTGCAATCCAGAGGGACAGAGGTAAAGATTTGATAAAAGGGGTGTATTAGAGGGATGCTGGTTAAGTGGTGGGACTCTGGATACTTCTTGGGATATAGAGACTGATTAGAGACTACAGTGGCAGGTACAAAAAGGCTTTTAACAATAAGAACAGCTAACAGCAATTTTTAAAGTTTTGTTTCGTGGTATGCATGGCAACTCTTTCCTATAACCATGCTCTTTATAAAAGTTTAAATTCTCACTGTTATGGGCTGAATTGCATTCTTCTCAAATTTGTACTGAACAGACATCCTAGCTCCCGGTACCTCAGAATGTGAATGTATTTGGAGACAGGGTCTTTAAAGAGGTAGTTGATTAAAATAGGGTCATGAGGGTGGGCTATAGTCCAATATGATTGCTGTCCTTATAAGAAGAGGAGATTAGGGCACGGACATGCACAGCAGGACACGCTCATGAAGATATAGGGAGAAGGTGGCTGTCTGCAAGCCAAGGAGAGAGGCCTCCAGAGAAACCCACCCTGCTGACACCTTGATGGTGGACTTCCATTCTTCAGAATTGTGAGGAAATAATTTTCTGCTGCTTAAACCACCCAGTCTGTAGTGCTTTGTTAGGGTAGCCCAAGCCAACTAAGACACTCACCAAAATGTAGTAAAGGGGTTTAGGAAGTGTGTAAATCAGTGCACAGCTTACGTGCATAAATCAGAGTAGACCAAGTATGGACCAGAGGCAGCCCAGGCCAGAGCAGAAGTCTAGAGCTAAAATCCACTTTAAGAAATCTCAAAATCTTTAAAAAGTTTGAGGAGAGATTTGGACACTCACAGGAATGTTATGTCAACATTACCCAGATCCAGCTGCCCACAGGCCTTACCTGTACTTAATCACCTAGGGGAGTCAGATTCATCTTGGCAAGTGCTTATTTAGATTAGGCTTTGGCAAACTAAGGCCTGTGTGCTTCATCCTGCTCACTGCCTTTTGTAAATAAAATGTTGCTGGCACACAGCTCTGCCCATTTGTTTACATATCATCTATGCTGCTTTCTTGCTGTAATGGCAGAGCTGAATAGTTGCAACAGAGGCCGTATGGCTTGCAAAATCTAAAACAGTTACTAAACATAACATAAAAAGTTTGAAAAGTTTGAAATGAAGTGAATGTTACAATAAAATGCTCCTTCCTTTCAAGCACATGAGTTTGCTGATGATGTTCAGGCGCCTCAAGTTCAGGGTAGTGTTGTATACTTACCATGAAACTGTGAGAGTAGTGGGGGTGACCCCATGAGTCAGTGGCCTGGGGAAATCAGAAGAGATGTACTTGGGAAGCTTATGTTGGATTTGACAATGAAAAAGCATCAAGGCATGCTAATGGAGGTGAAAGGCTGAATACAAGGCAGCAGAGGGGGAGGTCTGAGAACCCAGAAGAAAGGGAGGCATATTTGTCAGAGAGTTCATACACAAAGAACCCAAGGTGCAGGAGGCATCCTGGAGAGAATGTTTTTGTTCTGGAGGTGGAAGTACTTTGTAACCCAGGTGTCAGCTGGAATGAAGTTTTCCAGGTCCTGGCTTATCCAGATGGGCTTGGCTCAAAACTCTGTGGAAGTCTAACCTCTCCCTCCCAAGATTTCTACAAATGCTGGGCTTTCATCCTTTCCGTTGTCTCTGCCTCCAGGTTCCTCATTTTGGTGAGACTGCGTCTAGTCCAGACACATCAGCCTAGTTGTTACACTCAACCCCTTCCATGAATTTTATGCACACACAAACACACACACACTCTTACACATACTCATAGAAAGTATTCAGGAGCACAAAATATTTTACTATCAGTTTCTGAGGTTTGTGGGAGCATGAGAAAGTAGTTTATGTTGTAGCAATATAAATCACCTTAAATTAAGTTTTGAATTTTTTTTATACTTAAATCTCCTTTGGCTACTTCACCACTGGGAAATTTCTTGTGGGTGTATCTCACCACATAAAGTCTCCACCCTCAGACCTTCTCACTCTCCAACACTACCTTCTCTCCCCATTTCTTTCATCTGTTTGATCTATCTATATCTCAGAAGCAAGAAGAAATTCCTCCCCATGTTTTATGCAGACCCATTTAGCCAGCCTCTTTGGGTCTCTTTAAAGTTTCACTGCTGGGCCGGGTGCAGTGGCTCATGTCTGTAATTGTAGCACTTTGGGAGGTGGGGCCATGAGGATCACCTGAGCCCAGGAGTTCAAGACCAGTCTGGGCAACATAGTGAGACACCTGTCTCTACAAAAAATTAAAAAAATTAACTGGGTGTAATGGCACTCGCTTGTAAACCCAGCTACTCAAGGGGGCTGAGGTGGGAGGGTTGGTTGAGGCTGGGAGGTTGTGGCTGTAGTGAGCCATGAACACACCACTGTACTCCAGCCTGGGCAATTGAGCCAGATCTTGCTTAAAACAAAAACAAAAATAACCAACCAAACAAAAAAACAAGTCTCGCTGATGTCTTCTTGGTGCCAATAATATTGTTGAGAAGCCTGATGTCTTTTGGTCTGTTGTCTGTAATTTGCTTTTTCTCTCTGAAAGTTTTAGGAATTTTAAGTCATTATGAATTTTTTTCAAGTATTTTCTCCCCTCTGTTTGTTTTCCCCTCTCCTTTTGACACTCCTATTACCTGGAAGTCGACTTATTACCCCCGATGCTTTCTGGAAAGATTCTTTGACTTGCTCTTCTGCTCATAAAATCTTCATTCTGTGGAATCCATTCTAATGTGCATACCATCAACCCAAGTTCTTTATTTCAGTAATTACAGTTTGTAAGCAGTATCTCTACTGTGTTTCTTTCCTTCTTTTTTTTAGAGACTGGGTCTCTCTCTGTTGCCCAGGCTGGAGTGTGGTGGTGAGATCATAGCTCACTGCAGCCTCAAATTCCTGGACTCAAGCAATCCTCCTTCCTCAGCCTCCTAAGTAGCTGCGACTACAGGCACTGCCACTGTGACAGGCTAAATTTTTAAATCTTTTGCAGAGATGAGGTCTTCCTATGTTACCCAGGCTTGTCTCAAACTCTTGGCCTCAAGCAAGCCTCACACTTCAGCATCCCAAAATGTTGGGATTACAGGTGTGAGCCACCCTGCCCTGCTGGGTTTTTTTTGTTTTGTTTTGTTTTATATATATATACTTGCATAGTATTAACTAGAACATGGTAAACTATTTCCAAGAATGAAGGAAACATGAAAGACTTCAGAGAGAAGAGTTCAAAGACCTCAGGTTGAAAGAGTTCACAGGATAGATAATAAAATCTTACATTTAAATACAGTATAGTAAAATCGAAGAACCTCAAAGACAAAGGTAAAATTTACCAGTTCTGCTCAATTTCTTTTAAATTTTCATGATCTATACATTCATTTGGTAGAGTTGTTTAGTGTATTTTCTTTGCTTTACTCTCAGAAGAGTGTAAATAATCTACAGATAGCAGCCATTGTAGACCTATTCTTTATTTAATGGTAATCTCTTGGGTGGTTTGTGAAAGTGGTAATCTCTGGATGGTTTGTGATGTTGGCATTGTTTTGAGTTAGATATTCTTTCTCATGTCTAGGAGGTAGAACCCTGTTTTTGGTTTTATAAGACTTCTTATTTTTCATTATAATTAGATGTTAATTTTAATCATATACTTTCTAAAGCAAACGAAGCCTGCATATTGTAAATTAATAATACTGTTTGAAAGTACTATTTGTACTGATTGCTTATGATGAAAAACTTTTAACCCATACCCTCCAATTTATTAGTAAATATATGTCTTAAATTCTCTTATAATAAAAGACCAAGCCTCTTAGTCTGTCATTTCCCTTTAAGCCTAATTGAAATTTGATAGTTCTCATGTTTATTTGTTAAAAGTAATGAAAATAAAAAAACCCCAGTAGCCTCAGTCTAATCCAATGTTTTAAACAACCCGTTTAGGCTTTCTGCCTTTCTGGTGTGGATATAAGCCCTTATTCTTCCTGACTTTCTTTTTTTCTTGCTGTTTTCTAGCAATGCTGCAGGCTTACTTGCCTACCTTTCTACCTTCAGCCTTTGCTATATGCTATGGCCTATCTTTTGTTGGATGGCAATGGGCTCAAAGCTGGAGTTCTCTCAAGTGCTTGTAGCCTCCTCAATATTGTGCCCAGGAAAGGGCCTCTGTGACTTTGGATGTCTGTTTGTTGAGTACAGAGTTCAATGTGTACACATTAATTCAATTCTATTAATTATATCATTTAGGTATTTTATAAAATTCTTTACATAGATTGTGGACTATATATATTTAGTCTCTACTTCATATCTTTTAACCCTTGTTTAATGTTTTCTCTTCTTTATGCCTCTGTACTTCATTCTATACCATTTATAAAAATACATAAAAATATATAAGTATTCGTATACCTCACTTTTCTAACCATTGTTGTTGATCTCTCTCACTTATGGTGCTTGTTTTTGTTGTTTTGTTTTGATTGAGAATTGCTAATTTTCCTTGAATTTTTGAGGGGAGAGAAGGGAGGAGAATTTGCTTGGGATCTGTGATACAGGTGCGTTTCTTAAGAGAGGATTTGTGTTTGCTTTTGCCAGATTTCTGGTTACAGTACCAACCCAGGACCATTCTAGTTCAGTCATTGTGTTTTTTTCATTTCAGAATTTCTGTTTGTTTCTTTTTTATGGTTTCCACCTCTTTGTTGAACTTCTGATTTTGTTCCATGTATTGTTTTCCTGATTTTGTTTAATTGTCTTCCTGTAACTCTCTTATAACTCACTGAGCTTCTTTAAGATGACCATTTGGAATTCTTTGTCAGGCAGTTTATAAATCTCTATTTCTTTAGGTTTGGTTACTTGTGCTTTATGTTTTTCCTTTGGTGGTGTCATGTTTCCCTGATTGTTTGTGATCCTTGTGGCCATGCATTGGTATCTGCACATTTGAAGAAGTAGTCTCTTATTTCAGTCTTTACAGACGGGCTTAGGCAGGGAAAGCCCTTCATCAGAGATTCACACAGGCTGCTTACTGTGATCCTTCAGCAGGCTTGCCACTGGAGTCCTTGGGCAGGCTGGCCCAGTGTCAGAGTCAGCAGGTGTGTGGACAGGACATGGCATCTGGGTCTGCAGGGTTGAGCCTGGAGTCTGGGTCCACTGGGGTGGGCTTCGAACTAGGGTCTGATGGGACGTGCCTGGATAAGACGGCTATATGGGTGGGTGTGGGACCTAAGACTATCAGGGCAGGCCTGGAGCCTATATCTGCAGGGACTAGCCTGATTTTTGGGTCCATGGGCCAGCCTAGTGCTGGGGGTGGGCCTTAGTCCTTGGTTTGTGGAGGCCAGCATACAGCCTGGATCTACAAGTATGTTCTTGGAGTTTTGGTCCATGAAGACTGGCCTGGTGCTGGGGTCTATTGGAATGGGCTTGGACCCTGGACCCAGGACCCACTGGAGCCTTGGACTAGCCTGGTGTTGGGGCAAGTATGAAGTCTAGGTCTGCAAGGGCTGGTTTGGATTTGGGTCCACAGGTATTAGACTGGTGCCTAGAGTTAAGGGGGCTGGCCTGGAGCCTGGGGCAATTAACAACAATAATTGTTGTTTCAGATTAACAGACAATTGACAACAATCATTATTGTTCCAGATGAAGTTGAAAATCAATTAAATTCCTTCAAAGTTCCTTTGATATTCTCATTGAAAAAACACCGTGTTTATCTATTGCTTTGGGAAGATAGACTTCTTTATGCTATTTGAGCCTTCCTATCTAGGAGGGTAGTATTTTCCTCATTCACTTGGGGCCTCATTTTATGCTTGTTTGTACATTTGCTTAATTTTCTTTATACCTTTACATACCTTTTTCTGGTGGATTTTTTTTTTTGAGATGGTGTCTTGCTCTGTTGCCCAGGCTGGAGTGCAATGGCATGATCTCCACTCACTGCAACCTCCGCCTCCTGGGTTCAAGTGATTCTCCTGCCTCAGCCTCCTGAGTAGCTGGGATTACAGGCATGCACCACCATGCCCAGCTAATTTTTTTTATTTTTAGTAGAGACAGGGTTTCACCATGTTGGCCAGGCTGGTCTCGAACCCTTGACCTCAGGCAATCTGCCTGCCTCAGCCTCCTGAAGTGTTGGGATTACAGGCGTGAGCCACCATGCCCAGCAGTTGAATTTTTTTAGTTGCCATTTTTGTGAATGAGGTTATATTTTTTATTTCATTTCTAACTAGTTATGAGTAGTTGGGAAGAAAAAATACTGATTTGTAAATATTTATGGAGTTTTAAAAGTGATAGCTCTTAAATTTTTGCAGTTTCAATCATATCTTAGGTAAATGTTGTCTTTTCTTCAATTTTTTCCTCATTTATTTGTTATATTTCCTCCATTCTGTAGCCTGTACAAAATAGTACTTAGTAATACAGACAGTAAGCATACTTATCTTGTTCCTGGCTTTAGTCAGAACGCTTTTAAATTTTAGAATTTAACACAAAGTTTACTACTAATTTCTGATAAATAGTGTTTAAAATATTTAAGAAATATTCTTTTATTTTTATTTTACCAAACATTTTTATAATGGATACAGAATTCTATTAAATATTTTGTATCTATTGAAAAAACTCAATCACCACCAGCCATTTGGCTTTTATTTTTGATTTATCGATGTAACATACTATGTTTCCAGTTTTTGAATGCTGAAGCACCTTATTAATGCAAGAAGGCATCCAATTTAGTTATTTTACAACATTTTAAAGTATGCTGCTTGATTGTATATGCTAATTTTTAAAGAACTTTGGCTACTTATTATTATTCTTTGGATATTTATTCTTAGAAATGTGGTCATTTTGCATCACAGGACATAAACAAGTAACTAAAACAAGGCCGCAGAAAAGATGAAAATATATTATCCTGCAAAAACAAGGAGTCCCAAAGTACAACGATTCCAGAGAAGCTGTGAAGAAGTTGAAACTAAGTTCTTTTGCTTAAAGGTGACTGGTCCTTTCTGCCAGAAAAATTCAAAAAATATTTTTTATTTCTTTTTAGGTCCAGTGACTCTACTAGGATGCCTCTTTGTTGATAATCTTTTAGTTTTTTGAGGGATATTGTATAACTTTTAAACCTGTAGATTTCATTGACTTTTTAAAAAGTGTTTAAAGTTTTCTTGAATTATGTCTTTGATTTCTTTCTTTTTTTTTTTTTTTTGAGATGGAGCCTCACTTTGTTGCCCAGGCTGGAGTGCAGTGGCATGATCTTGGCTCACTGCAACCTCCATCTCTCGGGTTCAAGTGATTCTCCTACCTCAGTCTCCTGAGTAGCTGGGACTACAGGCATGCGCTACCACACTTGGCTAATTTTTGTATTTTTAATAGAGATAGGGTTTCATCATGTTGGCCAGGCTGGTCTTGAACTTCTGACTTCAAGTGATCCACCTACCTTAGCCTCCCAAAGTGCTGGGATTACAAGTGTGAGCCATGATGTCCAGCCTTTCCCCCATTTTTTTAGTAACATGAAATCTATCATCTTTATCTGATTCGTTTATCTCCTTGTTAATTTCCGTCTCATTTTGCTCCCCTTCTATAGTCTTATTTTCTATTCTCTGTATTTGAAGCAGTGTCTAATCTCTTTAGTGCTGCTTTCAATTTTGTTTTCATTTATTTTCCCTCCATTTAATTTCTGACAACTGCCAGCTCATATTGTCTCTTCTTGAACTTATATTACTTTCCTTTGCCTTTTCATATTATTATAAAATGCATTTTTTATATAATCACTAATTTAAAAATGTTTAGTTACAGTTTTCATCTGCTCTGCAGCAACATTTTTCTGCTTCAGAGTTCTTTATCTCCTGCTTAATTTTCCTGTTCCATTCCATGTTTATTTGCTAATTTCAGATAGATTCTTATGTTATTCTTTCCTCACCTAGGACATAGCATGTACCTCCATATAATTTATATCACATTCCCTTTGGACTTTTGTTCTCCTTTAAATAAGATGAGATCTTCCTGGACCAGTTATCTATAGGTGGTACACAGCAGGGAGCAGGCAGGGTCATGCTCCAGGTTGGCAAGAATTCCTGCAACAGAGAGGCTTGTGCAGACAGTGATATAATGGGCTCTAGAGACTCAGAAGGAGGAGGCGACAGGGGAGTCAGGGATAGAAAACTACACATTAGGTGCAGTGTGCACTACTCAGGTGATGGGTGCACTAAAATCTAAACTTACCACTAAATAATTCATTTATGTAACCAAAAACCCACCTGTATGCCAAAAGCTATTGAAATAAAAATGAAAATAAAAAACAAAAAGCAGCAACAAAAAACAGAGAGCTTTGTGTGGTGTTCTTTTACATGTGACCTCTCCCTGGACAATGAACGTAGCTGGTTCATAGGGCTGAGCCTCCTTCCTTCCCTCCCACTTCATCAGGGCACATCCTGCTGCACTTGTTGTCTGCCTATGTGATGGTTTATCCAGCATGACCCTTCCTGCTTCTAGAAACTTCCCATCAATCCAAGTCCAGGGAAATTCCATCAACCAGCCCTCAGGCACTATTAATTTTGCCCTTCAGGATGTGTTTCTTCCTTCTGAGAATGGTGAGTTTCATATTAGAGTCCACTTGGGAAAACAGAACTCCACCAGTTATTTTAGCACAGCAAATTTAATATAATAAATTGATTAAACAGATTCTGGGGCAAAGAAAAAAAAGTGATCACCAAGTTAACCCAGAGATAGTAACTTCAGGAGGCAGCTAACACTTCTAGTACTGAAGCAACAAAGGGGAAAGCTTGGGTTATTAGAACCTGCATTCTCTTATTCAAAGCAGGTCATGAGGCATCCCAGATTTAAATGGTGGGGAAATGAGAAGAGCTACAAATAACGTGTGCCTACTTCTAGTAATGGACCATAATGCTTTGAAACCTAAATACCTTCTTCTCAACACCCCGAAGAGCATAAGCCAGGAACAGGAAATAGGGGATTGGCAATCACCATGTCAGTCTATAAGAGACAGCATTAACATCACTTCTTTGACCACCCACACCCATGCAGAGTAAGAATGTTCAGAGAATGAGACACTGCCACTTTGGAGCAGACGAGTAAGACTAGAAAGATGGGCAATTAATGCCATTTATATCTTTTCTTTCTGGTCAACAATATGAAATAAATAGGTCTTTTAAATTTCCCTTTATAAGTACCATATTCTAGGACTGTTTAACTTGGCTTCAGGGGAACTGAAATAGGCTTTCTGTAAATAACCCAACCTGTTTACTGAGACCATTTTGCAGTAGTGAACACGATGAAGTTCAAGTTCAAGTTCAACTGCAGTTACCGTGTACAGATGCTGCATACAGATGCTGCATAATACTCCATGTTTATCTGGCACTCAATGTGGGTAGGGGAGGTGTGTGTGTATGATTATCATCTCCCATCCAGGTTCTTTAAAAGTCCTTTATTGCCATGAATTCATTGCACTTAAGAGTTTAAGAAGATATTTGAGATGTTCTTGACTTTGCAGCAAGCAACTCTTTGAAAAGACAAGTTCAAGATGTACTGAAATAAACTTAAGCTAATTTTCATGTGTACAAGTGAAGGTTCAATGCAAAACAACAAGTATGACAAAGATTTTGGGGCAAAATTTAAATTAGCCTAACTATTTATGACTGTTTATGTTGAAATGTTTTCAAAGTTTCAATGCATAAGCATGTCAGCTGAAAAGGATACATTTCTACCCATATCTATCCACCCACTCAGATGGAAGAGAAAGCATATTTTTATAACTTAAAAAATCAGTTATTTTTCTCAGGCAAATGCATGGGTGGAATTTTCAAGGCATTTTCCAGTGTTACACCTGCATACTGGAGAATGGAATGAGCCTCTTTGTGTTTCAGGAAGGGGGAAAACACCAATTACTGAATACCTCTTGGCTTTTGCACAATTACACTATTTAGTATGATATATATTTAAATTATACATGCAAGCCAGCATTTAGGCATGTAGCTAATATATATTCCTAACATTATTGCTGAAATAGCAATAGAATGTGATATAAGTTGGTGATGGAAACTTGACCCATCCAGTTTAGATTTCATAATTTGCTGAGTATTGTCTGTGTCTGTATCTCTGAGTATAGAACAGAATTGTGCAAATTGTTGAGAAGTATATAACAAGGACACTTGCTGTTTTGGCCACAATGTAGTAACATTTCATGGTGATCTCAGAAGGGACCTGTTCAAATATCCACAATCTTACCAGCTGAGTTGAGAAAGTATTTGAACATCTCCTCTTGCTGGCCACTGTTCTTAGGGCTTCTTTTGAGCTTTCTCAATATTCTGCATAAAGAACAAAATGCATTGAATGCTACAGACTTCTGAATTACCTTTATCCATTTTCTTTTAAGTATCATTATGTTCTTGAGATGCACAATACTCATTTTTCCCAGGAATATTTTTGTGTATAGTAAACATAAAGCTACTTATTTGTGGGTTTTTTTTTTGTAAGGTATCAAGGTGCAAAGGAAAAAAAATGTGGGCACTGCTGTCAGATGACAACAATTTGGTAACGGCCACTGTTTAGTTCCAAACCTCTATGACCCTGTCTCTGTGTGCATAAGACAATAGCCCCAACTATGCAAGTGGTTGGTAATAATTAGTGATAAGGTATGTACATTTCTTAGCAGATAGTAGGTGTGTTATAAATCATAGATATTGTTATAACTGTACTTTGCACAGTTAGAACATGTCTATGTTTATATCTATAGTTCATCTTTTAGTTATGTACTTTACATTTTTCTTTTACTATTAAACATTTAGTTTATACATTCTACCAGTTTCCATGTTCCATAATGCACACCCGTATTTCTGATCATGGCTTCACCAGCAGCACTTACCTCAGCTGGAGACATGCGCTGGGCTCACTGGGGACTGAGCTCTGAGCTGTCTGCTCTCTATATGGTGTCATGGGGAAAGCATTGCCTTCGGAGGCTGGAGGCTGCTACTTTGCTTTGTGAAATTATCAACTCCAGTTGATAATTTTTACCCTGAGTAGCCCATGTGGTTATATTTGATGAAATATGACCATTTTAAAAATATTATTATTTTTAAAACTATCTTAAATTATTTTTAATACTTTATAAATTATTTTAAATTATTCTGTTTCTATGAGTTTGACTATATATATTTTTAAAATTATAATAAGTATTGGTGAGAATGTGGAGAAATTGGAATCTTTGTGTACTGTTGTGAATGTAAAACAATGCCACTGATATGGTTTGGCTGTGTCCCCACCCAAATCTCAACTTGAATTGTATCTCCCAGAATTCCCATGTGTTGTGGGAGGGACCCGGGGGAGGTAATTGAACCATGAGGAATGGTCTTTCTCATGCTATTCTCATGATAGTGAATTAAGTCTCATGATATCTGATGGATTTATCAGGGGTTTCTGCTTTTGCTTCTTGCCCATTTTCTTTTGCTGCTGCCTTGTAAGAAGTGCCTTTCACCTACCACCATGATTCTGAGGCCTCCCCAGCCATGTGGAACTGTAAGTCCAATTAAACCTCTTTTTTTCCCAGTCTCGGGTATGTATTCTTCCCAGTCTCAGGTATGTATCAGCAGCGTGAAAATAGCCACTACTGTGGAAACGTTACTGTTTTAGATATCTCATTCAAGTGGAATCATACTATATCCTTCTGTAGCTAGCTTATTTCACTTAGGATAATGTCCTCAAGATTCATCCATGTTGTCGCATATGGTATGATTTTCTTCATTTTTTTAAAGGCTGAATAGTATTACATTGTTATGGACTGAATTTTTATGTCCTCAACCCCCTGCAAAATTCACATGTTGAACCCTGATCCCTAATGTGATAGTATTAGAAGGTAGGGCCTTTGGGACGTGGTTAGGTCATGAGGGTGGAGCACTTAGAAACTGGGATTAGTACCCTTATGAGAAGAGGCCAGAGAACTTCCTCTGCCTCTCTCTCCTCTCCACTGTGTGAGGCTGCAACAAGAATACAGCCATCTACAACCAAAAAGTGGGACCTCAATAAACACTGGATCTGCCACCACCTTGGTCTTGGACTTCCCAGCCTCCCTAACAATGAGAAATAAATGTTTGTTATTTAAGCCACTCAGTCCATGTTAATTTATTACAGCAGCTTGAACTAAGACATCCATTACATATATATGGATCTATTACATCCATTACACACACACACACACACACACACATATACAAGCATACCTCAAAGATGTTGTCAATTTAGTTCTGGACCACCACAGTAAAGCAAATATCACAATAAAGCAAGTCACACAAATGTTTTGGTTTCTCAGTGCATATAAAAGTTGTTTACCCTACACTGTCATCTTTTAAGTATGCAATAGAGTTATGTCTACGAAAAGTACATACCTTAATTTAAAAATATTTTATTGATAAAAGATTCTAAAGGTCTTCTGAGTCTTCAGTGATTTGTAATCTTTATGGTAATGGAGATCTATGCCTTCATGTCGACGGCTGCTGACTGATCGGGATGATGGCCACTGAAGGTTGGGTTGGCTGTGACAATTTCTTAAAATAACACAACAATGAAGTTTGCCACATTGATTGACTCTTCCTTTCACGAAGAGTTTTCTGTAGTATGTGATGATTTTTGATAGCATTTTACCCACAATAGAATTTGTTTCAAAATTGGAGTCAGTTCTCTCAAACTCTGTCACTGCTTTCTCAAGTAAGTTAATGTGATATTCTAAATCCTTTGTTGTCATTTCAACAATGTTCATAGCCTCCTCACCAGGAGTAGATTCCATTTAAAGAAATCATTTTCTTTACTCATCCATAAGAAGCAACTCCTCGTCCATTCAAGTTTTACCGTGAGATTGCACTAATTCAGTCACAGCTTCAGGCTCTACTTCCACTTCTAGTTCTCTTGCTATTTTAACTACATCTGCAATTACTTCTTCCACTGAAATCTTCATCCCTAAAAGATATTCAAGATGGTTGGAATCAGCTTTTCCCAAACTCCTGTTAATGTTGCTATTTTGACCTTCTCTCATGAATCACAAATGTTCTTTTTTAAAAAAACTTTTAAATTCAGGGGTACTGTGCAGGTTTGTTATATAGGTAAACTTGTGTCATGGGTATATGTTGTACAGATTATTTTGTCAGCCAGGTATTAAGCCTAGTACCGTTAGTTATTTTTCCTGATCCTCTCCCTCCTTATACCCTAATGACATTTGAATGATGAATTCTTTCCAGAAGGTTTTAAATTTACTTTGCCCAGATCCATCAGAGGAATCACTATCTATGGCTGGTATAGCCTTATGATATGTATCTCTTAAAAAATCAAAATTATTCCTTGATCTGTGGGCTGCAGAATAGATGCTGTGTTGGCAGGCATGGAAACAACGTTAATCTCCTTGTACATCTCCATTAGAACTCTTGGGGGACAGGTACACTGTTACTGAGGTGCACGGTCAGTATTTTGAAAATAATCTTTTTTTTTTTTCTGAGCAGTAGGTCTCAACAGTGAGCTCAAAATATTCAGTAAACCATGCTGTAAAGAGATGTGCTGTCATCCAGGTTTTGTTGTTCCACTTACAGAGCATAGGCAGAGTAGATTTAGCATAATTCTTAAGAGCCCTAATATTTTTAGAATGGTAAATGAGATTGGCTTCAACTTAAAGGCAATTAGCCCCTAACAAGAGAGTCGGTCTGTCCTTTGAAGCTTTGAAGCCAGGTATTGACCTCTTCTCTCCATCTATGAAAGTCCTAGATGGCATCTTCTTCCAAAATAAGGCTGTTTTGTGTAACCACCTTCATCAGTGATCTTAGCTAGATCTTCTGGATAACTTGCTGCAGCTTCTACATCAGCACTTGCTGCTTTACCTTGCATTTTTGTGGAGGTGGCTTCTTTCCTTAACCCTCATGAACCAACAGCTGCTAGCTTTAAAGTTCCCCTATGCAGCTTCTTCACCTCTCTCAGCCTTCATAGAGCTGAAAAGACTTAGGCTTTGGCTTAAGGAAATAGTTTATCTGATTTGATCTATGCAGATCACTAAGACTTTCTTCAGATCAGCAATAAGTCTGTTTTGCTTTCTTATTCCTGGGATCACTGGAGTAGCACTTTTAACTTTCTTCAAGAACTTTTCCTTTGCATTCACAACTTGGCGAGCTATTTGGCACAAAATGCCAAGCTCTTGGCCTGTATTGACTTTCAACATGCCTTCCTCACTAAGCTTAATCATTTGTAGCTTTTGATTTAAAGTGAGAGATGTGTGACTCTTCCTTTCACTTAAACACTTAGAGGTCATTGTAGGGTTATGAATTGACCTAATTTCAATCTTGTGTCTCAGAGAATAGGGAGGCCCAAGGAGAGGGAGAGAGATGAGAGAACAGCCTATTGTTGAAACAGTCAGAAAACACACAACATTTATCAATTGAGTTTGCCATCTTATATGGGTGAGACTTGTGGCATTCCAAAACAATTGCAATAGTAACACTGATCACTGATCACAGATCACTATAACTGACATAATAATAATAAAAAAGTTTGAAATA
The DNA here is from genome assembly GCF_000001405.40 of Homo sapiens. Lineage (NCBI taxonomy): Eukaryota > Metazoa > Chordata > Mammalia > Primates > Hominidae > Homo > Homo sapiens. The sequence goes on along the minus strand of NC_000002.12, from coordinate 104,992,252 downwards.
TTATAAGAAATACCTACATGTGACACAGATTCAAGAAGTGATCATATGCCTTTGGAATATGACGCCCATAGACTTGCTAGATTCAGGGTTGCCACAGACTTTCAATTTGAAAAAAAAAAATGCAATGTCTGTGAAGTACAATAAAGTGAAGCACAATAAAACATGGTATTTTCTTTATCCATTCATCCAATGATGAACGATTAAATTGTTTCCACATCTTGGCTATTGTGAATAATTCTGCAATGAACATGAGAGTGCAGATATCTCTTCAACATACTAATTTTACTTTATTTTTTATATACCCAGAAATGGGGTTGCTGGATCATCTGGTAGTTTTCTTTTTAACTTTTTAGAAACCCCCATACTGTTCTCCATAGCAGTGGCATTGTTTTACACTCCCAACAGTGCACAAGGATTCCAATTTCTCCACATTCTCGCCAATACTTATTATAATTTTTTTAAAAATTGTAGTCAAATTCATAGAAACAGAGAATAGAATGGTGGTTGCAGAGGCTGGTGGAGGAGGATGTGGGAAGTTGTTCACCAAGTATAAGTTTGCAAGATGAATAATAATAATTCCTAGAGATCTACTGTTCAACATAGTACCTATTCCTTTTTTGTTTGTTTGTTTGTTTTTGAGATGGAGTCTTGCTCTGTTGCCCAGGCTAGAGTGCAGTGGCACGATCTTGGCTCACAGCAACCTCTGCCCCGTAGGTTCAAGCAATTCTTCTGCCTCAGCCTCCCTAGTAGCTGGGATTACAGGTGCCCACCACCATGCCTGGCTAATTTTTGTATTTTTAGTAGAGACAAGGTTTTTCCACGTTGGCAGGCTGGTCTCGAACTCCTGACCTCATGTGGTCTGCCTGCCTCAGCCTCCCAAAGTGCTGGGATTGCAGGTGTGAGCCACCACACCCAGCCAGTACTTATTCTTAACAATATTGTATTGTGCACCTACAAATTTAAGAAAGCAGATCTCATGTTAAGTGTTTTTACCATCATAAAAAGTTATTACATTAATTAATTTTAAATTATTTAAAAATGTTATTAGAACATTTCTCAAAAACCCATGGAATGTACAACACCAAGAGTGAACTTTAATGTAAATTATGAACTTTGGGTGTTAATGATATGTCAATTAACCCCAGGACTACTAGGTCCCAGGCTCTGGGCACTCCTCCACTTCTTTATCTTCGAGTGCTCACAGCATAGTTGTGGAACCTCTCATTTCAAACTGCACTCATCCCCTTGATAATTTCGTGCACTGTTGTGGCTTCAAATTCCAAATTTAAATCTTCAGTCCTGATTACCCCTCTGAACTACAGACTAGGAAATCTTATTCCCTGCACGCCCCCCCATCCCCACTTGGGTGCCTAGTAGACATATCTGACTTAAGCAAAGTGAACTGATGATCTGTGGCCCCCTCTCCCAGCCCTGCGGAACCCTCATTCTTCCTCCTATCAGTAATGGCAACTCTGCCTTTCCAGTGCACAGACCAAAACACGGAGTCATCTTTGACTCCCTCTTCCTTGTCTCACACCCCACATCCAGCCCATCAAGAATTCCTGTTGAGTCTGTCTTAAAAGTAGACCGGGAATCCACTCCTTTTGCATCACTTCCACTGCTCACCAGTCTGGTTCAAGCCACTCTTGTCTCTCATCTGGAGAGTTGCCATCACCTCCTAAGTGACTGCTCTTCTTCTGCTCTTGCTGTCTTAGATGTTGGTCGGAACATATCATTCTTCTACTCAAAACCCACCTCACACAGAGTGAAAGAAAAGTCTTTACAATCATCTACAAAGACCCTACGAGATCAACCTACCCATCTCCCCAAAACTGCACTTACCCTCCAACCTCATCTCCTACCAGGACCGCCTTACTCACACTGCTCCAGCCATGCTCGTTTTTTTGTTGTTGTTATTGTTCTGTTTCTGAAATATGTCAGACATGCTTCTGTGCAGGGCTTTTGCTGTCTCCTCTCCCTCTTTCTGTGTTCCCCTTACCCCAGATATTCACATCTGGCCTCAGATATTCATGCGGTCAACTAATTCCCTCAAGAATGTGTTCAAGGCTGGGCAAGGTGGCTCACATCTGTAATCCCAGCACTTTGGGAGGCCGAGGCGGGCAGATCATGAGGTCAAGAGTTTGAGACCAGCTTGGCCAACATGGTGAAACCCCATCTCTACTAAAAATACAAAGAGCTGGGCATGGTGGCGCATGCTTATAGTCCCAGCTACTTGAGAGGCTGAGACAGCAGGATCGCTTGAACCCGGGAGGCGGAGGTTGCAGTGAGCTGAGATCCTGCCACTACACTCCAGCCTGGGTGACAGAGGGAGACTCCGTCTCAAAAAATAATAATAATAAAAAATTAAAAATAAAAAAATAAATTAAAAAAAAGAATGCATTCAAATGTTCCCTTCTCAATGAGGCTTTCCTGGGTCACATTATTTATTTAATTGGCAGCCCCAAGGTTTATCTTCCCTCATCATTTCATTTTTCTTCAAAGTATTGATGCCTTTTTAGAATATAGTTATTCGTTGTGTTTATTGTCTCTCTCCCCCAGCTAGAAGGTAAGGCATGAAACTTGTGAGTGTACATGATTTTCACCCCTGCAGCTGTATCCCCCGGTGCCTAGAACACATGGTAGGCACTCCACCCATACATGAATGGATGGATTAGTGAATGAAAGCATATATTCCCTCTGAAGTGATAGTTCTTCCTCATGCAAATGAGGAATAAGTATTTAACTGCTCTTGAAGACCTTTCCAAAGCTAAAAAAAAAAATTAAGCCAGAATCTCTAAAAGGATTATTGCTGTAAATATAGCCAACGTATTATGCTGCAGCTTGAAATGTAAAATAAACACTATTTTAATCAGAACGAAAGCGACTTATTTGCACTAAACTCTCACTTACCTAGATGCTGAAGGGTAACTGAAAGGGCACCTGCCCTCTGTAGAACCCGAAAGGCAAGAGAAGTCTTATTTTCGAGTCAACGTCTTGATTATGTCAATTTGTCATCCTTCTGCTTTTATTACTCACTGAATGAAAAATGAACTGAAATATTTAGCTTTATAATTCCTTGCACTGAGGAAGTTTTAAAATTTAGTAAGAAATGTGTCTTGATTTTTTAAAGCTCTCCATATGTATAGAGTTGAATTCAGATTGGAAGGAATTTCAATGATGCTATTAAGAATTGGTAAGCAATGTGATCTGGTGGAAAGGAATTTTTGTTTGCTTTTTTTGGGGTTTTTCCCCTTCTGCCTTTGCCAATAATTTGCAATGAAATTTCAAGGGACTCTCATTACTTTTCTGTTTTCAGGTTGAAAAATATGAAGAAGAAAAATTACTACTCTTTTATAACAATATTGTCATGTTTTATAAACTAACGTCAGTTAAGGTAAAAGTACTTTAAAATCTGAGGAAGAATTCACAATGTATTTATTTTTATTTTTTAGAAACGGGGTCTCATTCTGTCACCTAGCTCATGGCAGCCTTGAACTCGTGGGCTCAAGGAATCCTTCTGCCTCATCTTCCCAAGTAGCTAGGACTATAGGCACATGCAACCACACCCAACTAATTTTTTTTACCTTTTTGTAGAGACTGGATCTCGCTATGTTGCCCAGGCTGGTCTTGAACTCCTAGCCTCAGGAAATCCTTCTGCCTTAGCCACCCAAAGAGCTGGAATTACAGGCATGAGCCACTGTGCTTGGCCAAATTCATAGTTTAAGTTTAAAGTGCTATTATATATTCACCATGTGAATGGAAAGGTACTTTTGCGGTCTAATATTATGAACACAATGATCAAAGACTTCCGCAGGGAACGTCTCCACCATGTGCCATCCTTGTCCACAGGGAGGCCTGAATCCATCTCCAAATTTGTACAGTTTACAAAATTTTGTTATACAAATGCAAGGTATATTATTATTATTTTCTTATAGTAAGAGAAGTTTAATTAAAAGTTTTGAAAATACGGAAAGCCGCAATTTGCTTTTTTTCACATACTACTTATAATGTCTGAACTGTTCATCTACTATAGCAACCATTCTTTTGACTAAATGCACTTTCTCTTTTTTGTTTTAAATTTTTTACTTTAAGTTCTGGGATACATGTGCTGAACGTGCAGGTTTGTTACATAGGTGTCCATGTGCCATGGTGGTTTGCTGCACCTATCAACCTATCATCTAGGTTTTAAACCCTGCATGCGTTAGGTATTTGTCCTCATGCTCTCCCTCCCCTTTCCCCCCATCCCACTCCCTATGTCCATCTGTTCTCATTGTTCAACTCCTACTTATGAGTGAGAACATGCAGTGTTTGGTTTTCTGTTCCTGTGCTAGTTTGCTGAGGATGATGGTTTCCAGCTTCATCCATGTCCCTGCATGAACTCATTCTTTTTTATGGCTGCATAGTACTCCATGGTGTATATGTGCCACATTTTCTTTATCCAGTCTATCATTGATGGGCATTTCAGGTGGTTTCAAATCTTTGCTATTGTAAATAGTGCTGCAATAAACATATATGTACATATGTCTTTATAGTAGAACAATATTATAATATTATATTATTAAATTAAATTATTCTTTTCTACGTTAGAAGAACTCCTTGATAGAAAATGGACCTCAAAATTTACACAACACTTTATGTTATATTAATATCTTTCATGCTTGAGAGAATCAAGAGCAATAAAGAATCTGTTGGCCTAAATTTTGGGAAGGCATTTTTAACTGTAAGTAATTTGCACAGATGTAAGATCCTATCATAATGCAATTCTGTAAAGCAGGCATGACATATTCCCACATCTTACACAAGGATATTGAGGGCTCACAAGGTTGAGATGTGTGCGAGGTCACATAGCTGGCAAGTGGAATAGTGGAGATTCTAAATCGGGCCCCTTGACTCCTCCCCCATTCTCTTCCCATTATTCTTGAAAGGTGGTTCAGGTGTCAGGAGTGGGGCATATTCACAGTACTATTTTTTATTTTTATTTTTTGAGATAAAGTCTCACTTTGTCGCCCAGACTGGAGTGCAGTGGCACTATCTTGGCTCACTGCAACCTCCACCTCCCAGGTTCAAGCAATTCTCCTGCCTCAGCCTCCCAAGTAGCTGGGATTACAGGCCTGTGCCACCACACCCGACTAATTTTTGTGTTTTTAGTAGAGACGGGGTTTTACCATGTTGGCCAGGCTGGTTTCAAACTCCTGACCTCAGGTAATCTGCCCACCTTGGCCTCCCAAAGTGCTGGGATTACAGGCGTGAGCCACCATGCCCAGCCTTACAGTTCTATTTATATTGATAAAATATTATCCTGTTTTTTTCTATCAGAAATTTAAATATTTCAAAAAGAAAATCTGAAAAAAATTAACATTTGGTGTTCTTGAAAAATCACCTTTTCATGCCCTTCAAGAGAAATGAACATAGATCTTATACAGATGCACAAATTCCAACGGAAATGGTTTAAAATATCTTGTGATTGTAAGTGTTATTAGAAAGTACGATTATATAACTGTACTATATTGTTTCGCCCCCTCTGCTGGGTCTCCTCCATTCCCTTTGAATTTCTTTCACTGAAATTTGATGCCATCAGCTTAATTAAGAGACATTACATGGTTTAGCCCTGTGGAAAAAAAAAAAAAAGAAAGTACGATTATATTCTAAGATTTCTGAAACCATGTATCTTCAAATCCCCCATTATCTGGTAAGCAATAGGCACTCAATAAATGTTTTTGAATGTACAAATGAATAAGTGCAAGTATTTCTGTATTCATTATTTGCATAAATGTATCTTTTCCATGTGCTAACCTATATTGTTAGTTATCTTTGCTTGAGTGCCTATCTGACCTTCCTAACTAGATTTTCATTTTTGAGGCCAAGAACACTGTCCTGTTCTTGGTGTTTCCATCCTTGGGGAGCATTGTGCACACAGCATGTTTATAGTGAACATTGACTTGAAATGGAAAGAGAGATGAGTATCTGTTTCTGACCCTTCCTAGGCACTTCCTCGGATGCTGTCAGCCTCCTCACTACCTTTAGGACTCTTTGCAGCTTGTTTTCTCTCACAGCAGCCATGTCCACCAGCTCAGCTGGGGCTCCACCAGCAGCCCCAACATTGCAGGCTTCCCAGGGGTGGACCACATGCTGCCTCCCCTGTGTTTATCCCCTCCTGCCTCCAAGGCCTGGGAGGTGGAAGGACCCACGTGGTACCAAAGTCCAGTGCAGGTGGTTAACATTCTTGGGCCAAACCTTGATAGATAGGAGCTAGGAGCTATGGATGCATTCTTCTCCTTCTCTCCCCTTCCCATTTGGAGACTGTAGTTCATGGGGTTTTCAGAAGATGCTTCTGTGAGATGAAGCTGTCCGTTCTGACAGCATCCTCTCAGAAAAGCTCTCCACCTTCCTTTCTTCGTGCTCTCTTTCCATCCTCTTAATTCCCTAGGAGTGTATTTCCTAATAAAGTGGCTGCTCAAATGTTTTGATCTCAGCCTCTGCTTTCTAGGGAACCCTGGCCAGGACACTATTTTGAGCAGTGCTGACAGTGGCTCCCTTTGCTTTTGTGGGGTAAGGGAGTGGGAGGCAGCTTGTGATGGATTTCTGGGGTGCTGACTCCTGGCAGCCTTCTCTCCTCCTTCCCCTGGAAACTGGTCCCCTCTCACAAGCCCATCTCAGGGGCTTCTGCTTTCTTCTATGGTCCTACGTCTCAGGCCCCTGCAAAATGGGTCATGTACCTAATTTGAGCTGTTGACTCTTAGTCCTGCTCCCACCCCCATGGCACTTGATTGGTCTTGGGTTGGCCCAAGCCAAGTCCTTCCTGTTATTTTGTTTTGTTTGTTTTATTTAGTTCTGAGGAGAGCAGTCCCTTTCTCCTGTGGCAGAAGCATGAGATGTAAAATCAGGGAGCTTGTTTCATGAGGTAGAGGAAGCTGGTTAGTAGTGAGAGCGAAGGAAGGCAACACACAGAGGAGAAGGAAATGAGAGGCGGAGGAAACATGAAAGGTACTGACTGGTACAAACCCCAGTTGTCCTTTGTGATGATGAAGGCATAGTCCCTAGGCCAAACATTGGTGATTGTCCCACTTCCTATTTTCTTTGCTACTAGAATCCATATTTTATTCAGGGCAGAAATGAGCCATTATGACAATCCTGCTTTCCTTTTTCAGGCACACAGTTTTCCAGAGTCATATGACCCTTTTCTATCCAATAAAAAATGTCCTGGAAAGCTCTCCTTTCATGATAAGATTGGCATAAGAGGAGAGTTACCTGGTGCTGCTTCTTTCCCTGTCTGAAACATGGATGAGATGGCTGGAGCCACAGCAGCCACCCTGCAACAGAAGGCCACCAGCATGAAGGTGTGTCTCAGCAAGCCTGGGCTATGATAACAAGGTGCCAGAGCCTGGGGGGCTTACAAAATACAGAAATTTATTTCTCACAGTTCTGGAAGCTGGAAGCCTGAGATCAGAGTGCCAGAATGGCTGGGTTCTGGTGAGGGCCCACTTCTGGGTTCCACACTGCTGACTTCTCATTTTATTCTCATATGGCAGAAGCAGGGTGACAGAATTCTTGGGGGTACCTTTTACAAGACTACTAATCTCATTCACAAGGGCTCCACTCCCTCATGACTTAATTACCTCCCAAAGGTCCCACCTCCTATACCGTCACCTAGGGGGTTAGGATTTCAACACAGGAATTTTGGGGGTACAGAAACATTCCGCCCATAATAGAGTGAAAAGCCAGTACTTTAAGGATGTTGGACTAGAAAGAAGAAATAACCATGATCTTTCATGATGTGGTTGAGCTGTGGAACCAACTCTGAGATAACTTAATATTCAAACTTCTGATTAAGTAGGCAACATGTAGTTTTAATTAGGTGTTCTTTCTTCCTGGCAGTTGAATCTATCTTAACAGAATATAATAGAGTAGAAAAAACCTAGAATTTGTCCTCTGGCTGCTAGAGATGTAGAAGTTGTTCTGGGATCCAAAGACACAGTGAAGAGAGTTGGGAGAAAGGTCCAGAGACGTCATGGTAGGCTGGGATCTGGTGGTGGTGTTGGTGGTGACGGTGATGATAATGAGGGTGGTGGTGATGATGGTGCGGTGGGTGGTGATGGTGATCCTGCTGGTAGTGGTGACGGTGGTGGTGCTGGGGCTGACAGTGGTGATGTGTTTATTATGGCTCAATGGGTTCACCAAAGTGATCTGGCTCAAAATTAAAGTGCTGGCTTTAAATGAGTGACTGAACATAAGAGCCCAAACGCTGGGTCTCAATATTTTTACAGGTTTTAGAAATGGATAGAAAATCAAATAATCAGCAAAGGAATCGTAATAACAAAAGTACTTTTTTTTTTTTTGAGACGGAGTTTCACTCTTCTCACACAGGATGGAGTGCAGCAGTGGTGCTATCTTGGCTCACTGCAACCTCCGCCTCCCTGGTTCAAGCAATTCTCCAGCCTCAGCCTCCCAAGTAGCTGGGATTACAGGCATGCACCACCATGCCCAGCTAATTTTGTATTTTTAGTAGAGATGGGGTTTTATCATGTTGGCCAGGCTGGTCTCAAACTCCTGACCTCAGGTAATCCACCCACCTTGGCCTCCCAAAGTGTTGAGATTACAGGCGTGAGCCACCGTGCCCAGGCACAAAAGTACTTTTAAATGACTTTCTTTTAATTTAGGAAATTGGGTGAATTAACTGGAGGTCCCAGAATAACGAAGATCTGTTTTGTGTTGGACACCAGTGGGCTGGTTTTCTTATACCCCCATTCTTTGTTATTCTTTCTCTCTCTTGCCTCCTTTTATTTACTCACTCTGCTTTTCTTTCTCTTTATCAAGTAATGAGAAATAAACTGATGTCAATAAAATTTGCCCCCATCTCACCTCCTTGATCAATATGTGTTCCATCCCGGTGAGAGAGTCTTGTGGGTTTTAGCTGGGAAGGCCCCCACCTCAGTCTGTTCTCACAAGTTCCATTCTCCTGTGCTTCAGCTGAGGTATTAATATTATTTGAGCTTACACAGGCTGAGAAGTAGCTATTATCTCAATATGACAGTAAAACAGTTGATTACTTCCTGAAGTACCTCTTTAAATCAAGAATCCCCCTAATAAAACCTTTTAAAAATTCTTTTAAATTATAGAATCTGAACCAACCAGTCTCTATACTCCATGGAGCCCTCTCCTAGGCTTAATCCTGAAAAGCCCCCTTTCTCCCTGAATGGCAGGAGATCGGAGAATGCAGACGCAGTGACTGTGGCCAAGGTGTCTGTGAGAAGCCAAGGACCTGCCTCAAACTTGGCCACCAGTCGCATGACCCGGGATAGATTGCTGGTTGTCTCTCTGTGCCTGCTTCCTACCTAGAGCTCAACGTAGCAAAAATGCCTTCATTACATCAAATAGCAAAAAGCTATGAGAGGGAAGGTGCTTATGGAAGTTCCATGTCTGATTGTTCTATTTTGATTATATTTTGTTTTAATCATTTAAACTAAAAAACTAAGACAAACTGTTTATAGTTGGCCAGAGTGGAAATTCACAGGCTTTTCCATCATTGTTGTGTCAAACATTTCCATCTGATAGTGCTTTAATAATGCATATTCTGGCCGGGCACGGTGGCTCAAACCTGTAATCCCAGCACTTTGGGAGTCCAAGGCAGGCAGATCACGAGGTCAGTAGTTCAAGACCATCCTGGCCAACATGGCGAAACCCTGTCCCTATTAAAAGTACAAAAATTAGCCAGGCGTGGTGGCAGGCACCTGTAGTTCCAGCTACTCGGGAGGCTGAGGCAGGAGAACTGCCTGAATCCCGGAGGCGGAGGTTGCAGTGAGCCAAGATCGTGCCATGCACTCCAGCCTGGGTGACAAGAGCAATACTCCATCTCAAAAAAAAAAAAAAAAAAAAAAGCATATTTTTTCTCTGTCTTTAGGCCTGATGGCTTTTGCCATTTTGAGTGCTACATTTAGAATCTAGCTCCCACGCCCGCAGATTTCCCATGGAGGAGCCTGCTCATGTCACTGTGGAGGGGTGTCTTCAATTTGAGACGATTTCATCTGATTGTGGTTGGCAGAAAAAAGCAGAATTTGATTCTTGCTGAAGGGATTTTTACTGGTTCACACTGAAATGTTAATTCTGCCTAAACCATTAATTTATAAAACCTTTCAGTGTACTTTAAACTCTTCTTTTGGAGGTAAAGTCATCCTGCCACCTCCTTTCAGTTTTTCAGAGCTAGGTGAACTGTTATCATTGGCAAGATAATGTAGACTCCCTTGAGCGTATTTGGTATTTTTTCTTTATGGGTGCTATGGTCTGAATTTTTGTGTCTCCCTTCTAAAATTTATATGTTAAAATCCTAACCCCCATCCTAAATTTATATGTTGAAAACCTAACTCCCAAGGTGATGGGATTAGGAGATGGGGCCTTTGGAGGGCGATTAAAATCACGGGGGTGGAGCCCTCATGAATAGGATTAGTGCCCTTACGAAAGAGAGCCTGTCTACCATTTTCACCATGTGGGGACACAGAGGGAAGGTGCCATCTATAAATCAGGAAGGAGGCCCTCACCAGACACTGACTGCCAGTCCCTTGATCCCAGACTTCCCCACCTCCAGGACTGTGAGGAATAAATTCCTGTTGTTTATAAGCCACCTAGTTTATGTTATTTTGCTCTAGTAGCCTGAATGGACTAAGACAGTGAGGATGATGCATGCAAATGTAATCCTTCCTTATCTAGTGTAAAATATTCTCTACAGCATCTACCTTAGCTAGAATATTTGAAAATGAGAAATGAAATATTCATAATATAAAGCCTACAGCCCTGAATTTTAAAATATTTTGGCATATTTTGGGAACTTAACCAATGAGATGAATTTGCTGAAAATCAGCATTTCAGTGTTTATTGAGTCCATGGGAAGGGAAGCCCCTCCACTTATTCCATCATCCGCTGGAACGCATGCTCCATACAGCAAGGGCAGGGCATGCCTGGTTAGCCAAAATTGTATCTGGCACTTGGATGACTCCCCCTTAAAGTGGCTAAGCTTTTCTCAATTCTGGGACAAAATCCCTGTCCTATGACCACACTACACATAGACCACATATGTGCTGGGAAGTAAAATTTTAATGGCTCTAAAATTGTTCAGGAGGTTGGAAAAGGAAAAGAACGTTAATCAAACAATATTCTCTTTACTTATAGAAACTAGTGTTGGAGGAACCTGGGCCCAAACATAGGTCCTCCCATGGTGTTAAAGGTAGAGACCAGATGAATGAGTCCTTAGTCTGACAGATCACCGCAGTGAATTTCAGAGTGTGGAAAGGCAGGCCTGGTGCTTAGTTTAGGGTCCACTGCGGTGCAAAGCTTATCTGAGGCAGAGGATGAACTAGTGACTTTGGATGTCAGCAGCCAGCAGGTAGTGAGAGAGAAAAGGGCACCCGAGAGGGAAAGTGGCTTGAAAGATGGCAACAAATTGGGCCCAAAGGGTCAAAATTGGCTAACAAAAATGTCAGGGGATGGCAATGGCTTTTGAGGATAGTTATGTCTAATAACATTTTATTGCACCGCTAATTCATTCAGCAGACCTTTATTGAGTATGTATTATTTGTCAGGCCCTGTGTTAGGCACAAGGAATACAACAGCTAGTTACAAAAAGAAAAATCCAATATTCCTACTTTCCTGGGGCTTACTTTCTAGAGGGGAGCAGGATATTAACTAAATAAGCACACTTGGATTTTAAGTTATGATTAGGATCTGAAAAGAAATGAACAATGTGAGGACCTTCTCTAGGCTGGGGAAAAGGGAAGGGGAGAGCAAGGCAGGGATCTTCTGAGGAAGTGACTCTTGAGCCCAGGAGCTCAGGTATCTCCCTGAGCTCTTTGGGAATCCACATTCCCAAATGTGGATTCACCTCTTCACGTGGAATGAAATGGTTCCGACAAGATTAGCAGGACACAATAAACAAAGCATTCCTTGAAATATATTTGTTTGTCCTCACCAAGCAAAGATTTCCAGTGGACTTTTAGTAGGTTTCCTAATATTCCTTCTTGCACTAACACACAGCGTTGTGGTGCCAAGCCTCTGCTCTGCTGGTTCCTCCACTTGGAAGCCCTCTGGTAGACATTTCTATCACATGTCCGGCTCTTTACTGTTTTCCGAGGTCCAGTTAAAACACAATCCCTTAATTCAGACAGCTTTCCTGACTGGTCTCAAGAGAAGCACTCTCTCCTGCTCTGAACCCTGTCCTGTTTTGCTGGTTTTTCACGTACGTCACCTAACATTTCCTGCCTCACATCAGACTCATTTGTGTACACTCAGCTCCTTGCTGCCTGGAATGTAGCCTCCCTGATGGAGAAGCCGTGCTCTCTGGGTATCTCCCGCAAGTTCTGGTGTCATGATTTATACACATCATTGTGGGTGCTCAGAAGTTATTTCTAGAAGGATTTCCTTGGAGTTTAGGTCATGGATGAAGAAAAGACCATAATGGGAGAGGCTCTTAGAGCTTCTAACTTCTATCTCAGACTGGCTCCATGCTCAGACGATTTGGTCTCCGTTCTTCATTGGTAGGGAACATTAGGCCATTAGGCAAAGGAAGGGACCTGCTATGTGTGTTTTTCTTTCTTTCTTTCTTTTCTTTCTTTTCTTTCTTTCTTTCCTTCCTTCCTTCCTTCCTTCCTTCCTTCCTTTCTTTCTTTCTTTCTTTCTTTCTTTCTTTCTTTCTTTCTTTCTTTCTTTCTTTCTTTCTTTCTTTCTTTCTTTCTTTCTTTCTTTTCTTTCTTTTCTTTCTTTTCTTTCTTTCACTCCTGAGCCCAGGGATGAAGAATGAGCAGGAGTTGTATATGCAAGACATGGGGAAGAGAACATTTCAGAGAGAGGCAACAAGAAAGAGCAGCAGGCACCAGCGAGAGCAGAGTGAACAAGGAGGATGGCACCAACTGAACCTATTGGGCTACCCAGAGATGAGATCACAGAGGGCCTTGTAATTTTTGCTAACCAATTTTTTATTTTACTGTAAGTGAAATGGAAACTTCTGAAAGCTTTTCGATAAGGAAAGGGCATGGCCCCATTTGAGTTCCTAAAGACTAACTCTGCCTGCTTTTTGGAGAATAGATTGAAAGGGGATAGGAATAGGATTGGAAAGACCAGCATGATGGTTAATTTTATGTGTCCACTTGACTGGGCTAAGGAATAGCCAGATAGCTGGTAGTATATCATTTGGGGGTGTACCAGTGAGGGTGTTTCCAGAAGAGATTAGCATTTGAATCCACAGACGGAGCAACAAAGATTTGTTCTCACCAATGTGGATGGGCATCATCCAACCCATTCAGAGCCTGAACAAAACAAAAACACATTCCAAATCACTCTTTTTTTGAGGTGAGACATCCAGCTTCTTCTGTCCTCAGAAACAAGAGATCCTGGTTTGGGGGCCTTCAGATTCAGACTGGGGCTTACACCACTGACTCTCCTGCTTCTCAGGACTTGGGCTTAAATTGGAACTGCACCACCAGCTTTCCTGGTTCTCTAATTTGCAAATGGCAGATCGTGGGACTTCTCAACCCCCATAATAGCATGATCCAAACTTTTACAATAAATCTCTCTCTCTCTCTCTCTCTCTCTCTCTCTCTATATATATATATATATATATATATATATATATATCCTATTGATTATACTCTTATTGACTTTATATATATATATCCTCTCTGTATATATATAGAGAGAGAGAGATATCTCTCTCTATATATATGTATATCCTATTGATTATACTCCTATTGATTTTATATATATATAATCCTCTATGTCTCTCTATATATGTAGAAATAGATAAACATCTCCTCTCTCTCTCTCTCCATATATATATATATATATATACATACACACACATGCACACACACAAAGAGAGAGACATATAGATAGATAGATAGACAGATGGATATAGCGAGAGACATATATACATCTTCTATTGATTCTGTTTCTCTGGAAGACCCTAACTAATACAACCAGGTGAAGGATGACTGCAGAAGTCCAGGCAAGAATCATGACAGCATGGATGGAGGTGTTGCTGTAGAAATGGAGAGAAGGCTTAGGGCTACACATATGTTTAGGCATGACCAACTAGAAGTGAGTCAGAATAGAAGTGAGTCAGGAACTTCATAAGTTCCTGCAGCATCTCCTCTACAGAATTTGGCTGAGGAGGTATGCAGTACATTCATTGCTAGCATGCTAATTAGAGGAGAGACACCAGGCATCAGTCTGGTCATCCAAATAGTGAGTAAGGAAATAAGCTCCTTCCTTTTGGATAAGCCATTGTTCATGGGAACCATTGCCCTCATGATTATTTCTTTTCAGAACAGGTGCACACAGACAATGCCTTTTATTTTGTTGGTAGATCCCTTTCTATTGGCACTGCTTCCAACTGCTCTGTTAGCCTGGCTTACCTTTTGCCTTACACCTTTTCATGAGCCACCCATCTTTGAGTGCCATTTTCCATGCCAGCATATGTATGCCTATTTTCCCAGCAGCCCCCAGTGTGGCCCCCTTCCTCCTCACCATGTGTCAGGGTTCCCTTGCTGTATCTATTCTGAGAAGTCTGAAAAATTCTACGGTTAGAGTTTGGAGTTAAAAGGAAGGAGAAGATAGAGCGAGGCTGTGAAAATACCCTGCTAATAGTAGCAGAAATGTACATGAAAAACACTTACCGAGAGATGCCTTTTATAGCATCTACATTATTATACTAACAGAAGTAAATTGTATTTTGATTGTGGCCGGTTGAAAACCACATCCTCCATGTATGAAGTATATAATCAGCTTAATCAGTTGCTGATCCCAGGACAATTTCATCCCAGTGTATTGGGAGAGTGCAAATAACATAGAGTTTATTCCATTCTTCTTAGTAATTTAAATGTCACTTTGTTAAATGAACTCGAAGACAGATTTGCATTACTTGAATTCAGGGTTTCCAATAATAATGTAACACTTTTCCTTCTCCCAATACCAAAGCAATGGCTTAATATAAAAAGCAAGTGGTTAAATTCAAAACATTTTCCCACATGAGTGTCTTTTACTGCTATAATTTTTTTTTTGTTTTTGGTGTCAAATTTATTTTTAAAATCTTGCTAAAGATGCCAGTTATTAGGCGATTGTCTGTCAACTTCAAACCCACTTCTGTGTGGTTTTGTGTTGCTGGGGCTGGGACTCTGCAAACCACACTTTACCTTTCCAGTGGCTTCTCTGATCAACTCTGCCAATAGGCGGTGCTAGAGGGAAGTTGTGCTTTGGAGGTGGAAAGGGGGACCTGGCTCCTTCCTGTTTCCTTCCAGTTTGCTTCCTGTTCCTGCAGTGTCACTCCAGCCTCATCTCTTCATGCAGACAGCAGCAGTTCATTGCAGTAGTAACAGCCGGACCTAGTTTGCAGCTTTTCCAGCACTCAGAACCAGCTTCATCTCACCCTGTGAGAGATGCCTGCACCAGCCAGCTGGTGTCCCTCCTCAGAAGTCTGCATCCCAGCACTGTGGGGCCTCTTCTTCAAGCTTCTAAGCTTTAATAATCTCTACCTCTAGTCGTAGGGGAGGCAGCTGCTTCCTGCTACCTCTGTGATATCTTAGTGTTCCCTTTTTGCCTTTTCAGTTCCTCAATTTCTAGTTAACGGGTCTTTATGCTAAAAGGTCTCTGTTAAAATAGCTGGTGTGGCTTCAGTATCTTGGCTGGACACTAAATGATATACGAGGTACCATGAAGCCACTATGAATGACTGACACCTGTGTGACTTTCCAGCCTCTCTGAGAATTCTGAGCTGCATTAAACAAGACTTAGTGTTGCTGGGCTGTAAATGCCCCAGTTTCACGGTGATGAAGACCCACTATAGCCTAGTGCAATTGATACTGCTGAAAACCTCTGGTCCTGCCAAACATTGTTTTATGCAAAAGCCCATGCAATAGAGACATTTGGAGAAACAAGAGAAATCGAAGCCATAAAAGTAGCATTTGCCAGTTTTTCCAGCTGATGTCCACTGAGAATTCTTTATAGGAGATTAGAAGGATTTCTTTCCCTAAAGAGAGCTGATAAAATAAAAGAATTTTAAGTTCTGAGCTTGCATGCCTGTAGCTCAAAGCTGTCATTAGACTTCTTGTGGCCAGGGTGACAGTATGGTAGTCAGGGAACTACCCTCAGCTGTAAAGTCCTTTTATTCTTCATTTGCAAACACTCTGACAACAAAATGCTGAAAAGGAGCTTATAACAAAACCATGTAGGAGATAGCATGCCTGTGGGGTCAGAAGCCAGCGTTTCTGTTCCTGTAAGGCGGGTGATCTGGGGGAGTTATGTTCCAGCTTCCTCATCTCAAAAAACACAACGATAATTCCTGCCCTGGATAGCTCTTTTGAGAATTAAACAAAATAATATTTGCAATGAAGTGAGCCAGGGCTTGGTATCCAACAGGTGTGTGATGATGTGGGCAGCCTTTCCACTCCCACCAATGTCTGCTCTCTTAAGTCCCAGTTGGGCTAAGTACTCCTAAGTACCCCTAAGTCCCAGTTGGGCTAAGTACTCCAAACTACCCCTAAGTCCCAGTTGGGCTAAGTACTCCTAAGTACCCCTAAGTCCCAGTTGGGCTGACTACTCCTCAAAAGCAAAACCTGCCAGGTTGGTGTGAAAATGAGGTGCAGACTCCTGTCATGGGATAGGAGTCACAATTGTTTCTTGCTTTTAGTTTCTAGTTTAGTGCCACCTCCACCAACCTTCCACTTCCCCTCATTACCACGTCCACACTGTCATGGAACAAATAGAGCCAAGACACATGGTGTACAATTTATGTAGCTGCTTTCACGTTCTACCGACCCTGTTTTGTTTTGTTTTTGTTGTTGTTGTTGTTGTTGTTGTTTTTGAGACAGAGTCTTGCTCTGTCTTCCAGGCTGAGTGCAGTGGCGCGATCTTGGCTCCCTGCAAGCTCCGCCTCCCCAGTTCACGCCATTCTCCTGCCTCAGCCTCCCGAGTAGCTGGGACTACAGGACCACGCCACCACGCGTGGCTAATTTTTTGTATTTTTTTAGTAGAGACGGGGTTTCACCGTGTTAGCCAGGGTGGTCTCAATCTCCTGACCTCGTGATCCGTCCGCCTTGGCCTCCCAGAGTGCTGGGATTACAGGCGTGAGCCGCCGCGCCAGGCCCCGACTCTGTTTTGAATAGTTTGCCATTTCTTTGCTTCCTCTGGGACATTAGGGAGTTATGTTGGAGTGTGGCCGAGAGAATTTAAATCATGTGAAGCTTCTCTCTTGATGTAGCACTTGCTGTTCTATCTATATGGATGGAGACTCACTGCTTTGGGACCACAGAGATGTGGGCTCTGTAACCCCTCTAGGCATTTGAGAGGTCTCCAAGCCTCCCCAGATATCTTTGGTGTCGCCCAGAAAGGAAATGGGTCATTCCCTTCCCAGTCTAGTTCACTTAGTCCCAGAATGATTGAAACAAAACTGAAATCAAATCCATCTCCTACTTAAAAGCCTCAATGACTCCTCATTATCTACAGGATAATAGCTTAGCTGCCACTTAGTCTTCCAAGATGCCCCTTTCATTGAGCCATGTCTTCTGGTAGCCACTCCCTTGAATAGTGCCCTCAGCATTGAATCTGGGCTGGCAGAGAGGCTTTCAAGTCTAGGGCATGGGACTTCGCAGCTTCTGTCCTGTTCTTTGCAACTTCCACTTTGGAGAAGCCAGCTATCGTGAGAAAAGCCCAATTACCCTGATACCTCCATGCTGTGAGGAAGGCAGGGGTAGCCACGTGGAAGGCACAGAGGCTGCATGGAGATGGAGAGAAGCCAGCCGTCCCTCTGTTGCAGTCCAGCCTTCACATGACTCCAGCCCAGCCATCCACTAAGTGCATTTGTAGGAGACACCCCAGTGAGACCAGCAGAAGAACTTCCTGGTGGGACCCAGTCAGACAGTGGTTGAAGCTGGAACAGTGAGGAGCTGGAGCAGGTGGAGACCGGCCACATCCCTGTCTTCACGATGTCTCAGCTTCACCGTGTGTTCACCCCAGGTGGGCTACTTTGGGCTTCCGCCAAGCATGTGGTGGCTTCCAAGAGCAAGTGACCTAAGAAGCAGGAATTGGAAGTTGGCAGTTTCTTGGGCCTTCCCAGGCTTAGAAACCAACATGGCATCACTTCTGTCTTATTCTATCAGTCAATCAGTCACAAGATCCAGGCTCAAGGACAGGGGACTCAGACATGCTCTCTTGATGGGAGAAGTCTCAAAGAATTCAGAGACCACGTTACAAAGTGTTTCAGTCCGATCTCTGGCCAAAAATTACTTATAATTCTCTCATGTGCAAAATACACTCACCCTTTTTCTTCCTTGCACACATTCCTACCATTGCAGGCACCATACTGTTTTAATTAATCATTTACATGTTTGCCTGCGTTTTGAACTTCCTTAGAAACAGATAGGGTGTCAAATTCATCCTTATTTCCCTTGTGCCTGGTATGCTTATTACACAGCATATAATAATACCCAGTGAAGGATGAACCACTAGGCCGGGTGTGGTGGCTCCCCCTGCCTGTAATCCTAGCACTCTGGGAGGCCGAGGCAGGTGGATCACCTGAGGTAAGGAGTTCAAGACCAGCCTGGCTGACATGGCGAAACCCCATCTCTACTTAAAAAAATACAAAAAATTAGCCGGGCATGGTGGCAGGCACCTGTAATCCCAGCTACTTGGGAGGCTGAGGCAGGAGAATTGCTTGAACCTGGGGGTTGGAGGTTGCAGTGAGCTGAGATCATGCCACTTCACTCCAGCCTGGGCTAAAGAGCAAGACTCTGTCTCAAAAAAAAAAAAAAGGATGAACCACCATAAACTATACTGTGCACACATACAGTCAACAGATTGTGATGAACATGAATTGAGAAAGTAGAATATCAACTAATGGTTGGACTGAACATAGTATTGAATGACACATTACCTAAACAGCTATCTCCCTCTTCTCAAGTCTATTCAAATCATTTTGAAAATTAAAAATAATTTTTAAAAATTTGGAAGTAGAAATGGAACCAGCAGAAGGCTACTCATAGTGTTGCTAGGGGAGCAAATAATATTAACATTTGTTATCCTGTCCTATCTGCTCACTCATGTTTTATCTTTATTTTTGCCTTCCTTTTCTACTGAGCTGGGTCAGGTGAGAGCTGGAGTCAGGCTGTGGCCTTCCTCAGTTGGCAGGTAACTCACCAGTTTGTTCATCCTTCTTTTTCTCTTATTGAAAGCACTTTGATCCAACCTGTCAGAAATATAAGCCAGGGCAGTAGGTCAGTACTGCCCTGAGCCATCATGAACTCTTGTCCATGGGAAAGAGGGGATTTGGAGAGCAGAAAAATGGAGACAAGTTTCAATTTAGATTCAAAAAAATCTAGGAGACAGTCCCATGGTCATTAGATCTTTTCTAAATTTGCAGCAAATGGAGGAGTTTTGAGCTCCAAATGTTGTGATGTTTGTCCCACATCTGAATCTTGAAAGGAACCAGTTTGTGCCTCAGTCAGTTTGCGTGGAACCTGGTGCAGGATTGAAGTTACAGGACGGTGCTCCTGGAAGGGGGTAAGGATTCAGTGGTGAGGATCTAGGGCTAGCCAAGAGAGGGAAAACCATCATTTTATTCATTTTCTCACCAACACCTAGTTATGTACAACCTGCCTTGTGCCAGGCACTGATCCAGTCCCTAGGAATATGATGGAGCACTAGGCAGTTAGGGTTCCCACCCTTGGGGAGCTTACATTTCAGTGAGGGGGACACATATGTTTTAAGCTAAAAATCCATGTGATACTTATAAGTTCTAGAAAGGAATCAACAAGGAGGTATCATGGACAGTCAGTGGACAGGGCAGTATTTTAGGCAACGTAGTCAAACCTTTCTGAGGATGAAACATTACAGTTAAAACATGAGGGGTGAGGAGGAGGCAGCCAGATAGACCTCTGGAGGAGGAGATGCAGCACCTGGTTCTAGGTACCTGACAGAGGTGGATGGAGTGAGATCCTGCAGCCCTCTCAAGCCAGCTTGAGGGGTATTTTAAGGACAATAGGAAGTCATTAAAGGGTTTTAAGATGGAGAGTAAAATAGTTATGCTTTAAAACCTTCAGCCTGCATACTGTATGGAGAACAAAACAGAACTGGCGACATCAGTCTTCATACTCATCCAGTAGTCCAGACAAGATAGGAAGATGGCTTAGACATGAGGAGTGCCAATGAAAGTGGGGAAAATGAATGGATTTGAGGCATATTTTGGCAGTATTGCCAACAGGACCCACGGGTAAATTGAGGGAAGAACAAAAGAAGACTCAAATTTCTTCAGAACTGTGTGGCCCCTTATTGAGAGGATCATCTTCAGATGCCTATAGACATCCAAGTGGAAATGCCAGCTCAACAGTTGCATATATGAGCCTGGAACACAGAGGAGCATTCTGGAGGTGCCTGCACAGAGACTTAATGCACAAGATCAGATGTGTTCACTAATGAGAACATGTGATGCAAGGCAGACAGGAACCCAGGACCAAGGCCCAAGGGCCCCAATGTTTGGAGGCTGTTAGGGAAGCAAAGGACTAGGGGTGGGTTGGTGAAGCATATTTTTACACCTTCACTCATGCTATTCCTGTTGTCTTTAGTGTTCTTCTTCCCTTTCTTTGACTGGTAAGATCCCAATCATCTTTCATAACCCAATTCAAATGGCATCACTCCAATGTTGACACACTGTCTCAACCAGGCTCCATGTGAGCCTTTGCTGACCCCACCAGCCCCATCCCCAACCGAGCAGAATCAGTTGCTTCCTCCTCTGTCAGCCCTTTGTTCAAATGCTCCCTGGGTTCCAGGCAGTTACTGACTTGTCCTTTTCCCAAAAATGATTGGAGCTCTTCCAGTCAGGAATCGGTGGCTTTATTTCTTCTTATAACTGGATACAGACCCAGTACTTAGCAAACTATACATATTCGTTGAATGAATGAATCAATGAATGGATAGATGGAAGAATGGTCTATATAGTATAAAGTAACCTGACAGTCAGCTAGTAGATGTGGGCTATCTGAAAAGATTGGATAATTTAGGTTGGGAAGTTTAGGTTAGGAAGGGTGGACAGGAATCCTCAGAGCAGATCTTTGAGAACCAAGCTGCCTATAGAATGATCCATACATAAGATGTTGCTTATAACTAAGCTTGAGGAATATTCACTGATGAATGTTCACCACCAAGTCATTGATCTCCTTGTACAGCAATGAGGTTTCTTGTGGAAGTCACTGAAGAGAAACAAGGGAGTCTTGCCAAATATCAGGGAGTCAGGGTGTGCCGAGCTTCAGCAGAAATACAGATTCTGGAATGTAAAGGTGAAGACGGTTGTGAGAAGACAGAGTCCACTACTGGCCTCTGGTTCTTTTTCACTGAGTTAATTTCCTGAATGCATGTGGTTGCTGGCAGCAAAAAATCCATCTCTCCCAGTAACAGAAGGGTTTTGCCAAAGAGTAGCTCTGACAGGTTGTGTAAAAGTTGTGTAAAAGCAGCAACAAAACACGTCTCTGTTCATTCTCAAGTTGCTGCTGCTTTCTGCACTTCCAGCAGTGCTGGGGCTCCAGTGTTCCGGCTACAGCAGTGCCACTGACACAGGCGTTGGGGGCAGGAGTGGGCCTGCCTGGCAGAGAGATGGCAGTCTCCCGAGCCTGTGCCATGTCTCTAGGCTGCTTTTTCTTTTACTTTTTGAGACAGAGCCTTGTTTTGTCGTCCAGGCTGGATTGTAGTGGTGCGATCTCGGCTCACTGCAACCTCCGCCTCCCAGGTTCAAACGATTCTCCTGCCTCAGCCTCCTGAATAGCTGGGATTGCAGGCACCCGCCACCATGCCCAGCTAATTTTTGTATCTTTGGTAGAGATGGGGTTTCACCATGTTGGCCAGGCTGGTCTCTAACTCCCGACCTCAGGTGATCTGCCCGCCTTGGCCTCCCAAAGTGCTGGGATTACAGGCATGAGCCACCACACCTGGCCTAGGCTGCTTTTTCTTGTTATCACCATGGCAGGGTGTGGAGGCAGAGGGCCCTGGTTTTCTGCTCCACCTTCAACCCCTGCTGCTCACTGACTCCCACAAGGAGGTCATCTTGCCCTTTCTTTTTCATCACAAGCTAGGAAACCGCTACACCAATTCCTCTTAAAAATCTGCCTGCAAGTAAAGAAATACAAAAACAACTTTACTGCCAATGGTGAGTTTAGTCGGTGTATCGGTCGGAATCCTGTCTCATGGCCCATTCAGAGCTGGGTAACTGGACAGAGCTTAATAAAGGAATTCTTTACAAAGGTGAGGACAGAGTTTAGGAAAAACCATCAGGTATGGTGCGGTACCTGTGGCTCTTAACAGCAGGAGCTTGACCACACCTGGACTTGAATGAGAGCAAGGGGAGGGAGTGATGACCAGGTGTGTGTTGAGGAGGTGTGGGCTGGGGAGCACACAGGAAGTACAAGTGTGAGTTGGCTGAATGAGTTGTCTGATGTGGGTTGTAGCCTTCTGTAGAGGCAGTGACTCAGCAGGGAAGTTGCTGACGGATTAAATACCCTTCCTTCACTCTTTACCCTCCTGCTGGCTTCCTTTAATAGCTGAACCAACCAGAAGCCAGAGAACAATGGATGCCATTTATACCAGTCAACCTCCCTGATCACCCAGCAGGTCCGAGGCAGGAGAGGAGAGGACCTTGAGGCCAAAATGAAGGATTCCCCTGCCCAGTCCTAGCTGGATACTTTGACACATTTGCCAGAGTTTTCAAAGGCCAATCCCATGTATGTTCTTTGCATAATGATTTAGGGGTCAAAAATGCTATCTGCTCTTCTCAACACCCAGGACTTTAGGGCTGACGGGAAGGCACCCGTGGTGGGGTATGCCTCCAAAGGAGGTCCTCTGGCAGGTAGACATCCATCCATAGCCGTTACCTGTTCTGACAGAGAAGTAACACTGGCCCTTGCTCTCTTGTTAGTGCTTAATGACCTTGACTTGAGATTTTTCCCTGGACCTTTACTTAAGATTACTCTTACAAGGATCTGACTTCTAGTTGGTTATTTGAGTTCTTGACCCTACCTGCATTCCTTCTGCCATTAAACATTGGTTTGATATCTTGCTCTCCTGGAACCTGACTCCAGCACTCCCATTTCTGCGTGCTAACTGGCTTGATTCCATCTTAAATAGAAAGACAGCACCTTTCTGTCTGCAGACTTTATGCTTTGGGAGTCTTGATTCATCCTAGGATTCACCCATTCCTACACTCGTTACCTTCTCTAAGTCACCCCAGTGCCAGGGTTTTGGAAAGTAAGGCCATTTCCTTAAGTGTCCCAGGATCACCATATTGGTTTAAAGTAAAATCCACACCAATGATAGAGCCACTTCCTCATCCTAGCTGGGTTTCCCCGACCCTGTCTATGTAACCCTGTTAGCCCTGTTTGCCTCTGTCTCCCTGCATCACACATAAGGCTTTTCTTCTCTCTTGATGTATCTTGGGTGCTGTGCCTTGCATAGTCTTTGGTTTGATTTTTTTTCTAGAGACTCCAAGTGTCTATTTTAATGTTTCACCTGTTTCTCAACCCTGCAGGTTGACATTCTCTGGAGCCGAGATCTGGTTCCCGCTCCCACCTTTCTTTTCCATTTTCTACATTTACATCTACTGCCCTTTTCTGATTTATCTCTTTCTCTTGATTTGAGCTGTGTCTCTACTATTCCCCTCCCCAGACAAGGAGATGAATTTTAATATTTTCTGCTAGGTAGTAATTTCTAGCACTCCCCATATCCAGCCTGGCTCTTAACAGTGAGACCTCTCAGTAGCATTTTAGAGGTTTAAGAATTATCTTAAAGACTTTCTGATTCATTCTCTTACATTTTTCAAAATATGCAATTTTCTATTCAAATCTAAGATGAGGAGCTGTTTCGTCAAATACGTAAGATTGCATGCGTACAGGATATTGCTGGGATTTAAATGTAGTTTTTAGGATGCATCACATTATTTTGTGTGTCAAAAAATATTCCTCAAATAAGAAAGACACTGTACATTTTAAAAATGCTTTTGACAGTGTCTTACAATCCATGTATGGGGACTTACAATTTTGGGAAGTCATGTAAACTTTCCTGAGTTGCGAGTGAATTCAGTGCTTCCTCCACTCATAAATGTTATTACCCTACAAAGAAATTTCTAGATTATCCCACATAAAAGAGAAAACCAAACTCAGGAAAGACCATAAGATTATGAACTGGTACCTTTTCCCAGCACAGAAATCAGAACTGATAGCTTTAAATTAGAAGTGATATATAGCTCGTTCTTAGAGAGCTCTCTGTGCAAAATTTCATCATTTTGTGCAATGCTTTATACAGAGTACACACACAAGAAGGATTGACTGACAGTAAATGTTTACCAGTTCAAATTTTACTGAACACCTCTAATATCAGTATCTATCCTGGTAGTTTTTAAAATAATGCTATATTCATCACCATTACCACCATTATCATTCTTGATTTTTTGTACTGATTAGAATGTTTTCCATTGCAACAGAAACCCCAACTCAAACTAGCTAGCAGCAATGAATATTTTCTCTCTCATAACAGGAGATTCCTTAAAATGAGGGGCTTTAGAGTTAGTTGATTCATCAGATTACTAGTGTCGTTGAGTATCTCCTTGGTGTAGTAGCAAGGTTGGTAGTAACATTTCCAGATATGGCATTATTCAGAGAAAACAAAAGTTATTTGTCTCTTTCTATGGCTTTGTTTAGCAAGAAAAGACCTTTTCCCAGGAGCTTCTCAGGAGCATCCCCTCATGACTCAGCCATGAGGGTAGGGTCACAAGCCCATTCTCAGATCAGTTACTAGCATGATTGATTTCTGTGCACCCTCTGAAGCGGCATGCATCTTGGGGGATCAACTATGGTGTCTACCATACATTTATATAGTGACTTCAGCTTACCAAATGCTTTATGCATCCATCCAAGGTATAAGGTAAGGTAAGGCAGGTGTTATCATCCCCATTTTATATGAGATGATGGACGCTTATAGAATATTACCTTGTTCTTATGAAATGTGCTTCTGCAAGGAATGGTAGAGTAGCATGTTGCCATTTAAAAATCCCAAATAAAACAATCAATGGAGCCAGTGATTATTAATGTCTGCTAAACTATCAGATGAGTAGCCGATGGGAAACATTATAATGAACAGATCTGTCTGACAATGCCTAGACCTATTAATCAAACTTAACATCACAAAAAAGAGGGGTAGTCAGATAGTTCAATCTCCTGATGTGACATAATAGGTAGTACATAAACCTGAATCTCATCAAGCCTCTAAATCTAACAGTTTATAGAAAATACAGGGGACAGAGGAACACATTAAAAGACATCATAGGAGTGCAATAAAAATCCAGAATGTGAGAAATTTTACATAATAATCTATTTGATTTCTTCAGTAGATACATTATAAGAAAAAAAGAGAGGCAGGAGGAACCAAAAGATCAAGAGTCTTAAAGGACATATCATCTAGGTGCAATTAAGACCTTGTTTAGAGTGTGATTTGAATAAACTAAGTTTTAATAAACAATCGTGGAAAAAGTGGAAAATTTTCATGGTAGTTGGAAATTTGATAGTTATATTAAGGACTTTTTGTTAATTCTGTTGCATATACCAATAATAATTTTCTTTTAGGGATATATTCTGAAATGTTTATGGATGAAATTATACAATGTCTGGGATTTGCTTTCAAATAATTCAGGTCAAAAGAGTGGCATGAATAATATGGCAGAATGTGAAGTCCCAGGCCCTCCTTCCTCTACAGAGACACTGACACAACAACACACACACCAGCTGCCTTTGTGAAAAATCCAGAAACAAGTTAAGAGGCTCCTGAACTCCAGGAAAACATGAAGCCAACTGAATCAAAGCCAGGCAGGAAAATCTGTGGCACTCACTCACTAAAGTTCCTTCTCTCCACACAGTACTGTATGATTTGGAGAAAACTTCCAAATCCCAACTTCTCCCCAGGGAGAGAAAGAGAAGAGCAGAATATGTGTCCAACAAGTCTGACTTTTGGAGGGGACTGCCTGGAGGGGTTTTTGTCTTGTCTGGATCTAAGTGGTGACAGGAACAAGGCACTGGGTTAGAGACCACTGAGAACAAAGACAATAAATGTGGCTTAGTCCAGCATGAGAGTCTGCACTGCCACAGATAGGCAATAGGAGGAGCTCCCAGGTAGAAACTGGCAAACCTCTTCAATTAGGAGATGACACACATGCACAAGCCCAGAAAGAACATATCCTAGAAAAGACTTGCAAGATGTCTACAAACTCTAGCTGGGACAAATGGTGGAAGATTTCCCTGTACAAACCAGACCACATAGACTAGGAGAGGTGGCTGATTTTTCAGATGCCAAGGTCTCATCAGAAGATAACAAGGCATACAGAGATCAGGGAAACACAGCTCAATCAAAGGAGCAAATTAAACTTCCAGAAACTGACCCTAAAGAAACAGAGCTAAACCAAGCATAGTGGTACATGCTTATAGTCCCAGCTACTTGGGAGGCTGAGGCAGGAGGATAAGTTGAGCCCAGGAATTTGAGACCAGCCTGGGTAGCAACATAGTGAAACCTGTATCTAAAACAAGCAAACAAACAAACAACAACAACAACAAAAGAAAAACTTAATAAGAAAAGAAATAGAGATATATGAATAATTTAAAATAATTGTCATAAAAATGCTCAATAAATTAAAAGGGAGCACAGATGGATAACTAAACAAAATCAAGAAAACAATGCATGAACAAAATGAGAAATTAATAAAGTGATGGAAACTATGAAGAAAAAACAAGAAGAAATTCTGAGCCTATGCAACATAGGAAGACCCCGTTTCTACAAAAAAATTAAAAAACAAATTATTCAGGCATGGTGGCATGCACCTATAGTCCTAGCTACTCAAGAGGCTGAGGTGGAGTATTGCCTAAGCCTGGGAGGTTGGGACTGCAGTGAACCGTGATTGTGCCACTGCATTCCAGTCTGGGTGGCAGAGTGAGACCTTGCCTCAATAAATAAATAAATGAATAAATAAATAAATAAAATTCTGGAGGTGAAGAATTTGATAACTGAATTGAAAAATTCACTAGAGGGAGTCAACAGCAGACTTGATCAAGCAGAAGTAAGAATCAGCAAACTTGAAGGCAAGCCATTTGAAATTATTGAGCCAGAAGATCAAAACACAAAATGAAATTGAAGAAAGCAAAAGGGACTCATGGCGCACCATCAAGTTGACAAATATGTGAATAATGGGAGTTTCAGAAGGAGCAGTGAGAGAGAAGTAGACAATGAGCTTATTTTAAAATATAGTGGCTGAAAACTTCCCAAAGCTGAAGGAAAAAAATGGACATTAAAATTGAAGAAGCTCAAAGGACTCTAAATAAGATGAACAAAAGAGGCCTATTCTGAGACACATTATGATCAAACTGTCAAAAATCAGAAAGAGAATTTTGCAAGCAGGAAGAGAAAAGTGACTTGTTAGATATGAGGGAGCTCCCATAAGATTATCAGTGGATTTCCCAGCAGAAACTTTAGAGGCCAGAAGGGAATAGGATGATATAGTCCAAGTGCTGAAGGAATAAAACTGTCAACCAAGAATACTATTTACTGTAAAAATATCCTTCAAAAATGAAGGAGAAATAGATTTTCTCAGATAAACAGAAGCCAAGAGAGTTCATCATCACTAGATCTGCCTTATAAGAAAAGCTAAAGAGCATCCTTCAGGTTGAAATGAAAGGACATAAGATAGCAACATGAAAGCATACAAAAATACAAAACTTGCTAGTAAAGAAGTACAGAGACAAATATAGAATACTATAACACCGTAATGGTGGTACATAAATCACTTTAAATTCTGGTATAGACTTTAAAATATGAAAGCTTAACAAATAACTACAACTATAAACCATGTTAATAAACACAAAATATAAAAATACAGTCATCCCATAGTAGCCACAGGAAATTGGGTCCAGGAACCCCTGCAGATATCAAAATCCATAAATGCTCACATCCCTTATTTAAACTGGTGTAGTATTGCATATAACATATGCACATCCTCCAATGTAATTTATGTTATCTCTAGATTGCCTATACATTAATAGATTACTTATTACTTAAATCTAATACATGTAAATGCTATGTAAACAGTTGCTATATTGTATTGTTTTAATATCTGTATTATTTTTATTGTTGTATTGTTATTTTTATTGTTGTGGAGGTATTTTTGACCCACAGTTGGTTAAATGCATGGACGTGGAACCCACAAATGCAGAGGGATGATGGTGCTAATTTGTGTCATCAACAACATAAAGTTGGGAGGGATGAAAAAGATTTGAGATTTTGTATGCAACTGGAATTGTTATCAGCTTAAAATAGATTGTGATAACTGTAAGATGTTTTTTGTGGGCCCCATAGTAATCACAAAGGAAATACATATGGTAGATACACAAAAGAAAACGAGAAAATAATCAAAGCATAAAAAAAATCAACAAATCACAAACGAAAGCAGCAAGAGAAGAAAAAAAAGACAAAATAACTACAAAACAGACAAAAGACAATTGCCAAAATGGAAATAGTAAGTCATTCCGATCAATAATTACTTTAAATGTGAATGGACTGGCCGGGTGCGGTAGCTCACACCTGTAATCCCAGCATTTTGGGAGGCTGAGGCAGGCGGATCATGAGGTCAGGAGATCGAGACCATCCTGGCTAACATGGTGAAACCTCATCTCTACTAAAAATACAAAAAATCAGCTGGCTGTGGTGGCACTCGCCTGTAGTCTCAATTACTTGGGAGGTTGAGGCAGGAGAATTGCTTGAACACGGGAGGTGGAGGTTGCAGTGAGCCAAGATGGCGCCACTGCACTCCAGCCTGGGAGACAGAGTGAGACTCCATCTCCAAAAGAAAAAAATATGTAAATGAATTACGTTCTCCAATCAAAAAACATAGAGTGGCTGAATGGATTAAAAAAATAAGATGCCACTATGTATTTTCTACAGAGATTCACTTTACATTTAAGAATACACACTGGCTGAAGTGAAAAGGTGGAAAAAATATTTCCATGCAAATAGTAACCAAAATAGAGCAAGTGTGAACATATTTATATCAGGCAAAATAGACTTTATGTCAAAATTTGTCACAAGAGGCAAAGAAGAATATTATATAATGATAAAACGGTCAATTCTCCACGAAGATATAGCAATCACAAATATGTATGCAACTAACTTCAGAGCAACCAAATATATGAAGCAAACATTGACAGACTTGAGAAAATAGACAGTAACACAATAATTATACATTTCAATACCATACTTTCAATAATGGATAGATCAACCAGACAGAAGATCAATAAGGAAGCAGAGGACTTGAACAATATTGTAGATCGATTGGACCTAACAAACATATACAGACATTCCACCCACCAGAACCAGAATACACTTTCTTCTCAAGCACACATAGGACATTCTGCCAGATAGATCACATGTTTGGTCACAAAGCAAGCCTTAAGAAATTTACAAATACTGAAATCATATCAAGTATCTTTTCCAAACACAATGGAATGAAACTAAAAATCAATAGCAAAAGGAAAACTGGAAAACTCACAAATATGTGATAATTAAACAACACACTCTTGAACAACCAATGAGTCAAATAAGAAATCACAAGAGAGATTAGAAGTATCTTGAAACAAATAAAAATAAAAAGACAACAGGCCAGATGCGGTGGGTCATACCTGTAATCCCAGCTCTTTGGGAGGCCGAGGCGAGCAGATCACAAGGTCAGGAGATCCAGACCATCCTGGCTAACACGGTGAAACCCTACCTCTACTAAAAATACAAAAAATTAGCCGGGCGTGGTGGCAGGCGCCTGTAGTCCCAGCTACTTGGGAGGCTGAGGCAGGAGAATGGTGTGAACCCAGGAGACAGAGCTTGCAGTGAGCGGAGATCGCGCCACTGCACTCCAGCTCTGGGTGACAGAGCAAGACTCCGTCTCAAAAAAGAAAAAAAAACACAACATACTAAAACTTGTGGGATGCAGCAATAGCAGTACTAACAGGAAAATTTATAGTGGTAAACACCTACATTAAGAAAGAACAAAGCTTGCAAATAAACAAACTAACTTTACACCTCAAGAAGCTAGAAGTAGACAAACAAATTAAATCCAAAATTAGAAGAAAAAATGAAATAATAAAGATAAGAGCAGAAAGAAATAAAATAGAGAATAGAATAACAATAGGAAAATTTAAAAAAGTTTGTTTTTTGAGAAGATCAACAAAATTGACAAGCTCATAGCTAGAGTAAGAAAAAACAGAGAAGACTCAACCAATTTAAATCAGAAATGAAAGAGACATTACAACTGATACTGCAGAAATAAAATGATAGTAAGAGACTACTATGAACAATTATATGACAACAAAACTGGATAACCTAGAAGAAATGAATAAATTCCTAGAAAAATATAACAGACCAAGACTGAAGCATGATGTAATAGTAAATCTGAACAGACCTATAACTAGTACAAAGATTGAATCATTGATCAAATATCTCCCCACAAAGTAAAGCAGAGGACCATATGGTTTCACTGGAGAATTCTACACACACTTAAAGAAAAATTCATACCAATCCTTCTCAAATTTTTCCAAAAACATTGAAGAGAACAGAACACTACTAAACTCATTTTATGAGGCCAGCATTACCTGACACCAAAGCTAGGCAGAAATAGTACAAGAAAAGAAAGCTGCAGACCAGTATTGTTGATGAATATAGTTGCCAAGATCCTCAACAAAATATTTACAAGCCAAATTTAACAGCACATTAAAAGGATTATACATCAAAACCATGTGGGATTTATCCCTGGTATGCAAGGATTGTTCAACATACCCAAATCAAACAATGTAATATACTACACTAACAGAATGAACAATAAAAATCACATGATGATCTCAATTGATGTAGAAAATGCATTTGGCAAAATTCAACACTGTTTTATGACAAAACACTTATGTATGAATAGAAGGAAATATATAAATATAATAAAGACTATATATGAAAAGACTAAAGCTGACATCATACTCAATGGTGAAACATGGAAAACTTTCCTTTAAGGTTAGGAACAAGGCAAAGATACCTACTCTCACCACTTCTATTCAACATAGTGCTAGAAGTCTTAGCTAGAGCAATTAGGCAAGAAAAAGAAATAAAAGGCATCCAAATTGTGAAAAAAAGAAGCAAAATTACCTCTCTTCACAGATGATGTGATCAAATTTGTAGAAACTCTAAAGATTACACACATACACACATACGAAAATTGTTAGAACAGATCAACAAATTTAGAAAAGCTGCAAAATACAAAATCAACACACAAAAATTAGTTGTATTTCTATACACTAACAATGAACAATCCAAAAAGGAAAATGAGAAAAGAATTACATTTGCAATTTCATTTAAAAGAGCAAAACATACAAGAATAAACATAAGCAAAGAAAATCCCTACCTAAATCCCAATGGCACTTTTTGCAGAAACAAAAAAAAAATCCTGAAATTTGAATGGAATTGCAAAACACCCTGAATAGCCATAATAATCTTGAGAAAGAAGAACAAAGCTGGAGGCTTCATACATACTGTTTTCAAAACATATTACAAAGTTACACCAATCAAAAGAGTATGGTACTGGCATAAAGACAGACATATAGACCAATATAACAGAATAGAGAGCCCAGAAATGTTCCCTTCACATCTATGGTCAAATGATCCTTGACAAAGATACCAAGACTACACAATGGGGAATGGATAATTTCTCTAACAAATTTGGTTAGGAAAATTCATATGTAAAAGGAAAAAGTTAGGCCCTTTTCTTATACCATACACAAAAATTAACTTGAAATTAATTAAAAACCTAGAGATAAGACCTGAAACTATAAAATTCTTAGAAGAAAACATAGGAGGAAACCTTCATGACACTGGATTTGGCAATGATTTCATGAATATGACATCAAAAACACAGGCAACAGAAGCAAAAATAAATGGGACTACATCAAACTTTAAAATTTCTGCTCAACAAAGGAAAAAATCCGCAGCATGAAAAGTCATCCTGCAAATGGGAGGAAATATTTGCCAACCACATATCTGAAAAGGGGATAATAATTGGAATATATTTTAAAAACTCTGACAACCCAATAACAACCAAAAACTTGATTTAAAAATGGGCAAACAACCTAAATGGGCATTTCTCCAAAGAAGATATACAAATGGCCAAGAAGCATATGGAAGACATGTTCAACATCATTAATTAAAAGGGAAAAGTAAATCAAAACCACAATGATATATCACTTTATGTCTGTTAGGATGGATACTATTAAAACAAACAAACAAAAAAAACAGAAAATAACACACGTTGGAGAGGATGTGGAGAAGTTGGAATCCTCATGTACTGTTGGTGGGAATGTAAAATGGTGCAGTCACTGTGGAAAACAACATCGAGTTTCATCAGAAATTAAAAATAGAGGATTCCATTCCAAGATGGCCAAATATGAACAGCTCTGGTCTGCAGCTCCCAGCGTGATTGACACAGAAGATGGGTGATTTCTGCATTTCCAACCAAGGTACCTGCTTCATCTCATTAGGACTAGTTGGACAGTGGGTGCAGCCCATGGGGGGCGAGCCAAAGCAGGGCGGGGCATCGCCTCACCCAGGAAGGGCAAGGGGTCTGGGGATTTCCCTTTCCTAGCAAAGGGAAGCTGTGACAGAAGGTATCTGGAAACATGGGACACTCCCACCCAAATACTGTGCTTTTCCAATGGTCTTAGCAAATGGCACACCAGGAGATTATATCTTGCATCTGGTTTGGTGGATCCCATGCCCATGGAGCCTTGCTTACTGCTAGCGCAGCAGTCTGAAATCAACCTGCAAGGCAGCAGCCTGGCAGGGGGAGGGGCATCCACCATTGCTGAGGCTTGAGTTAGTAAACAAAGTGGCTGGGGAAGCTCGAACTGGGTGGAACCCACCGCAGTTCAGCAAGGCCAGCTGCCTCTGTAGTCTCCACCTCTGGGGGCAGGGCATAGCTGAACAAAAGGCAGCAGAAACTTCTGCAGACTTAAAAGTCCCTGTCTTACAGCTCTGAAGAGAGCATTGGTTCTCCCAGCACAGTGTTTGAGCTTGCAGAATGGACAGACTGCCTCCTCAAGTGGGTCTCTGACCCCATGTAGCCTAACTGGGAGGCACCTCCTAGTAGGGGCCGACTGACACCTCATACAGGCGGATACCCCTCTGGGACAAAGCTTCCAGAGGAAGGATCAGGCAGCAATATTTGCTGTTCTGCAGCCTCTGCTGGTGATACCCAAGAAAACAGAGTCTGGAGTGGATCTCCAGCAAACTCCAACAGACCTGCAGTTGAGGGACCTGACTGTTAGAAGGAAAACTAACAAGCAGAAAGGAATAGCATCAACATCAACAAAAAGGACATCCACACCAATACCCCATCTGTAGGTCACCAACATCAAAGTCCAAAGGTAGATAAAACCACGAAGATGGGGAGAAACCAGAGCAGAAAAGCTGAAAATTCTAAAAACCAGAGTGCCTCTTCTCCTCCAAAGGATCACAGCTTCTCACCAGCAACAGAACAAAGCTGGATGGAGAATGACTTTGACGAGCTGACAGAAGTAGGCTTCAGAAAGTCGGTAATAACAAACTTCTCCAAGCTAAAGGAGGATGTTCAAACCCATTGCAAGGAAGCTAAAAACCTTGAAAAAAGATTACACGAATGGCTAACTAGAATGAACAGTGTAGAGAAGACATTAAATGACCTGATGGAGCTGAAAACCATGGCACGAGAACTATGTGATGCATGCATAAGCTTCAATAGTTGATTTGATCAAGTGGAAGAAAGGGTATCAGTGATTGAAGATCAAATTAATGAAATAAAGCAAGAGGACAAGTTTAGAGAAAAAAGAGTAAAAAGAAATGAACAAAACCTCCAAGAAATATGGGACTATGTGAAAAGACCAAATCTATGTTTGATTGGTGTACCTGAAAGTGACAGGAAAAATGGAACCAAGTTGGAAAACACTCTTCAGGTTATTATCCAGGAGAACTTCCCCAACCTAGCAAGGCAGGCCAGAATTCAAATTCAGGAAATACAGAGAACACCACAAAGATACTCCTCGAGAAGAGCAACCCCAAGGCACATAATTGTCAGATTCACCAAGGTTGAAATGAGGGAAAAAATGATAAGGGCATCCAGAGAGAAAGGTTGGGTTACCCACAAAGGGGAGCCCATCAGAGCAACAGCGGATCTCTCAGCAGAAACTCTACAAGCCAGAAGAGAGTGGGGGCCAATATTCAGCATTCTTAAAGAAAAGAATTTTCAACCCAGAATTTCATATCCAGCCAAACTAAGCTTCATAAGTGAAGGTGAAATAAAATCCTTTACAGACAAGCAAATGCTGAGAGATTTTGTCACCACCAGGCCTGCCTTACAAGAGCTCCTGAAGGAAGCACTAAACATGGAAAGGAAAAACCCTTACCAGCCACTGCAAAAACATACCAAATTGTAAAGACCACCGATGCGAGAAAGAAACTGCATCAACTAACGGGCAAAAATAACCAGCTAATATCATAATGACAGGATCAAATTCACACATAACAATATTAATCTTAAATGTAAATGGGCTAAATGCCCCAATTAAAAGATGCAGACTGGCAAATTGGATAAGGAGTCAAGACCTATCGGTGTGCTGTATTCAGGAGACCCCTCTCACATGCAGAGACACACATAGGCTCAAAATAAAGGATGGAGGAAGATCTACCAATCAAATGGAAAGCAAAAAAAGGCAGGGGTTGCAATCCTAGTCTCTGATAAAACAGACTTTAAACCAACAAAGATCAAAAGAGACAAAGAAGGCCATTACATAATGGTAAAGGGATCAATTCAACAAGAAGAGCTAACTGTCCTAAATATACATGCACCCAATACAGGAGCACCCAGATTCATAAAGCAAGTCCTTAGAGACCTACAAAGATACTTAGACTCCCACACAATAATAATGGGAGACTTTAACACCCCCCTGTCAATATTAGACAGATCAGTGAGACAGAAGGTTAACAAGGATATCCAGGACTTGAACTCAGCTCTACACCAAGCAGACCTAATAGACATCTAGAGAACTCTCCACCCCAAATCAACAGAATATACATTCTTCTCAGCACCACATCACATTTATTCCAAAATTGACCACATAGTTGGAAGTAAAGCACTCCCCAGCAAATGTGAAAGAACAGAAATCACAACAAACTGTCTCTCAGACCACAGTACAATCAAATTAGAACTCAGGATTAAGAAACCCACTCAAAACTGCACAACTACATGGAAACTGAACAACCTGCTCCTGAATGACTGCTGTGTAAATAACGAAATGAATGCAGAAATAAAGATGTTCTTTTAAACCAATGAGAATAATAAAGACACAACATACCAGAATCTCTGGGACACATTTAAAGCGTGTGTAGAGGGAAATTTATAGCACTAAATGCCCACAAGAGAAAGCAGGAAAGATCTAAAATTGACACCATAACATCACAATTAAAAGAATTAGAGAAGCAAGAGCAAATACATTCAAAAGCTAGCAGAAGGCAAGAAATAACTAAGATCAGAGCAGAACAAAAGAGATAGAGACACAAAAAAACCCTTCAAAAAATCAATGAATCCAGGAGCTGGTTTTTTGAAAAGATCAACAAAATTGATAGACCGCTAGCAAGACTAATAAAGAAGAAAAGAGAGAAGAATCAATTAGATGTAATAAAAAATGATAAAGGGGATATCACCACCGATCCCACAGAAATACAAACTACCATCAGAGAATACTATAAACACCTCTATGCAAATAAACTAGAAAACCTAGAAGAAATGGATAAATTCCTGAACACATACACCCTCCCAAGACTAAATCAGGAAGAAGTTGAATCTCTGAATAGACCAATAACAGGCTCTGAAATTGAGGCAATAATTAATAGCCTACCAACCAAAAAAAAGTCCAGGAGCAGACAGATTCATAGCCGAATTCTACCAGAGGTACAAAGAGGAGCTGGTACCATTCCTTCTGAAACTATTCCAATCAATAGAAAAAGAGAGAATCCTCCCTAACTCATTTTATGAGGCCAGCATCATCCTGATACCAAAGCCTGGCTGAGACACAACAAAAAAAGAGAATTTTAGACCGATATCCCTGATGAACATCAATGTGAAAATCCTCAGTAAAATACTGGCAAACTGAATCCAGCAGCACATCAAAAAACTTATCCACCACAATCAAGTCTGCTTCATCCCTGGGATGCAAGGCTGGTTCAACATATGCAAATCAATAAACATAATCCATCACATAAACAGAACCAACAACAAAAGCCACGTGATTATCTCAATAGATACAGAAAAGGCCTTTGACAAAATTCAACAGCCCTTCATGCTAAAAACTCTCAATAAACTAGGTATCAATGGAACATATCTCAAAATAATAAGAGCTGTTTATGACAAACCCACAGCCAGTATCATACTGAATGGGCAAAAACTGGAAGCATTCCCTTTGAAAACTGGCACAAGACAGGGATGCCCTCTCTCACCACTCCTATTCAACATAGTGTTGGAAGTTCTGGCCAGGGCAATCAGGCAAGAGAAAGAAATAAAGAGTATTCAATTAGGAAAAGAAGAAGTCAAATTGTCCCTGTTTGCAGATGACATGATTGTACATTTAGAAAACCCCATCGTCTCAGCCCAAAAT
This sequence comes from Homo sapiens, assembly GCF_000001405.40. Taxonomy (NCBI): domain Eukaryota; kingdom Metazoa; phylum Chordata; class Mammalia; order Primates; family Hominidae; genus Homo; species Homo sapiens. Next base: position 104,955,494 of record NC_000002.12, on the reverse strand, counting down.
CTCCTTAAGCTGATAAGCCACTTCAGCAAAGTCTCGGGATACAAAATCAATGTACAAAACTGACAAGCATTCCTATACACAAAAAACAGACAAACAGAGAGCTAAATCATGAGTGAATTCCCATTCACAATTGCTACAAAGGGAATAAAATACCTAGGAATCCAACTTACAAGGGATGTGAAGGACTTCTTCAAGGAGAAGTACAAACCACTGCTCAACAAAATAAAAGAGGACACAAACAAGTGGGAGAACATTCCATGCTCACGGATAGGAAGAATCAATATCATGAAAATGGCCATACTGCCCAAGGTAATTTATAGATTCAATGCCATCCCCATCAATCTACCAATGACTTTCTTCACAGAATTGGAAAAAACTAAAGTACATATGGAACAAAAAAAGAGCCTGCATTGCCAAGACAATCCTAAGCAAAAAGAACAAAGCTGGAGGCAGCATGCTACCTGACATCAAGCTATACTACAAGGCTACAGTAACAAAAACAGCATGGTACTGGTGCCAAAACAGATATATAGACCAATGGAACAGAACAGAGGCCTCAAAAATAACACCACACATCTACAACCATTTGATCTTTGACTAACCTGACAAAAACAAGAAATGGGGAAAGGATCCCCTATTTAATAAATGGTGCTGGGAAAACTGGCTAGCCATATGTAGAAAGCTGAAACTGGATCCCTTCCTTACACCTTACACAAAAATTAATTCAAGACGGATTAGAGACTTAAATGTTAGACCTGGAACCATTAAAACCCTAGAAGAAAACCTAGGCAATACCATTCAGGACATAGGCATGGGAAAGGACTTCATGACTAAAACACCAAAAGCAATGGCAACAAATGCCAAAATAGACAAATGGGATCTAATTAAACTAAAGAGCTTCGGCACAGCAAAAGAAACTACCATCAGAGTGAACAAGCAACCTACAGAATGGGAGAAAATTTTTGCAATCTACCCATCTGACAAAGGGCCAATATCCAGAGTCTACAAAAAACTTAAACAAATTTACAAGAAAAAAATAAACAACCCCATCAAAAAGTGGGCAAAGGATATGAACAGACACTTCTCAAAAGAAGACATTTATGCAGCCAACAGACACATGAAAAAATGCTCATCATCACTGGCCATCAGAAAAACGCAAATCAAAACCACAATGAGACCATCTCACACCAGTTAGAATGGCAATAATTAAAAAGACAGGAAACAACAGATGCTGGAGAGGATGTGGAGAAGTAGGAACGCTTTTACGCTGTTGGTGGGAGAGTAAACTAGTTCAACCATTGTGGAAGATAGTGTGGCAATTCCTCAGGGATCTAGAACTAGAAATACCATTTGACCCAGTGTTCCTATTACTGGGTGTATACCCAAAGGATTATAAATCATGCTGCTATAAAGACACATGCACACGTATGTTTATTGCGGCACTATTCACAATAGCAAAGACTTGGAGCCAACCCAGATGTCCATGAATGATAGACTGGATTAAGAAAATGTGGCACATATACACCGTGGAATACTATGCAGCCATAACAAAGGATGAGTTCATGTCCTTTGCAGGGACATAGATGCAGCTGGAAACCATCATTCTGAGCAAACTATCACAAGGACAGAAAACCGAACACCACATGTTCTCACCCATAGGTGGGAATTGAACAATGAGAACATTTGGACACAGGGCAGGGAACATCACACACTGGGGCCTGTCGTGGGGTGGGGGCAGGGGGAGGGATAGCATTAGGAGATATACCTAATGTAAATGACGAGTTAATGGGTGCAGCAAACCAACATAGCACATATATACCTATGTAACAAACCTGCATGTTGTGCACATGTAACCTAGAACTTAAAGTATAATTTAAAAAAAGAACAAAACTATAAATTTCTAGAAAAAAACACAAGAAAATATATCACCAAAGTGTGATCCATAATAGAAAAAAATTGTATTGATAGACCACATTTTGTTTATCTATTCCCCAGCTGATAGACATTTGGATTATTTCTAGTTTTTACAATTATAAATAATGCTGCTGTGAACATTTGAGTGTAAATTTTTGTGTGCACATACATTTTCACTTCTCTTTAGGTAGATGCCTAGGAGTAAAATTAATGGGTTGTATTGTAAGCGTACATTCGATCTTTTAGATATTGTCAAATAGTTTTCCAAAGTGGCTGTATCATATTACATTTCTACCATCCATGTAAGAGGGTTCCAGTTTCTTCACATCCCTGACAACACTTGCTATTGTCAGTCTTTTTAATATTAGCTATTCTAGTGAGTGTTACAGGTAGCTCATTGTGGTTTTACTTTGCATTTCCTTTATGACTAATGATGTGATCATCTTTTTATGTACTTATTTTCCATTTGCATATCTTCTTCAGCAAATGTCTATCCAAATCTTCCACCACCCCTCTCTTTTTGTTCTATTATTGATTTGAAAGAGCGCTTATATTTGAATTATAAGGGTTAGTTATATATTCTGGATACGAATTGTTGGTCAGACATATGTTTTGCAAATATTTTCTCCTGACCAATGGCTGACCTTTTCATTTTCTTGTGTCTTTTGAAAAGGAACATTTTTAATTTTGATGAAATACAATTTATCAATTTTTTCTATTATGGATCATGCTTCAGTGATATATTTTCTTGTGTTTTTCTTCTAGAAAGTTATAGTTTATGTTCTTTTGCTTTTTGTTTTTGTTTTTGTTTTTTGTTTTTTGGTTTTTTTTTTTTTGGTTCTTTTTTTTTGAGACAGAGTCTCACCCTGTCGCACCCAGGCTGGAGTACAGTGGCGCGATCTCGGCTCACTGCAACCTCCACCTCCTGGATTCAAGTGATTCTCCTGCCTCAGTTTCCCGAGTACCTGGGATTACAGGCATGCACCACACATCAGGCTACGTTTTGTATTTTTAGTAGAGTTAGGGTTTCACCATATTGGCCAGGCTGGTCTCAAACTTCCAACCTGAGGTGATCTGCCTGCCTCAGGCTCCCAAAGTGCTGGGATTACAGGTGTGAACCACTGTGCTCAGCCGTTTTTGTTCTTATATTTAGGTCTATGTTCCATCTCATGTTTATTTTTATGCATGTGAGGTAAGGATCGAGGTTTATTGGAGGTTTTTTTTTTTTGCATGCCGATATTCTATAATTTCTGCCATTGAATCACACTGACACTTTCATTGAAAATTAGTTGATCACATTTGTATGAGTTTATTTCTGGACTCTTTATTTTGTTCCACTGACCTATATGTCCATCATTACACCAGTATCACAGTCTTGATTATTGCATCTTTATAACAAATATGGAAATCAGTTAGTGTAAGTCACCCAATTTTGTTCTTCTTCAAAATTGTTTTGTCTATTTTAAGTTAGGAGTTGCTGCCTGTTTTTGTAAATAAAATTTTATTGACACATTAAAAAAATTAAAAATAGAATTACCATATGATCCAGAAATCCCACTTCTGAGTATGTGCCTAAAAGAATCGAAGGGAGGAGGAACACAAAGACATATTTGCACACCCGTGTTTATTGCAGCATTATTCATAATAGCTGAAAGGTGGAAGCACCCTAAATGTCCATACACAGATGAATGGATAAAGAAATGATGGTGTGTGTGTGTGTGTGTGTGTGTGTGTGTGTGTGATATTCCATGCAATGGGATGTTACTGAGCCTTTGAAAAGAAGGAAATTCTGTCACATGCTACATGGATGAACCTTGAAGACACTGGCTTAGTGAAATAAGCCAGACACAAAAAGGCAAATCCTTCAAGATTCTACTGATATGAGTGTTTCTCAAAGACTCAAATTCATAAACAGAGAGTGGAATGCGACTGCAGGGCTAAGGGGAGGAGGCGGGGTGGGAGGGGTGTTGTTCATGGGTGTAGACACAAGATGGAGGGTTCTGCGATCTGTTGCACAGCAGTGTGCATGTGGTTGACAATATTGTCCTGTACACTTGAAAATCACTGCTAGGCTACATTTTATGTTACATGTGGTTTTGTCACAATTAAAAGATAATAATCCAGTGCAGGTTGGGGGGCTGATGAGTGAGTGGGGTGCAGATGTCTGGCCTTACATGGATAATCAATCACTGAAGCTGAGAGATGGGTACATGGGGACTCATCCTATACCTCTTTCTACTTTTGTATATATTTTATATTTCCATAATAAAAGTAGTTTTTTGAAAAAGAAAAGAAATATTCTTCTTTCTTGTTAATTTTTAATTTTTAATAGCATTTATAGGTCTGAGTTTATGAGTTGACCGATTTGCGAAGGGTGCAGCCTTTGCTGCTATTAATAGTTCTTTCTGCTAACAGGCAACGGCTGTGTTCTCTTAAAAATGGTTTAGCCCCAAACCTAAAGTAATGGAGGAGTAAGGAGGTCATAGAAAAGTCCAGGGTAGTGCTGGGAAGTTCAGATCATATCAGTCTCCCGACACAGCCCATGACTTGTCTTCCTACCCACAGCCCAACCTCAGCTCCAATACCAGATGGAAATTGACCATCAGACCTGAGCTTTCAAAGTCACCCATCTATTGAGAATTAGCCAGTGCATAATATAAAAATTTCCTTTTACAGTTTGTTCTGAAACATGTTTTTCCATTCACTTCCTCTCCTCAGAAGTTGAAGATAACTCCTATAAGATAAATTGTACCTTTTGCCAACAATTGTATCACATGCTAATATGCGAGATGGTTTTTTAACAATTTGATCACAGTAAGACCTGGAAAATCAACTATTCATTTGTATCTTTGGAAACAGGAAAGCAGAACTGAGATAAGAACCTAGGCTTCTCTGTGAATTAAATGAAAAAAACAAACAAAATCAAAATGCCAAACTGTAACCTTGCTTATTGTTATAGCATTATATCTATCACAAGGGATAATGTAATCTTCCACATCCAGAGTCCCACATATGTTCCAGCCTTAGTCCCACCAGACTAAGTGGGTTATAGTTTTTCTTTCTGGAATAGAGACTATGGTATGATTTTTTTTCCCTGAGTGCATCAGTTTTGCTCTGTTCTCTTTTCCACCCCACCTGGCCACCTGTCTTCCCCACATGGAGTGATCCGTCAGAAAGTTTTGGTAGAAAACCTTTGTAAATCTAGAGGGCAAGGATGTTCAGACACAGGAAGCACAGGAGTGAAAGGAGTCAAAAGTGATGAAATCGACGAGGGTGCATCAGCAACGAGGGATTAAACGTCCAGTTTGTGTCTCTCCTGTTCCCTTTTCTTCCCTTCCTTCTTCCCTGGTGTCCAAAGGTCCCTCTTTGCGGGCCTTCCCCCAGTCTAGAATTTGAAATACCACAGTGTTCAGTGGGTCTAAAGATAAAATAACTCTTGGAATATTTTTTCCCTTAAACAGTTTGTGAGCCCTCCAATAGTTATCTAGTGAGTGTGTCTGGGGAAGTTTTGGGTCGCACGGATGAGCTAATGACAAGACACGCCCCACCGCTGGGTGGTTTTCACCAGTGTGCCGGTTTAACTTACTTTTCTTCTTAGTTACATATTGTGAAGTTTAAACTTATATTTGTCCATTTGGCTAGAGACAGAAGCACAAAGGACACTGGTGTAAAGTAGTTAATAAGGAGCATAAAAATGGTAACGTCTGCAAATTCCTCTTAAAGCTGTCTGCATTGATCTACACACAGCCATGTCACCAGTATTTCCAAATTCAGTGTGAAAAAGATTAAATGTATCCAGTGTGGCTTATTACTTATTGGGAATTTAAAATGTAAAACTATACTCTCAATGTGTTAGTTGCAAAGTTTTAACAAATATCAGTATGAACTTTCTCCCATATTTTGTCATTGAGAAACAAAAAAAGCAAAAGTTATAAAAATAAAGCTGCCGATGTTTTAAGGGCAACATGCAAGATTTCTCTATATCAAGGAATAAAAAGGTATTTTAGTATATTTGACATAGTAATGTGTAATTGTTGTTTGTTTTAACATACATTAAACAAAACTGAATGTAATGTTTTAACATTCATTCAGTCTCCAATGATGAGACAATATATCATTTTAAAGCAAATTGGTCTACAAAATATTCTTTTTTCTAATTTATGACTTTATTGGGAATAAAATGTGCTATGTCATTTATTTCTTGATGCAAATAAGGCATATTTTATAGACAATAATATTTAGAATTATTAAACATGAATTCTAAGACAACATTTTAGTAACATTGACATAAAATTTTTAAACAAAATTTTACCAAAAACAGTGGAATTACTTGAAACAATTACTAAGAAGATCTAGGGGATTATATTATTACTATTAAAAGAGTTTAGAATAAAAAAGAAAAAGGCAAGGACCATTGCTTGGTAAGATCCTCACAAAATGCCCACTCTGTGATGTACTGGTGCCACCCTTGGAGGTCTTTCTTTTAGTATGAAGATATCTGAGGACAGCTAGCACTCCACAGCCAGAAGCTACTGACTGCCAGCAAATTTACAGCTGCTCCCTGGAGCTGGCTTTCGGGACTTCTCAATGCTCCAGGAAGGGCTGAGCAGAAAGCCTGTTCTCCCCAGAGATTTCCAGCAAGGATGTGAAGTGCACACGGGGGCTCTGAGTCTCCTCTTGGCTGTGTGGGGAGCATGTTTTGTAACCTGATGAGCCCAGAGGTTGAGCAAGGCCAGCAGGTTGCAAAAGGAAATCAATAATGATGTTTTCTGTTGGTTAAAGATAATTACCAAAATGAGTAGGGTGACATCTCTCAAAATGAATACAGTGACAGTGAAAAAACTGGGGAGATCTGAATGAAGTCTGCAGTTTAGTTAATAGTACTGAATTGATTTTAATTTATACGTTTTGACAAATGTACCATAGCAGTGTAAGATGTTCACATTATGGGAAGGTGGGTGGGGGGTAAATGGGGATTCTCCGTATGGCCCTTGTGCAAGTCTAAAAGTATTTTAAAATAAAAAGTACATATATATTTAATATATATGTGCAAATACTTCTTTTACGAGGAGTGTTAGAGGATTTAGGCTGAGAGATTTTGATGCCACATGGAGGGAGTCTGCTTGCCGATCTCAAATACAGCGCCTGGCCTGATAAATACTTTGTGAGAAGGACCTTGAAGAATGCATCTCCCGTGCTGAGTGCACACAGTTCATTCTTTTGGAGCACTGTCCTGCCCTGCGGATCACTGCAAGTGCCCCGTGGCAGTCTGTTTGCACCTGGAGTTGCGGGGGCATCACCCTGCCCCATCTCTTTTATGTCCTAATAATGCTGCCTTTCTGACCATCCATTGAATCGGGTCCCTACTGCATTTCACACTTGGATTAACTCAGTCATGCAAATTGTGTCAAGCCTAAAAGAAATCAGGCTGTGGGCAAATAAGAAAGGCTAATAAAAATTGAAAATACGGCTCACAGCTGAGATGCTCCTTTAGGACGCTGCTGCTCTCACAGTCCTCAGGTTCCCGGGCTCTGGCAGAGTGGGAGTGGGGTGGGGGGTTGGCGGGGGGGTAATCAGGCTTGAGTTACAACATAAATGAAACCCACAGGGTCAATTAGATTCCCAAATGTGGATTCACCTCTTCACGTGGAATGAAATGGTTCCGACAAGATTAGCAGGACGCAATAAACAAAGCATTCCTTGAAATATATTTGTTTGTCCTCACCAAGCAAAGATTTCCAGTGGACTTTCAGTAGGTTTCCTAATATTCCTTCTTGCACTAACACATAGCGTTGTGGTGCCAAGCCTCTGCTCTGCTGGTTCCTCCACTTGGAAGCCCTCTGGTAAACATTTCTATCACACGTCCGGCTCTTTACTGTCTTCCGAGGTCCAGTTAAAACACAATCCCTTAATTCAGACAGCTTTCCTGACTGGTCTCAAGAGAAGCACTCTCTCCTGCTCTGAAACCTGTCCTGTTTTGCTGGTTTTTCATGTACGTCACCTAACATTTCCTGCCTCACATCAGACTCATTTGTGTACACTCAGCTCCTTGCTGCCTGGAATGTAGCCTCCCTCATGGAGAAGCCGTGCTCTCTGGGTATCTCCCGCAAGTTCTGGTGTCATGATTTATACACATCATTGTAGGTGCTCAGAAGTTATTTCTAGAAGGATTTCCTTGGAGTTTAGGTCATGGATGAAGAAAAGACCATAATGGGAGAGGCTCTTAGAGCTTCTAACTTCTATCTCAGACTGGCTCCATGCTCAGACGGTTTGGTCTCTGTTCTTCATTGGTAGGGAACATTAGGCCATTAGGCAAAGGAAGGGACCTGCTATGTGTGTTTTTCTTTCTTTCTTTCTTTCTTTCTTTCTTTCTTTCTTTCTTTCTTTCTTTCTTTCTTTCTTTCTTCTTTCTTTCTTTCTCTTTTTTTTTTTTTTTTTTTTGAGACAGGTCTGGCTCTGTCGCCAAGCTGGAGTGCCGTGGCGCGATCTCGGCTCACTGCAACCTCCTCCTCCTGGTTTGAAGCGATTCTCCTGCCTCAGCCTCCCGAGTAGCTGGGACTACAGGTGCATGCCACCATGCCCAGCTAATTTTTGTATTTTTGATAGAGATGGGGTTTCACCATGTTGGCCAGGATGGTCTTGATCTCTTGACCTCGTGATCCGCCTCGGCCTCCCAAAGTGCTGGGATTACAGGTGTGAGCTACTGCGCCTGGCCAACGGTGTGTGTTTCTAAACAAAAAACCAAATTTGAAAAGAAACAGGAATATGCAATGAAGGCCCGGACCCTGTTGGAAGCCCTCAGAGGCATGACTCCAGCTAATTCTTAGCTTCCAGGGGTGAACCCAAATGTGTAGCAGGTGCTTAGTTTGATTCCCCGCTTACTCCTGAATTCTCAATCCACTCAGCACTGGTCTCCCTTTAGGGGTTCCACCTACTTTACTTGAAAGCTATTGACCTAAGATTGCCTGCGCAGATAATTTCCTGTACCCACTAACATGGATTAAATTTTATTGAGTGCAGAAACGACATTTAAAACTTCACTGTATCATTCACAGCACGTAGCCCAGAATGGAGTCCAAAAGTATTAATTCAATCATTGCCCCAACCAGTGGGCCAAGCTGAGCCGATAGGACCCTTCTCCAACCTCTCCTTGTCCCTCCCACATAGTCCTGACAAGCGGATTGAGGCTATTGTGTGGAGGATCACAACCTAGAGCAAACAACGCTGTCTCTGATGATGGAGATGATGATAGTACTAATAGCAACCCCAAGAACAACATTTACAAGTGCTTCCACCTATGGGCCACGTACTGTGTTTAAGTTACTTATGTGCATTACCTCATTTAATCCTTAAGAAATCCTCTGAGGTGTGTGCTAAATGAGTGTCATGATGCACCTTTTACACACAAGAAACCTGAGGCTTTGGGAGATTCAGAAATGTGGATCTGAGAGCCCAAGCCCTGAGTCAGCAGGAAAACCCGCATTTCTCCTGGTCCTGTAGTCTTGATCAGCTGTGCTGGTGCAGCCAGCACAGAGTGGAGGCTTTGAAACATACATCGTCTCACAAAGGACCATTGTTTCCAACACAGGGATCAGAATAGCGCTGCTCCTGTCTTCTGGGTTGTTGTAAACAGTCTGGGTAGACCAGGGTCTTATCTCCATCTCCAGCTTAGGAGGCAGGAGACAATTTGATAGAAGCTGCACTTCAATGACCACAGGCACACACAAAGAGTCTGCACAGGTTCACCCAAAGATCTATCTCCAAAAGCTGAGCTTTTCCTAGAACAGCCATAATATCTGGCTTTATTCCACATTTGTCTTTACCTTACTGCTTCTCCTAAAGAAAGCCCTATGACAAAAATTGGCAATAAAATTATTAACCATAATCATTTTTGTCTTAAACCAACTCATTTATGTTTAATGACCACTAAAGTAGGTGAGTTAAAAATAACCTCGTATTCTATTTCTCCTTCTAGGTGATTGGCGTCTCTTTCCATTCAAAATTAGAGAAAATACCAAAGCTCAGCAGTGATCTTCCTTCTAGAGGCTTGTTGGAACTCCAAACACATACCCCTGACAGATACAACAGGGATTAATGAGCCATGACCAGAAGTTTGATTTTTCTGTCGAGTGCTCCCATCCGTCTTTAATAAACAGAAGAACAACATAAACTCCATTGCCTGCTTTCCACTGCTGAAACTGAGCTGGCTGTTCCTGGTACCATGTGTGTTGAGCTGAGTTATGATTCTAAATGACTCGACAAACGCTTTTACAAGCCCCTTTGGTCTGCTACTCTGGTGACTGGCTTTGCTCTCCAAGTTCCATTTCTTTGCCTCTGTTTAACGTGGGCAGCTCAGTGCTTTGCCAGTGGAAACCATCAAATGTAATATCACATTTACAACTAAATGACTTCAATTTAGTGTCACTGGTACACTATCTGTGGTGTAAAACTGCCAAAATACCCACTATTTTCCCTTTAAGCCATGCTGTGTGCTTTTTTGCAGAAGGCTGTCTCCTGCGAGGACCAGAAGTTGAGCCAAGGCACATGGAACTTACAATAGCAGATGGTAAGAACCAGGTATGATCGCGGAGCAACGCCTGATGTCATGCTTCCTCTATTCTGCTGAAGCTGTATTTTGTGTCCGGAAAATATCTGTCCTTGACAAAAATAATTGCTCCATCCACGTTCACTGAAAAACTGTGTTGCTCAAAAAAAAAGAGGTTTATATTGCAAAAATTATTAAGAACAAGAGTGTATTTCTTTTCTCTTTTCTTTTCTTTTATCTTCTTGTTCTTGCAAAATAAACTAGGATTCATGTGGGACATTTATTTCTTTATTCCCTGAGATTGTTGCTGAAAAGACTGGCTGCCTTAAACCAAGCTGACCACAGGATGTCCCCAGTGTTCCATGAAAATTCCACTGAAAGGGCATTTACCTGGTAATGCAAAACTTGGTTCTTAAAGAAGAAAGGTCAGAGCACATAGATGTGGTCACATCTACAATTTCAAACAAAATCTGGTTTTGCAGAGGCAGCCTCAGTGTCATCAGGTAAAAATCAAAGCAGATCTGACTGGCGGTTGTCCTTGAAGAAAAGTGTGCCACCTACAAGTAAAGCCACTAAACTTAGCAGCCCAGAGCTGCTATTTAATTGCCCCTGAAGAGAAGTCACCCTGAGGTGGAGTTAATAACCAATACTAGACCTTTTTTTTCCTTTCACTTTAATTTTCTTTGAAAGCTTCATGCTCAAGCGACGTGGTGACCAATATCTAATGAAAATATGCTTCTCAAATACCTTCCTTGGGCTGACATATTTAGCAAATCCCAAAATGAGAGTCTGAAGAAGCCCAAAAGAGAAAATATTTGAAAGGATCATGAATATGCATCTAAACTTATTGAGTTAACACATTTTAAAATAGAAATTAGTTAAATATTTAACTCAATCTGCTCTGGCACAAGGGCAGGGGTGACATAGCCATGGTGCGAAAAAGCAGCTATGGACTAGCTATTTAACAGAAGATTCCCAGGGAAGGCAGTGGGAAAGGGCGAATCTGTCTGTCACTGAGCTCATGGAGGCACGGTGTGGAACTGCGTGTGTGAAACATTTCCTTCTGTCTTTTCATGGATTGATAGGTCACAGAGTTCAGTGCTAGGTCAAGTCACCCAAGGACCAAGGCAACTCGTCAGCCTCCTCTCTGGCCTGGATGATCCCAGGTTCAAGCAGATTTCTGTTGGTTTATGTTATCCAAGCTTCGTGAGTTGAGTCAACAAATGTATTACACTGATCAATTCCACTGGTGTTATAATAGCCCTCACCTCTGCTTGATTTTAACTTGTCTACAGACTGTGAGTGTCTATTCTGTACTGGGGAACAGTCACAGAGCATGCAGCTTCATCTCAGTGAAAGTATTCAAGGGTCTGGATAGAGCCTGTTTCCCCATTTGTTTTTCTTTTTAAATTAATTCCATTTTATGTATAATTGACATAATAAGTGAACATATTTATGGGATACAGTGTGATGTTTCAATGCATGTATATACATTGTATAAATGACTAAGTCAGGGTAATTACCATATTCATCACTTTAAACATTTATCATTTTTTTTTTGTAGCGATAACATTCAAAATGTTCTCTTCTAGCCATCTTGAAATACACAGAACATTGCTATCTGCTATAGTCACCATACTATGTAATAGAACACTGGAATTTATTCTTCCTTCCTAACTACAACTCTGTATCTATTGATCAACCTCTTTTGTTTCCCCTTACCCCTCCCCTCTCCAGGCTCTGATAACCACTATTCTACTCTCTATTTCTATTAAGGCATCTTTTTAAGATTCCACTTATGACTGAGATCGTGCAATATTTGTCTTTCTGTGCCTGGCTTATTTCACTTAATAATGTCCTCCAGGTTGATCCCTTTCATTTATATACCCATGTATACAAATCTGAACTTCTGTTATTTTAAAACTCTTGATGGAAGCCGTACTTCTACTGATGTGGAGGCTGTTATAAGCTGAATTGTATTTCACCAAATTCCCTTGTTGAAGTCCTAAACCCCAGTACTTCAGAATGTGATGATATTTGGGGATACAGTCTTTAACAAGCTAAGGTTAAAGCTTGTCATCCGGGTGGGCCCTAATCCAATGTGACTGTTGTCCTCATAAAAAGAGATTAGGGCACAGACATGCACAGAGGGAAGACCATGTGAGGACATAGGGAGAAGGTGGCATCTACAAGCCAAGGAGAGGGGCCTCAGAGGAAATCAACCCTGCCCACACCTTGATCTCTGACTCGGAGCCTCCAGAATTGTGAGGAAATAAATCTCTGTTGTTTAAGCCACTCAGCCTGTGGCACTTTGTCATGGCAGCCCTAGCAAATGCATATAGAGGCAAAAAATTTCAGTATGGTAATACTAGTTATGTATTATTAGTCACTAGCTCTTTGGTTAAACATAGCTCTCCTAGGCCAGGCGCGGTGGCTCACACCTGTAATCCCAACACTTTGGGAGGCTGAGGTGGGAGGATTACCTCAGGTCAGGAGTTCAAGACCATCTCTACTAAAAATACAAAAATTAGCCAGGTGTGGTGGTGCATGCCTGTAATCCCAGCTACTCAGGAGGCTGGGGCAGGAGAATTGCTTGAGCCTAGGAGACAGAGGTTGTAGTGAGCCACGATCATGCCACTGCACTCTAGCCTGGCCAACAGAGTGAGACTCTGTCTCAAAAAACAAAAACAAAAACAAAAACAAAACATAACAAAAAACATAGCTCTCCTAACTCAATAATAATGGCTGACATCAACTTACAACTTGGTAAATTCCGTGTATTCTACCAAGAGATTTACATATATTAATTCAGATAATCATCAAAGCAACCTTCTGACGTTGAAATCCCCATTTTTCAGATGAGAAAACTGAGGTGAGGACCCCTGTCCCATCAGCCTATAAGGCCCACACTTGACAACTAGCACAAAATATTTCAAACCATGAGGAGGGAGGATCACAAAAAGGTAGAAAAAAAAGTTGTGCCATTTTCTTCATATTCCTGTTTTATCTGCTAACTTCTGACACAGTATTTTTGCCTCTTGTGGGTAAATCTTGAATAGAATACACTTGCCCTACACATACGCTGATTACCCAAGAGTTAAGCTTGATTTCCACTCTTTCATCATGGGGCCACACCTTTTCCCTTTTTTAGGGCTCATGTATATCCATGGGTATATTCCAAATTATTTAATCTAATCTTCCAAATTACCTACTACCTACTAGCGCCAATTCCCCGTGGATTGTATGAAAAAGGCCAGGCTGGACAGGAGTGAGCAGGACACGGCGAGCATTGAGTGAGTGAGGCCAGTGACTGGGCATAACCCAGTTGGTGAATCCATGATTCACATGGAATCAGAGATCTGTGGAGCTGGGCAGGCCTTATAAATCTTCTGGTTCATTTAATTCATGGTTCTATTTCAGCACTTATCATAGTCTGGATCGATTTAGAGTGGGCTGTGTGTGTGTGAGTCTTCCTTTCCCAACCCTGAAAAGGGGTTCCCTGCAGACACAGTGCAGGGAGAGAAGCACTGAGAACTCCTCCTTTAGCAGCGGTACACACTGACACCCAGGGGTGTGTTCTTGGGTTTGTAACTTGCCAGGATGTACAGCTAGTGCTGGACCAGCCCAGAGGCTGGCTTGGTTCATAGTCCAACGGTGTTTCCATGACAACGCACTGCCTCCTAGAAATACCCAAATTTATTATTTTAAAAAGATACGCTGATAGATAATTATTCTCATCACAAAGGAAGATGTTACTGTGAGGAAGGATTCACTGTCTGGGACTATGAGCTTTGTAAGAAAACAGGGGCATGAGCTTGAAACCAAACTTGAAATTGAAAAATAAAAAGCAGCAGCTAGACATTCACTACCTCAAAAATAGAGAAAAACATATTGACCTTCTGGTTTTGAAATTGTTTAATAACTGGAAACTAGTTTCAAACTTGAATTTGGCATAGTTTTAAGAACTCAGTCAAGAGGAATACAAAATCCTATTTTTAAAATACAGCTGTTACAGTTTTAAGGCAACACCATCAATCTGCAGTGGAGGGAAACATACAAAGTAAATGTACTTTAAATGTTTTATAACTAATGTATGTATGAAGTAAAATATAAAGAAAATTCATATAGTTTTAACAATTGCAGAGTAATAAAAACATCCATTTTTAAGGATTACGGAAAATATTCAGGTCATTATTTGTCCAACTCAACCAGTTAATTATGTGAATGTCGATTTCAAAATACCCAACTGGAATCTCAGGGGATATGTGTGAGTGTTCTATCCCATGACTCTTTATAATAATAAAAATAAGCAAAAAGTAAATACAATTTGGGTTAAATAGCTTTCCTCTTTCCCTTGGCCACTCGGGCCTTCGTTTTGTTTAATTAATCTGTTCATTTCTGGTGAGACCATCTCTTGGCAATGCTTTGGGATACTTAGGTTTCCTGGAGTACAGAAGAATAGTCCATGTGGTTTCATATTGAATTGTGAGGTTGGAGGTGGGCCTGCTGCAGTCGTTCTGGACACATTCCCCCTCCTATCTTGTGTGCGATACGAGATTTGATAAGCTTTTAAGCAGCTTCTGCCTGTTTTCAGCATCTGCAGTGCATCACCTTTCTGGCTGGACTCACCAGCTTAGAGAAAGCAAACGACTTAGAAAAACCACAAAGCACAGTGCAGGTGCCCCACTGGATGCGGGGACACATTTTTGCAGTTATCTGCTGCTATGTTGGGTGTTAACTTCTGTAACTGAATATTTAAGCCTGGGAACTTGCTTGTTTTTCGCCCTCACATCGGGCATTCTCCGGCCCTTCCCCTGGAGGGTGAATTGTGCGGGTGGGGTGGGGTGGAGGGAGAGGAGCGCGAAAGCAAGGATGACTGCCCACCTTGGATGCCTTTTCCAGCACGATGCTCTGACTAATGAGCAGAGGCCACTGCTGAAGAGCAAGGCTGGGTCTCCTTTTCCAGAGACTGAGCCCATTACCCTCTCGGCCCCACTAGCCTGCAGGCACCAGCCTGCCTCCCAAATGGATGACTTCCGGCTCGCCATGCCGCTCCCAGTCCTAGTGCCAGTGGCCGTGAATAACCTTGCTTTTGTGTGTATTTATTTTATTTTGAATTTCTCCACCCTGGATCTTTCCACCTCCAAACCCCACCCCCTGCTTGCCGGCCCCATGTGGTGATGTTTCTTGAAATGTTAGATTCTTTCTTCCTCTATCCCCCCCTCCAGTTCTGGAAGCATTTTGTTTCTGTACTGCTTTGTGAAACTGGTGCTGAGTCCAGATCCTTGGGGCTTTAAAGTTGAATTAATTATTAAACAGGAAGGGAGCAGTACTTTCAGCAGGCGCCAAGTGACTATACTTAAACTGCAACCTGGCACTGGTTTTCCCACCCTTGTGCTGTGGTTTGCTGAAGGCAACTGGAGATTTTTATTCTAGTTTTAATCAAGCATTTCTGTAAGTTTTCAGGCAGTTAAGATTTGGCAGCAAAGGGCTGGGAAGTCAGTCTTCATCACCTCCTGACCAGTTTGGCCAAAGAAAAAATTAAAACAAAATCAGAAATACTTTCCCAGTTCATAAATCAATCTGAAATTGCCCACTCTCTACGGGTTGCTTTTCCTGAGGACAGGGTGGGCTTTTCTCTCAAATATATGTATATTTTTTATTGATCAGCTTCCATTTGTAGAGAATGGTGCTTTTCAAATAAAACCATCAGAACACTGGCTTTAGTTGCTGTGCGATTGTTATAATCATTGCTTTAATTTAGGGGCTATGTTGAAGATATGAAACCCTGTATTTAAAAATATACTCAGGGAGGGTGGGTGCAGTGGCTCATGCCTGTAGCCCCAGCACTTTTGGAGGCCAAGGCAGGAGGACCGCTTGGGACCAGGCGTTTGAGTCCAGCCTAGCCAACGTAATGAGATCCCTATCTCTAAAATAATGAAAAATCAGCCAGGCACGGTGGTACACCTGTAGTCCTAGCTACTCAGGAGGCTGAGGCGGGAGAATCACCTGAGCCCAGGAGTTTGAGGCTGCAGTGAGCTAGGATATTGCCACAGGACTCCAGCTGGGGCAACAGAACAAGGCACTGTCTCTAAAAATAATAACAGTAGTAATAAAGTAAAAATAAAAATACATATGAAGACACACAGCAGAATTTCTTACTTTTCTGAGGCTAGGCATTCATGCTAGAAATTCGCAACTCAATGGAGTTGGTGGGTCAGCTTAGCCCAGATACTGAATATAGGCATCCTCACAGAGCTATATGAATGAGACAGTGGCCATGTTTTAGAGAAACCCAAAGCCTTCCTAAAGGTATCAAACTAATACCCTTAAATGACAGCAAGACGCTTTCTGGAGGCTGCCCCTGCAGCGGGCTGGCCCTCTGATTTTCCCCTGGCTCCTGGTGTTTGGTGGTGGGCCTTTCCCAGTCTTGGCTGACTGCTCTGCAGGAAGCTCGCTAGGAAATGCTCTGCTCAGCTCCATTAAGTCTCACCCTGTAGCTGAGCAGCGGTGCAGGCTGTCAGGGTGGGGAGGGAGGAAGAGCTATCTGGGTGCAGCTGGGTGCGTAGGCAGGAGTGTGAAGCAGCCTCAAGAGGAAAGAGAACAAAGATTTGGTTAAAAATTTAGATTCATGCATATAAATTTGGAACAGGGCAAAAAAAAGTAAGCCCAACGCACACAACCCTCCCGCACCCCTCCCAGTTGGCTTGTGATGAAGTGTGCATGTGAGAACAGCTCAGAACCGAAACACCGTACAGTCATGTCACCCCTAAGAATGTGCTGGGAAACCTTGCAACAGATACATCCTTAGAACTTTTAAAAATGAGAGATATTCTGTGAGCCTTCAGTCCAAATACTATTTTTTGGACTTATTTTCCATTCAGGAATTTAAAAAAATATATTCTTGCTGACAATTCTTAACTTTAAAAAATATTAAACATTTTAAT
This sequence comes from Homo sapiens, assembly GCF_000001405.40. Classification (NCBI taxonomy): domain Eukaryota; kingdom Metazoa; phylum Chordata; class Mammalia; order Primates; family Hominidae; genus Homo; species Homo sapiens. Next base: position 104,938,088 of record NC_000002.12, on the reverse strand, counting down.
CATACATATAATATATGTCTTCACTGTGTAATTTCCATCAGTCAATAGATTTAATTATAATAAACAAATAAATGTACTTACAATAAGCAAAAAACTGTGGTCCACTGGCTTATTGAAAAAGATTAGTTAGAAGAAACCAGATAAATTCACACTTCTAGGAATTTAAGCTCAAAATTTCAAGCACCTCTATTTTTTTCTGAATTGTCACCTTTTCCAGGGACTGATCCTTTCTCAATAAATCATCCTCTGACCTTGGTGTTGAGATTGTCATGGGGCTTCCACTCTCAGGATGTCAAGTTTGGTCATATTCTTTAGGATTCTATTATGGCCACATTGCACTTCTAACCACAGTAAATAATTTAAAACCCAAATTGAAAATGATATATTCCTCATCAACTAATATTTGGAAAATATACTTATTAAATGCACAACTTTTGTACAATTTCTATCTGCTCTTTATGTCCCACTTTCTTTCCAGAAAACATATTCTGCACTGGTTTTAAAATCACATGATAAGATTTCTAATCTTTGAGCAAAAGTCCTCGCCCTTTATATTTGGAAATGGGTTGATACTCTCATCCCTCACCCATGGAAAGTTTGCAATATAAAATTTTAAAAAATACTTTATTTAAAATAACCTTCCAGCAGCTGGCCTAGTCTTCTATGTTTAGATATTAGAAAACACTTGAAAAGCACTTTCACTTAGTTAAAAAGGAAAACTAGTCAAAGATAATAATAACAACCTTTTAAACAAGAAAAGAATACGGAGAACACCAAACAGGCATGCATTGGGTTGTAAAAGCCTTTTTTTTCTCCCCTAGTTAAGGATAACTCTAAAAATATTGTGTATACCCACCTATGGTTTCCTGAGGACTTTCCTCCCTGTCTGCTAAAAAGCAAAAGTTAGGAAATTATGTCTGATTTGTGTCAAATGTGTTCCAAAGAATCATGAGGCCTTCCTTTCACTGTGAGGAATATTCATGTAGGAAGTCGTCCTCTAAGCAGTTGTCACCTTTTCTTACATGGTATTCCCAACTGCAATGCCAGGCAGTGAGGGCTTTGCCGCAGTAGGAGCGGCTCCAGTTCCTGGGTGAGCCCAGGGCCTGCCCAGACGTCGGCCATCTCTGCAGGTGTATGGGCTGCGGCCCTAGGCAAGACTGTCTCTGCCTTCCCCAAAGGTCTCTGAGCCCTTCTGCGGCCCAGATGGTTCCAATTTGAGGCCTACATTCAGTGCTGGAGCTGTATTGAGTTTCTTCCCTGAAACCAACAAAACCTGCTTCAGCATTTTGCTTGGATTAAAATATTTGTCCCTTTTTTTCACAGGGCAGAAGGAGAACTCCTGAAGCCTCCGAAGGAAGGAAATCATTACAGGGCCCTACAGAAGTAGGTCATGTGCTACAGCTGCTCATAGTTTAAGAGGAAGAAACATGGGATCTCAAACCTGGAACACGACTCTTTCAAAATGCTTGTGAGCAACCCAAGAAAAACATCCTCCTGAGGCTTATCTAATAACCATGATCTCTAATCGTCTCAATGTGTGCTCATGTTTCCTTAGGAGTTTGCACCCACTTCTCAGAGCTAACGAGATGCCGAAACAGAACACAGAAAAAAGTAATGAAGGAGATTTAATAGTTTGTGTTAAAGCTAATATGGTCCATTAGGGGCTGTCATTTTTATAAACAGTGAGGATACGTTACCCTCTTCTTTGGTGTAAAGTCATTCCGTGCAGGACCTGTAAACATTCAGTAATGATCTGTAGAACATGCATGAACGACAATTAAAGCACCACTTGAAAAGTCTGTTTTCCTCACATATTTGTTTTCTTGCTAAATAAACTTGTAAAGTTCATACATGTGTACGCATATGCTTACATTATAAAAAAAGTGTGCATTTCATTAAGAACATCTACGAACAGATATAAGTGTTTTTGGTTCCCATTAGCTTGAGAAATATCAGAAGTGATTAGTTAAATGAGGAGCATAGGTTCTGTTTTTTAGTGCATACTATAATAATAAAACAACCACTCTTTTATGGTAGCTTAGCAAGACAAAATTATAGTTCACAATGTCATGAAAGGCATGATTACAACCTTTGAAAGTTACAAGTAAAAAAGCTTCTATAAAACCTATCTGTTGCCAAAAAATTATGTTCTACAGTGATTCAGATATATTTCTGAAATTTATTTTTTAATTGTGGCTGATACCAAGCAGAGGCAAGACTTGAGAACTTGCATTCTTTTTGAGACTCACTGAATGTACTTGAGAAAATAAAATCAGATTGACTCCCTCTGACTTTGTAAATAGAGTTTGCTCCCTTGCTTTCTCTCTCTCTTTGAAAGGACAAATGATTCCTTTTTATAGGTTTTAGGTTTGGCAGAATTTGATTAAAAAAAAATTCTTACAACCACCTAACATTTTCTGCTGCAAACAGGAGTGGGTAGGTAGTAGGGGATAAAGAAAGGTCCAGATTAAAATTATTCTAGTTATTCACATAGACTTGAAAACTCCAGTGATGAGTTTTGAGAAGTAGCCTTAGGCAGAACTTGCTATCAAAGAAGGCCAGGAACAAAAGACATTTAAAAGCAGATTACGAGTCTCTCCTAACAAAGCAAAATCAAATCACTGATCAATAAGTGCAGCTGGGTTAAAATTGTTTCCTTAAAAAGGCTTTAAAAACTTTTTTGAGTGATAAGCTGGAGGCTGACCCTTTTATGCTTTTCAGCAAACTCCTCCTGGAAAAGTCTTTCCCATCTCTTCCAGGGCGGCCTCTTTTGGGATGAGTCTCTCTCTTCTCACTTAACACAAGCAGGCCTTTGGCTGGAAAAGGCTGGCAATGTGGTTTCCAAGAAAAGGAAAGATGCTCTTTGATCTAACTCAAGCCCTCTAAGAGAGTTTAGCTACTAGTCCCAACAGCATAGCTGGATTCCCCATGGTCATCTATGAACTATTTGTGCAATGCCCAAGCTGGAATTACCATTAATGGTGTAAAATCAACTTGAAACCTAAAGAAAATCTTCAACAAAGAAAAGCCCCACACTCCAGGTCACTTAAGCCACAAAAATGTGCTGGGTAGGTTGTGGCTCGCTGTCTAGATCAAGGCCATGTGGACGACGTTGAGGCGTACCTCCCATCGTCAGACGTTAACTCAGATGCCGGCTCTTTCAGTGACTGATTTCAAACAGGGCTTTTAAAAACAAGGGAAGAGGGAAAAAAAAGAAAATCAATGAGCAAGTGGTGTTCAATTTATTCACATATGTTCCAAATGGCACAGAGATAAGCAAAAAGGGTTCTGGTACATTTTTTAATGATTTCATTATCACTAGACAAGAATGGAAAGATCATCCAGATGCTATTGAAAAGATAGAAAAAGAAGATTTAAAAAAAATAAGAATAATATCTTGAATGGTTCCCTGCCCGGATACCTAAACAGTGAAGGCCGACCAATGAGATCTTTGAAGTTAGGTCTATTTGCAAGTCCATTTATTTAAAAAGGAAGGTTGAGATGATGTAGAAAAAAAAAAAGAAAACTTTTAGAAAAATTTGTTCTTGGCCTGGCTGTCCTTTTCTCTGTGTGAGCATCGTTTGCCTGGGGTGGATTGTCATTTGAGCCAGTGATTAAGCAGGGAGGGAGAGTGAAGCAAAGCTACAGTCCCCTTCGGTGGAGCAGGGGCTTGGCCAGTGCCCTTCCTGGGAAGCCTGTATCACACACAGCACACGTGGAGGATGAGGATTATTCCCATTGCAAGGGCTGCCGCTTGAGTCACAGATCTGCCCCTTTTCTTCTCTTGGCTGCTCCTTGTCCATCCATAATAGCGATCTTTGTGTGTCGAATTCTGCACTATTGCAAAGCGCCCTGGCCACTGGGTCTGAAGAAAGCTTTCTCCCTTTTCTGGAGGCTCTCTGAAAAGTGAGCACTCTCCATTGCTTATGTGGAAATGCTTGGCCACCTAAAAAGTGAGTTTATGGTCTCTTTTTAGTTTTATAAAATTATTATTATTTATTGTTAGCTTTTTTAGAGACAGGGTCTCACTCTGTTGCCCAGGTTGGATGCAGAGTGCAGCAGCCTCGAACACCTGGGTTCAAGCTGTCCCCCCGCCTTGGCCTCCCAAGTAGCTGGTACTGCAGCGGCATGCCACGCCCTGCTAAGGTTTATGATCTCTTTATGGGTGTATGTGTGTGTTATGTTTCTAAGTAGATTGTAAGCTTCCTGAAGGTGGGGGCCACAGTCTTCCTGATCAGGTCTATGACCTCCTAATTGTTCAGCAGAAGTTGGTCTGTTGCTGGGTGCATGATAATGAAACAGAATAGACCATGCCCAGGAATGTGCGTATAGGTGCAATTCTTAATCAAGGACGCAAAGCGTGTTTGGCATGACTCAAAGTAATGCCAAAAGTATTGCTCAAAGCAGCGTCTACCTATGGAATGATCAAAACAACGCCTCTTCAGAAAGACAGCATGCCTTTTACAGCACCACAGTTCCCCTTGAATTTTCTTCCCAAAATCCACTGAGAGTGTGGGGACTTGGATTCCTCCATCCCCCGATTCTCCTGATTCACTATCACACTGTCCCTGGACTTTATTAGGGTAAAACTTTCCAGTATCTGGAAAAGAAGTAAAACCCTCATTTCTCCGAAAGCACTGGAGTTGTGTATGCAGGATGGATCATTTTCATTTATGTTTGGTATGATCGTTATTTCAGCTGCTTCATGTCTGCCAGGCCTTACACATGTTGTTTGTTTCATGGCCAAAATAGTATGTGACCTATCTTGAAACCCCAAGAAAATTTCTCTAGCAACAGCCTTGTTTTCTGACATTGTAAATCATCTCTCCTTCCACACAATTTTGCATGGCCATCACAAAAATAAATGTGGATATCTGAATTTTGTAGTTGAAGACGTTAAGTGGGTACTTGTAAATTAGATTCTCCAAGTCCCAACAACATCTATTTATTGTTTTGCTTATCATTCTTTAACTTTTACCAAAGGGACCTCCTATTGCTTACAACAAAATAGCAACAAACACAATATCTAGAAGTGTGTTTAGTCCAGCTAAGGGCTGATCTAGGGCTGCCCGTGCAATCAAAACCTCTGCCTTAGCTCTCCGTGTGTCTTGAAAGGTAAAGCTTTCACCCGCTAACTCTCTCGGTTCACGAATATGTCGCTGGGGTTTTTTTTTTTTTCATATGGTAAAAATCATATTGGAAACAGGCAAATTAATCTCTTTAATTCAAAATCATTTACCTAGTACCCACTATGTGCAACACCAGTGACAGAAAAGCTACACATAAAAGCACATCAGTTGGAGATATGGTCGTGTTCAGCATCTTGTTCATGTAAATAATTGGAAACACAGTCAGTTCGTCCCACTCCCATAACTGAGGTGCTGTTTCCCTTAATGGTTCCCTACGTGTTCAAAGACAGATCATCCCTGGATTACTGCAGTTTTAGACAACACACTAACATTCACTAATAGGGGAATGGAAATTAAAAATGTAAATAAGTGCTTGGGTTCCCCACCCCCAAATAGGTCAGATAACTGCTTATTTTCCTCTAAATTAATGTGCTTTGAGGTTCTGTAGGCAGAGGCTAAACACCTATTACGAATATTATCATATGTCTCGTTTTTACTAATCTTTGGTTTGGGTGACTGGATTTAAGTGATGTAAGCAAGAAGATACGGAAAGTGAGAGTAATCACAACGTGAAAATGCCAGTGAGACACCTAGTGCCCTATGGCCTGTTGGAACAATTTTGCCTGCTTTTACAAGTTTCTCCCTCCTCCATCCCTTCTCCTCCTGGAACTTCCTGCCTTGTTTTTCACTAGTTCAGACAGACACTGTGTCTTCTCACCAATCTCAGCTTCCTTTCACTCTAGATTTGTTCATTCTGGCCTGGGAACTTTACTTGTCATTTGGTCACCCCGGAGTCTCTTCCACCTCATTCCCAAACAACTTTCTAAGGTTTTCATTTAAGTAAAAACTCTAGTAAAGCACTGGTAAGCATTGGTTAAATAACCTTCGTGAAATAAAAAAATATTTAATCGAACTTGGGACTTGTTTATCTGATGACAATCTATATTATTCATTTTGTGATATTTCTAGAAACTCTCCAAATTAATCTCAATTTAAATCTAGTCCTTCCACCTTCAGAGGGCCTTTGGCTTGTAAAAATCTTAGTTTTTCAGTTTCATTATATTCGTGTACTTATCTGGAACAAATGCTCTGTGTGCTTGTGCGTGTGTTATTGTGTGTGCATGTGTTATTGTGTGGATTGTTAATTCCTTCAGGAGGACAGGAACATATCCTTTATCGTCATCATCTTCTTTTTCTTATTTTTTTGTCTTTTCATCATGAGTCCTATACTCACTGAATATAATCGCAGAAGTCCCTCAATAAAAAATTACTGGCAGTTTTGCGCTTAAGCAAAATTCCCATGAAGTCTATAAAAAACTATTCCTGAAAAAGAAAGATAGGATAGAGTAGACAACGCAGTATAATTCTGAGCTAGTTGAAATCTATATTATTCCCATTTAACAAGGAAGCTTATTAAAAAATAATTAAAGAAAATGAGTACGTTTAAATGTAAATTTTGTTCAAAATTTCTAATTTTAAATAGGTTTTGAAATGCATAAAGCATAGTTCATCATCATATAATGTATTTTCCCTTATCTGACCTACCTTGCAACTCCAAGAAAATGTCTCTGGCAATGGCATTGTTTTCTAACATTGTAAATAATCTCTTCCTCCACAAAATTTTATATTTGAGTAGTTTAAAACATTTGTGGGTGTGTGTGTTTTATGAGAGTTATTCAACCAAATAAGTGATTACCAAAGGTATCATTTTATTGTTTTGTTTTTTGTAAGTATGGATAGAATTTTTAATTCAAATTTTTTTTCATTTAAAACTCTGTGGCATAGCAATTAGACCATCACACCAAAAAGCAAGTTAGAAAGGGAACAAAGGGCATTCACCATTTGTTTTGCATTCAAGGACACATATTTCATAGGAAATAAAGAATATCTGCCTGTATAGGAGATCAGAAACAAAATAGTGGTGTCATCCACAAAGACAAGGTGGAGCGAATGTGTTCCCATCAGATGTCCTGGGAAGGCTTTTGAGTTTTGTTTTGAAATTTACTCAGATATACAAAGCCCGGGCAGAGAGTAAACAGTGTACTGGAGTTGAGTAATCCAGGCGACATTTCTAGTGTCTAACTTGGGAGAGAAGAAATGTACAAATTCTGAATGAGGTAAAGAATAGGCTCCTATTACTTCACTAGGAGATTTCTGCAGGGGAATTTCTGCAAACTCCAGCTCATTATGATGCAGTAACAAATGCAGTTCTATAGAGACACCTACTAAAATTCCTAATTAACTAGGGACAAACCTGCCTCCTTGTACATCTAATGCCACTGTATTTACCTAGAAGTCAGCAAAACCCACAAGAATGTACCATTATTTTCCTAGGTAAAAGTAAATGAATGTAAATCTAAATCATCCAACCCTATTGTGCCTTAAAAAGGCGTATGTTCATAGAAAGTAACAGTGGGAACTGCGGAGTTTGTTGTCTGAATTAAATACAAATTTACATACCCAAATGACTAAAATAATGAAAGTGATAGATTAGGGTATTGATGCATAATCACTGTCTAGAATGCAGAACTTACGAGCCGCCTGATTTTGAGAACAATTACTTGTAATTAAAGCTGTGCTGGTTACCCAAAAAATAAATAAATAAATAGAGAAGTCCTTTGTGTATAACACCAATTAATTACTTTTTTTTTCAGCGAGAATAGCTCTTAAATGTCTGTGCTGCTATTTATATCTGACCACGTTCAGGAGTGGTATGAAATATGTATTGCTTAGCAGCTTTCTCAGGATGCTATTTGCAACTCACGCTTTTCAGTCAGTTTTCCTTAAACCCATTTAAAAAACAGTAACATCCGTAAGACTCTAATGTAAGAGTGATATTAAGATTCCTGTTTTCTTCATAATTAATAAAAACAAATACCTAGACCCAACTAGACAGTTTGTAAATCAATTTCTGTAGCTGCCACCCCCACCTGAATAGCGATTCAATTATAAACACAGTGATGCTCAGGTATAGCAAGTATTTTTTTCTTGGTAAGGACTCAAAATATGACTGTATTGTATTTAGCTGTACAGCAGCCCTGTGGTTCTTAGTCAACCCAAAACAGGAGATGGCGGTGGTTGGTGACTGTGTCACTGAGCACTCTTTGTCTTTTGGGAGCGAGGCAGGGTCAGCTGGCTGTCAGGGGCTGAAAGAGGCTTGGCCACTGGCATCCAGCTGCCATCCCAGCTCCCAAAGGTCTGATTACTGACTGGCTCATCCACTGTCCCCATTTTGAGGTCCCTGCTGGAACTGGCCCTAGGGAGAGAGGCACGAGCAAACACATCACTCAGTCCCCTCCTTCACTTAGTGACAGAGCAAGTTCTGGATTTTTCACAACAGTCCTTTTTTCAGGTGAGTTTATTATTTGCTGTGTAACCAACAGTGGCTGAATTCCTTACCTATTGTGAATCCGTTCATAAACCAGGCAACTACATCAGTTACAGGGGTCTATGTCTAGATCTGGAGTTCTGGAAAGAAAATCACTGTAGGAAACAGATCAGAGTAAACGTGAATATGATTTTTATTTGGGTGAATAATCTGAGTGTCATTTTTCTTCCTTTCTCCTTTTTTCCAAGGTGAATGTAACATCTCTGCAATGAATGGTGATCTGTGTTGCGGTTAGAAACGCAGGATCAGAGATCCTGCTGCCCGGGTTCAATTCTTGGTTTAATCCTGTATTGCTGTAAGACTTTAAGAGACTTATCTTCAGCTGGGCATGGTGGCTCACACTGGTGATCCCAGCACATTGGAGGCCAAGGTGGGTGGCTCACTGGAGATCAGGAGTTCAAGACCAGCCTGGCCAACATGGAGAAACCCCGTCTCCGCTAAAAATATGAAAATTAGCCAGGCATGGTGGTGCCCGCCTCTAGTCTCAGCTACTTGAGAGGCTGAGGCAGGAGAATCGCTTGAACCTGGGAGGCGGAGGAAGCAGTGAGCTGAGATGCTGAGATCGTGCCACTGCACTCCAGCCTGGGCAACAGAGTGAGAATCTATCTAACATGGTGAAACCCCGTCTCTACTAAAAATACAAAAAATTAGCCGGGCATGGTGGCGGGCTCCTGTAGTCCCAGCTATTCGGGAGGCTGAAGCAGGAGAATGGCGTGAACCCGGGAGGCAGAGGTTGCAGTGAGCCGAGATTGCGCCACTGCACTTCAGCCTGGCAACAGAGCGAGACTCCGTCTCAAAAAAAAAAAAAAAAAAAAAAAAAAAAAAAAAAAAGATATATATAAAGAAGTTTTTACATCGCCCAATCCAAAAGAATCATCATTAATTAGTTGCATTTAAAAAATAATAAAAACCCAAAAATAAATTATTTTCTCATTATTATGATGCCTCAAATTCTCATTATATAGATCACTTCTTTGATTTAAGATGTTAAAGCATAAGGTTTTCCTGAAACACATTTCAAAAATAATAACATCAGAAAGATTCTAATGTAAGAGGGGCATTAAGATTCCTGTTTTATTCATAATTAATAAAGACAAGTTCCTCTACCCAGCTAGACGTACTAAGTATGGACCTGGTTATACGCTTAGGATATTTTTCAAGAAGGGCGCACACAAAACTCTTAATAGTGATTTCCTCTGTGGAAAGGGAGGGTCGGGAGAAGGAAGGAAAACTTTTATATTTTATATTTTTCTGTAGCATTTGAATTTTTACTGTGCACGGATATATCTTTTACATCACCTATTACAATAATCATTAACTCATAAGTGGAAATACATGTTTAAATTAACTAGCGGAGTACAGGATTCTGAAAGACTGCATGTGAAAGTGAAGGAGCGGTGCAGGAAGTACAGAGGAGCCCACAGCCCACCTTAAGGTATCACTGGGACATCCTGGGCCACTGAGCAATTCTGGGCCCCAGAGGCCCCTGCTGACCCCAGTATGCCCTAATGCAGGCATGGCAGCACATAGGATTTGGGCTCAGTCAGACCTGATGTTGAACATTGGTCTGTTCATCAGTGATCTGTGTGCCCTTAGGGAAGTTCCTTAATTTCTTTGTGCAGCAATTTCCTCACTGGATATCTTTTTTAAAGGAGGATCATAATGTCTACTTTCATTTCTCCACTTCTAAGTGTGTTGTGAATACTATATAAGCTCTGGCCTAGGGTAGGGTGAGGGAAAGTTAGCAAATCTTGGCTCTTCTTTCCCTCCCCTAACTCCTTGTCCTGTCAACTCGACATTTTTTTTTTTTTTTTTTTTTTTTTTTGAGACAAGGTCTCACTCTGTCACTCAGGCTAGAGTAGAGTGGCACAATTATAATTCACTGCAGCCTTAAACTCTTGGGCTTGAACAATCCCCCGCCCCAGCTTTCAGACTTACAGGTGCATGCCGCAGCACCTGACTAATTTTAAAAAAATTTTCTAGAGATAGATGCCTCACTGTGTTGCCCAGCGTGATCTCGAACTCTTTGGCTCAAGCAATTCTAATGCCTTGACCTCTCAAAGTGCTGGGATTAGAGGCATGAGCCACTGCACCTGACCCATTTTTTAAAAATTGTAAACATGTTAGTATTTATCAGAGAGTTAAATCCCCATCCTTTTCTCTCTCTACCCCCTTTCTACCCCCTTTCCCTTTTCTTTCTCCCTGCCTTCTCATCTTTGTTTTTGTGTGTCTTTAAAAAGCCACCAAAAGGAAGCATTCCTGACCTCGTTGTTATGAACTGGATGTCTGTGTGCCCCAAAAGCCATGTGTTGAAATTGTAATGCCCAAAATGATGGTATTAAGAGGTGGTTAGGGTTTGAAGGCAGAGCCCTCATGAGTGGGATTAGTGCCCTTATAAAAGAGATGCCAGAGAGATCCCTTGCCTTTCCCACCATGTTAGGGCACAGTGAGGACTATATATACATATACATATATTTTAAGTTCTGGGATACATGTACTGAATGTGCAGGTTTGTTACATAGGTATACACACACCATGGTGGTTTGTTGCGCCCATCCACCCATCATCTACATTAGGTGTTTCTTCTAATGCTATCCCTCCCCTAGCCCCTCACCCCCTGACAGGCCCCAGTGTGTGATGTTCCCCTCCCTATGTCCCTATGTCCATGTGTTCTCATTGTTCAACTCCCACTTATGAGTGAGAACATGCAGTGTTTAGTTTTCTGTTCTTGTGTTAGTTTGCTGAGAATGACGGTTTCCAGCTTCATCCATGTCCCTGCAAACAACATGAACTCATCCTTTTTTATGGCTGCATAGTATTCGATGGTATATATGTGCCACATTTTCTTTATCTAGTCTATCATTGATGGGCATTTGGGTTGGTTCCAAGTCTTTGCTATTGTGAACAGTGCTGCAATAAACATACATTTGCATGTGTCTTTATAGCAGAATGATTTATAATCCTTTGGGTATAATGGGATTGCTGGGTCAAATGGTATTTCTGGTTCTAGATCCTTGAGGAATTGCCATACTGTCTTCCACAATGGTTGAACTAATTTACACTCCCACCAACAGTGTAAAAGTGTTCCTGTTTATCCACATCCTCTAAAGCAGCTGTTGTTTCTTGACTTTTTAATCATCACTATTCTAACTGGCATGAGATGGTATCTCATTGTGGTTTTGATTTGCATTTCTCTAATGATCAATGGTGATGAGCTTTTTTTCATATGTTTATTGGCCACATAAATGTCTTCTTTTAGGAAGTGTCTGTTCATATCCTTCACCCACTTTTTGATGGGGTTGTTTGTTTTTTTCTTGTAAATTTGTTGAAGTTCTTTGTAGATTCTGGATATTAGCCCTTTGTCAGATAGATAGATGGCAAAAATTTTCTCCCATTCTGTAGGTTGCCTGTTTACTCCAATGAGAGTTTCTTTTGCTGTGCAGAAGCTCTTTAGTTTAATTAGATCCCATTTGTCAATTTTGGCTTTTGTTGCAATTGCTTTTTGTGTTTTTGTCATGAAGTCTTTGCCCATGCCTATGGTGAGGACAATCTTCTATGAACCCAGACAAGAACCAAATCCGGCAGCACCTTGATCTTGGACTTCCAAATCTCCAGAACTGTAAGAAATAAACATTTGCTGTTAACACAACCCAGTTTATGGTATTTTGTTACAGCAACATGAACTGACTAAGACACTCGTCCAAAATGGTTTCTTAAACAAACACACAAAATAACTCCCCAGTGGGAAATTTTGCCTCAGAGTCTAAGTTCTTTATGGCTGGGCTAATTTTCTCTGATTCTGTCAGAGTGAAAGTTCAGCCAGAAGCTATTCTTCTATCTAACTCTGAGGAAAATTAATAGATTTTTCTCCTTAGCCTTTATTCTAGGCTAAATAATCACTAATCATTTAGCTTTCATTTGTGGTCTTACTTTTTACAGTTTTAAATTTATTTTTTGCATTCGAGGATGTTTCTCTTACACCTTCTCTAGGTTCTGCATGGCTCACAGTTGTAGCACCCAGTTCTGCATAATCCAGAGAGATTCTGTTTAGTTGGTCCAGTGGCCTCCTCCCCACCCTCTTTTGCTTCTATCTGAGGTTTAACTTAAGGGACATGAGTCAAGAGAGTAAGAGGAAACCTTGGGAATTTCTTACCTACTCATTTTCTTTCTTCTCTTATTTCCAATCTCACAAGCACATCCTTCCAAACCTAGAATCAATTTTATGTTCATTCCCATTTAATACCCTTCTCATCTTATTCTCATGTGATGATCTGACATACAAATCAACAAAGTGTTCTCTAATAAAGACATAAAGGGCTACCTTTCCCAGGCACAAATGATAGCCAACAATGCCCACCAAAGTGAAGACAGGATTGCTGGTGGAGAAGTTGATTTCCCAGTTCCTCTAATCACTTGTAGGCATGAGTACAAAACCCAGAGAAGAAAACCCTAGATTGCTCCAAGGTAGGCTAGGAGTGAATATTCACTTTTCCAAGGATTAATTTCTCATTAAAGGGCTTCATGATAGAACCTAAATTGCAAATTCTTTAAATTGCACTGAAAGTTGCTGGATTAAGATATCTTTGCAGTATAAAAATTGCCATGTCTATAATGCTCCCTACTTTATTTTTGAAATCTGATGCAATTAATAGATACACAGGGCCATTTTCATAATACCCTAGATTCACAAAGGAAGAAGTGAAACTAATCACCTTTTACAAACTGGCAAAATTTTGGGACTGGTTAATGGAACTAGTGAATAGTGTAGCCAGCAGAGGTTGCATTTCATCAGTTACATGAAGTTCAAAAGTGAGATGCAAGATTTCAGACAAAGAATAAAATCAATTCAGAAAAAGAGAGGATGAATAGATCAAAAGATGAAGAGATGAGGTTATGAAGAGTTGAAAGTGGAAAATGAATTCGAAAACCATTTTGGTTAGAGATTATAAAGGAGAAGGATCGACAATTATTTCATAGTGTTGAAAATCCTGTTAATATGAGTCCAAAGTTGTGAAATGTGATGCTTCTTGGAGACAAATCTTACAGTTAATCCGAAGTAATGAGAACAAAAGCATCAGAGTAGGCCAAGGGAGGGCTGGTTGGGGGCAAATGGGTCTTTCCATAACCTTAAATAACCAATTGTCTTTGCAGACAGAAGACTGGGGTTTGAGTTTACTCCCCTCCCCATCGATTCTGCATAGCAGTCAAAATGCTTTTCTAAACAACTCAAATATAATCATGCCCTTCCTTAGTTAGAATTGGTCAGTAGCTTCTCATCTTTCTAAAAATCCAAAATCTGTAACATCATCTTTCCATAGGTGGTCTGTGTCCAGGCTTGCCTGGGACTGTCTGGCTTGTGCCTCTTGTTCTGGAGTGATTTTTTAAATAACATGCTTTTAAAAATCATTGTAAAATACACATAACATGAAATTTACCATCTTTTCCATTTTTAGGTGCATAGTTCAGTGGTATTAAGTACATTTATGTTGTGCAATTATCACTATCGTCCATCTCTAAAACTCTTACCCTGCAAAACTGAAACTCTGTATCCGTTAAACACTAACTCCCCCTTCTTCTCTCTCCCCAACCACTGGCAAGCAACATTCTACTTTGTCTCTCAGAATTTGACTACTCTATGCACCTCATATAAATGGAACCGTACAGTATTTGTCTTTTTGTGACTACCTTGTTTATAACCACTGCTGCTCTCTTCTGGTTACTATTTGTATAGAATATCTTCTCGTCCTTTCACTTTCAACCTATTTGGTCCCTGGAGCTAAAGTGAGTCTCTTGTGCATAGTTGAATAATGTATTTCTTAAAAAATAGATTCTCCCAATCTTTGTCTTTTGATTGGAGATTTTGAAGTATTTACACTTAAAATAATTATTGATGAGGAGAAACTTACTTGTGTCATTTTGCTATGTGTTTTCTATATGCCTTATAGCTTTTTTGTACTTCATTTCTTGCATTACTATTTTGTGTTAATTGATTTTTTTGTAGTAAAATGTTTAAATTCCCTTCTCATTTCCTTTTGTGTATACTCTACAGCTATATATTTTTCGCAACTACCATGAAGATTACCCTTAACATCCCAAAGTTATAACACTCTGATTTGAATTAATAGCAGCTTAATTTCAATTAAAAAACAACTCTGCTCCTATACAGTCCCTTCCCTACCCCCTTTCAGGTATTGGTGTTACAAACTTACATGTTTAAATATTGCATGGCCAAAACCAAACAAATAATTTTTAAAATGCATTAATGTCTTACATTATGTAGAAAACAAAATTGGAGTTACAAACCAAAGTTACAGTAATACCAGCTTTTATAAATTCCCATGCATTTACTTTTACTGAGTTCTTTATTTCATCATAGAGCTTCATGTTACTCTCTAGTGTCCTTTCATTTCAACTTTAAGGACTCCTTTCAGCTGTTCTTTCAGGGTAGGCCTAGTGGTAATGAATTCCTTAAGCTCTTGTTTACCTGAGAATGTCTTAATTTAGTCCTCACTTTTAAAGAATAGTTTTGCTAGATATAGGATTCTTGCTTGACAGTTTTTTTTCCTTTCAGCACTTTGAATATATCAGCATGTTGCCTTCTGGCCTCCAGAATTTCTGATGAGAAACCTGTTGGTAATTTTATTGAAGATCCCTTACTTCTCTCTTGTAGCTTTCAAGATTATCTCTGTCTTTGGCCTTTGTCAAGCTGATTATAATATGTCTTGATGTGGGTCTCATTGAGTTCATCCTACTTGGAGTTCATTGAGCTACTTGGATGTTTATGTCTTCCATAAAATTTGGAAAGTTTTTGGTCATTATTTCTTCCAAAAATTTCTTTGCCCCAGTCTCTCTCTTTTCTCCTTTTGGAACTCCCACAATGTCCACAATGTATGTTGGCCCACTTGGTAGTGTCCCATGGGTCTCTGAGGCTGTGTTTACTTTTCTCTGTGTTTTTAAAGCTCAATAATTTCATTCGTCTTAACTTCAAGTTAACTGATTTTTTTCTTCCGCCTGCTCAAATCTACCTTCAAATTCCTCTAGTAAATTTTTCATTTTAGTTATTGCATTTTCAGCTCCAGAATGTCTTTTTGGTTTCTTCTATTGATATTTTCATCATGCTCATACATCATTTTCTTGACTTTTTACATGATTTCCTTTCTTTTTTTTTTTTTTTTTTTTGAGCATCTTCAAGAAAATTGTTTTAAAGTCTTTGTCTAGCAAGGCTGTCATCTGGTCTTTCTCCAGGATGGCTTCTGTTGGTTTATTTTTTGTTTTTGAATGAACCATACTTTCCTGTTTCTTTGTATGCCTTATGATTTTTTATTAAATTGAAAACAAGACATTGGAATCTAATAATGTAGTAACTCCGGTAATCAGATTCTCCCCATTCCTCAGAGTTTGTTGATTTCTATTTTTGTTTTTGTCCTGTGATTGTTGTAAGCTGTCTCTGTACCAGGGATTAGCATGAGGTATAAACTTAAAGTCTTTTCAGGTATTTTTAAAGGCCTGCATCTATCCTTGAGCATGCACTGTGACTTTCTAAATTCCTGAATATGTGGTCATTTTTCATTCTTTGAGATGGAGTCTCATTCTTTTGCCCAGGCTGGAGTGCAGTGGAGTGATCTCAGCTCACTGCAACCTCCATCTCCTGGGTTCCAGTGATTCTCCTGCCTCAGCCTCCTGAGTAGCTGGGACTACAGGTGTGTGCCACCATGTCTGGCTAATTTTTGTATTTTTTAGTAGAGACAGGGTTTCACCATATTGGCCAGGCTGGCGTCAAACTCCTGACCTCGTGATCTACCTGCCTCAGCTTCCCAGAGTGCTGGGATTACAGGCATGAGCCACCATGCCTGGCTATGTGGTCACTTCTGAATGTCCTAGAGTTAAAATGCTTGGCTCCCAAAATAGGAAAGATGAGAAAAATGAAGTGAGAGGAGGGCACTGGCCTATTAAATCCCCTGGAAGTTGCTTCAGTCAGAGGAGAAGGGTCCTTTTTGCCCACCCTGGATCTTTGATGCTGCTGGCAAGCTGCTCCAGGAACCCATGTATGGCTGCCTGACTTGGGACTGGGATCTGAGTAGATGTTATGGGTGGAAATTGATCAAAACTAGCCATAATTTACTGTCCAAGCTTTCCCCCAGGAAATTGCAAGACTTCAAATGTACTCCAGAGTTTCAAAATAGTTACATTAGACAGATTCTGCCAGTGCAATTATTGTCTAGGTGGGGAGACAGATTCCTGGGGCTTCCTACTCTGCCATCTTCCCAGAATTCTGTCTAATCCTGGTGTGATTTTTGACAGCACCCCCTTCATGCACATGAGCATCCAGTTTGGACGCTGGCTATGAAGCGTACACCACTAGCCTCATATCATGGCCTCCTCGCCTCTGTCACTGCTGGCCAGATACACAGCTGGTTGCTCCCATTGTGTGGTCCTCTTCTTTCTCTTAGTACTAGACCTCTCAAGCTGAGCCCCTATCTCATAGAGTAAAGATATTTCTCATCCTCCCTAGCAACTAGGTGTGGCCCTGGACTAAGTATTAGAGGATGTATGCAAAAAAGATGGATGTAAGTTTGAATAAAGTCCTTAAAGGGAGGAGGTGTGGATCAGGATCTTCCTGATCCTGCTGCTTGGAACATGAATGTGGGGGGAGACTTCTTGGATCATAGCGCTGAGAGTAACACCTTAGAGATTGTAACACAACTGCAAATGACTTAATGGCGCAGAGCTACATAGCAGCTCCAGATCACCTACTGTTGGACAGTTATATAAGTGAGAATGAATGCCTATTTATGTCACATTTATTTTAGAGCCCTTCTACATGTAGCTACATGTATAGCATACCCAAATAAAATAGAATCTGATACTAGAAGTGCCTAAAATATGTGGTATTGACTTCAAGGTGGAAGCCAGTTTCAAAGACTCAGAAATTGCAGGCTGGAAGGCAATGGCCCCTTTTTATGGTATGGTAAAATGCTTTGTAAAACCATCTTCTGCAATAACCTGGGAGCCAGATCACATACTGACCACATCTTAGCTCTACAGAAAATTGGTCGGGTCAATTTAAAATTCTGTTGGGTGTTTCCTGCTTCTTGCTGCTTTTTGCAAAAGGCCTAAAAGGGAGAGATAAATTCACATTGGAGATAGTCAGTTGGCAAGCAGGGATGGAAGGGGATTTTGTGCTTCAAAGGGCAGAACTCAATGTCTGTAACATAAAATCTAGGTTGACTGAGAGACTGCTTTAAAAAGTCAGCTGTGGCTGGGCACGGTGGCTCACGCCTGTAATCCCAGTACTTTGGGAGGCTGAGGCGGATGGATCACCTGAGGTCAGGAGTTCAACACCAGTCTGGCCAACATGGTGAGACCCCATCTCTACTAAAAATACAAAAGTTAGCTGGGCGTGATGGCATGCGCCTGTAATTCCAGGTGCTCGGGTGACTGAGGCGGGAGAATCCCTTGAACCCGGGAGGTAGAGGTTGCAGTGGGCTGAGATTGCGCCAGTGCACTCCAGCCTGAGCAACAGAGCAAGACTCCATCTCAAATAATAATAAAAAAATAAATAAATGAATAAATAAATAAATAGCTGTTCCTGTGCCCCGAAATAAAGCCATTGTAAATAAAGCTACATGCTTAGGAAGAGATAAGTTTGTGATCCAAAGTCCTTTTCAGCCGCCTCTGTGTGTGTGTGATTTTTCCAAAGCCAGACAATGAGAGAGAAAGAGAGAGAGAGAAAGGAGGAGGGGGAAGAGGAAGAGGAGAGGAGGAGGGGAGAGGAAGGAAGGGAAGGGAAGGAGACAAGGGAGGAGAAGAGGCGAGGGGAAAGGGAAGAAGAGGAGAGGGTAAATGGTAGTCCAGTGTCAAATACATTGTGTGGCTTCCTTTCTGAAGCCTATTGTTTCAGGAGTCTCCAAATGCTATCATTCAGTTGAGAGAAAGAGAAGTAAATAGAACACAGGACCAGTAAATAAAAAAACCGAAGCTGCAGGCTTAAAAACTTGGTTAATTGGCTGAAGTTACTTGTACATGGGATTGATGGGCCAGGAGGTGACTGAGTTTTTGAGGCAATTACATTGCCAAATAAGTCGGATGTTTGGCCTGCCCAAGCCTGTGAACATTCAACCCCTAAAGCCACTCCTGGGCCTCTGAAGTGGCGCTGGCAGGAATGGGCTCTGAAAGCTGGACAGCTGCCAAGAAGGACAAACTCACCAGTGTTCATCTCAGATGCTGCCACAGAAGGAATGGATTAAGTCCAGAGGGCAAAGTCCAGGAACACTGAAGACAATGTGCAGGGAAGTTCCTCCCAGAGAGCAAGATGTGGAGCTACCAGATGATCTAATGTGCATGCACACACAGCACATACTGTTCTCCACAGGCAGGAAGCTAGCATAAAATGTTTTCATGGACCAGGCATGGTGGCTCACGCCTGTAATCCCAGCACTTTGGGAGGCCGAGGTGGGCGGATCACCTGAGGTCAGGAGTTCAAGACCAGCCTGACCAACATAGAGAAACCCCATCTCTACTAAAAATACAAAATTAGCTGGGCGTGGTGGCGCATGCCTGTAATCCCAGCTACTCGGGAGGCTGAGGCAGGAGAATTGCTTGAACCTGGGAAGCGGAGGTTGGGGTGAGCTGAGATCATGCCATTGCACTCCAGCCTGGGCTTGAAACTCCATCTCAAAAAAAAAAAAAAAGTGTTTTCATGAGTGAGCGGTCACTGGAAATTTTTCATCTTTCTCTTTGCAGATCGGGGCAGGAGAGTGTTATAATTACTCTATGTATTAGCCTAGTAGGGCTACCCTAACAAAGTGCCACAAACTATGTGGCTTAGTGTCATCTCCCAGTTCTGGAGCTGGAAGCCTGAGATCCAGGTGTTGGCAGGATTGGCTCCTTCAGAGACTGCGAGAGAGAATCTGCTCCAGGCCTCTCTCCTGGCTTCTGGTGGTTTGCTGGTGACCTTGGGTGCTCCCTGGTTTGTAGAGGCATCACACCATGTCTGTCTTCCTTGTTCACATGATGTTCTCCCTGTGTGTACCTGTGTTCAGGTGTCCTCATGTTATAAGGACACCAGTCACCTTGCATTAGGGCCCACCCTCCACCAGTATGGCCTCATCTTAACTCATTACAGCTGCAATGACTCTATTTCCAAATAAGGTCACGTTCTGAGTGACTGAAGGTTAGAACTTGAACATATGAATTTTGGGGAGACCCAATTCAACCCATAACACTTGATTCCTTCTCTTCCATTGTATTATAGGTATGTCAAGGATAAATAATTTGTCTCTTAGTTCACGGGTCACCAGAATAGAATTCTACATCCGGGCCTGCTGGAGGGAATTCCAAATTGAAAGAATTTTACTGGCAAGAAATCCTGAGACTTTGAACCAGATGCAGTATCCAGATGTAGGCTTAGGATTTTACGACTTGGGAAGTCAGTGAGTGTGTTCCAAAGGGAGATATGCACAGCTCTTTGCAGGGACAAAGGAACAAGCCATAGCAGAAGTTATTCTTATGCTATAATCAGAACAGAATCTTCAGGTTTATCTAGATACATGGATGCCCAGAATAAAGACCATATTTCCAGGTTGTCTTGCAGCTAGCTTTGGTTATGTAACTAAACTCAGGCTAGGGTGCCCTTCTAGGTCATATACTGAAAGGAAGAGGATAATATATCTTTCTTCCTTCTCTTGCCCCATTCCCCAACTCTGCTGCTTAGAACATAGATGTGGGGGCAGCTGATGTAAACTCTGAGGAAAAGGGCAACCCCCCAGCAAGGGAGGGATAAGAGAGAAGAATCCTGGATTCTGGTGGTGGAGCTGAATCACCACCCTAGTACTGGGCTGCTTATTCATGTAGTGTTCCTGGAGAGAAAATGACTTCTATGTTACCTGAAACCAAGTGGATAGTTTCATGAAGACACTGACCTTCCCTCACTTCCTTACAAAGCAAAGTTTCTTTGCACTTTGGAGCCTTTACACAGACTGTGCCCACTTCCTCTTCCCTGCTGCCCCCTTCTCAAACTCCCATCCCCCCAAATTTCATTCAAACATCACTTCTTCAGAAGAACCTGTTACCTTCAGACTTGCTCAGGCCCCTCTCTTATACACCCTTGTAGCATCCTATGCCTTGCCTCTATAGCATATCAATCAATTCTAAGTCAACATAGTGGAATTATTTGATTAACAATTGTCTCTATAGTCATAGTTGTTGTCTCTATGACAATAGTCATCTCAAGCTCTTGGGAGCAGGGCAGTTGTATTAGTCAGGGTTCTCCAAAGAAACGAAACCCATAGGATAAATAGAGCCATACGTATCTATGCATAGATTATAGAGGAGATTTAGATTGCACACTGGCTTATGCAATTATGGAGGCTGAAAAGTCCCACAAGCTGCCATCTGCAAGCTGGCCTAGGAAAGCTAGTGGTGTGGGTCTCATCCCAACCAGGGGAGCCAGTGGTGTGAGTTCTGGTTTGAGCCTGAAGGCCTGAGAACCAGGAGCACCGGTGACTGAGGGCAGAAGAAGATGGATGTCTCTGTTCAAGAAGAGAGGGAGTGAAATCATCTTTCTGCTGCCTTTTTATTCTTTCTGGGCCTTCGGCAGATTGGATGGTGCCCACCCACATTGGTGACAGCTGATCTTGTTTACTGAGTCTACTGATCCAAATGCTAATCTCTTTTGGATCACACTCAGACACACTCAGAAATGGTGTTTTACCAACTATCTGGGCATCCCTTAGTGCAGTCAAGTTGATCCATAAGATTAACCTTCGCAGCAGTGTGGGATTTGCTCTCTCTGTTAGGCAGCCTCTAAGATGGCCCCAGATCATCCTTGCTACCTGGGACTCCCATCCCCTCCCCTTGAGTGTGGACCCACTTTATTGACTTGCTGTGCTAGAATATGGGAGGGATAATCAGAGGTTATTTGTGAGACTAAGGAAAAGGTTGTGGCTTCTATCTTGGGTATACCTCTTAGATACCTCCTGCTGGGGGACGTCAAACACCATGTCATAAGGCGGCCCTGTGGAAAGAGGCCCACAGAGGTGAGCTTGAGAGCAGATTCTCCAGCCCTTGTTGTGTTTTGAGACAAATGGAGCCTCAGCTGACAGCCTGACTATAACCTCATGAGAGATTTTGAATCAGAGGCACGCAGGTAAGCCACACCCAGACCCCTGAACCACAGGAACCATGAGATAATAATCTGTTAAGCATTGGGTTCATTTCTTACCCAGCAAGAAATGACAAATACACTTGTTCATCACTACATCTAAGCAACTATCCTAATGTTTGGCACAGAGTAGGCTGTCAATAAATCTAGTTAGATAGATAATGTATAAATTAATGGATTATCTAATCATAAGCTCTCAGGCTCTGTAAATCTTGAGCTCTTTATTATTAAAATGAGTTATATTTATCTTTAAATGAGAATTAGACAGTCTTCTGTGTTAGAGTATCTTATAAACTATAAGGGATGGCACAAATATTAAAATTGTTTCATCATGTATGTTTGCTATATGTTCTAGAAATGATCTGAGGGCACCGATGGTTTTATTTTCTATGAGGGGCCACCCTTGCTGGAGGTGCACACAGCATGTCATATTGTTTACTTTAAATACTTCACAATCAACCATGGATGTGAGGTGTGTGTTCACCTTTGCTGTAAAGGACATCCTAGGAATGGCAATTAGCATCTAAAAGACCCTAAGCAGAACCCATACCTCAGGGGTGATGAGTTATAAGGTGAAAGATTTTCACCAGGAACCCACACTCCAAAGGAAGTGCTTCAAGTATCATTCTCGAAACGTGTCCTGGACAGTCCAGCGATTTGCATCCGAGATGTTAGAAACAACCTCTCATTGGTGAAAGAAATGGCATTGAAGATCAGTGGTTGGCTTGAGGGATTTGGGGGATCCCTACCACCCTTATGTCTGTAAGGAACTGGAGTAGTTTTGGCCCAGTCTCCACTAGAGGAGGCCTGCCAGGCTGCCACAGACACCACTTGTGGGCCACAGAGCCAGCCTTTCATTCAGAGTGCAAGACAGAGTGGGACTTCCCTAAACTTCTCAGAATGGGTCTCCACGATTCTTTTTTCATTCCTTGTGCTAATAAATATCTGTGTGGCATAATTTTGCCAGAGACTTGCTCTATGTGTAACAAAGGGTTGCGGGGCAGGAGACAAATAGCATTTATCTGCCTTCAATCCATGGCCACTACTCATATTCAGCTGAACAACCTGACATGGTTGAACTTCTCAGTTGTCTCAGGCTAGCTCACAAAAGCAAGTATCTGCAGGTGCTTCCTGAACTTCAGGACTTACCGTGGCCACATTGTCAACTACCTGAAACAGGGCACTCTGTCAAAACTGAGAAAGACTAATACAATTGCTATTTAATTAATCTGATTTGCCCTGGGTCTCCCCAGATAGAGAATTCTGATGGGAATCAATTTGCTAGAAGTGACTCAGGTCTCCAGGCTCTTGCCACGCCTTTGTGCAGGTCTGCAGCTTGTCACAAGTGTGACCTTCCGAGTGACCCTGCGCTACCTCAGATCCCCAGCTGTGTCTGCTGCTGCCTATGAATATAGGTCCTGCAGGCACCTGTGAGGCCTTCAGGGCTCCACAGAGAGGTCAGCAGACTGTCCTTGCTCCCCGCAACTCTTTGTCACCCTCTGTCACTCTAGCCCTGAAATGTCCCTGCTTTTACCACGGTCTCAGGGAGTCTCTTCCAGATTGCAGCTTGTGCTAATGGCAAACCTACTGTCCGGGTCAGATCTTCTCCTTGCGGGGAGAAGGGACAGGAGATAGACACTGTCTCTTTCCCTTTTCTCTCTACATCCCCTTCTGCAGGGAACATCATGCTATAACTCCCTCCTCCTTCAGCTAAAGCAAAAGTCCCTAAGCCGTCTGGTTCTGAGTCAGCCAGTCTTCCAATCGCCAGACACACCAGATATACCCACACCCTCACCACGGACACTGACAGGCTCCATCTGGGATCTTGGCTACTTAATTAATGTAATTTCATAGCAATACTTTAAAGACATCAGGTCCAAGAGGGTTCTGGTTGGGCAAATATAGGGAATTTTCTCCCCACTCTGTCCTCATAAAAAAGAAGTCTTACTCCTCAGTTTCTTCCTCTAGGTCTCACAGTCTAGGCTTCTGCAGCTTGGGAAGAAATGATCAGCTCCTATCCTAAATCAACCCATCAGAGGAGCTGGAAGGTGGAGAGGATGTTTTCCTGATAAATGTAAGAACTTGCAGAAAATGGCACTAAGATTTTACATCAACAACTAGTCCTCTGTTAACGAGTGGATTAACACCATTTATAAGTATGAACCCAAGAATGTGCTGGAAAACAGCCTCTCCAAGTTGTATTGGGATGGAGCCGTGATAACAGATTAACAAATTCTGGCCAACAGACCGGATATTCTGTTGTTTGACAAACTTAATAAAACAGAGATGCTCACTGATATTGCTTTCTTACTAAATAGAAATATCCCAAGAACATATGCAGAGAGTATAAATAAGTATGTGACTTTGACAGAGAGTTGGAAGGAAAACAGAATGTGAGAGACAATAGAAAAGCTAGCTGCCTTTTCTGTATCTT
Organism: Homo sapiens; assembly: GCF_000001405.40. Classification (NCBI taxonomy): domain Eukaryota; kingdom Metazoa; phylum Chordata; class Mammalia; order Primates; family Hominidae; genus Homo; species Homo sapiens. The sequence continues at coordinate 104,913,975 of NC_000002.12, read as the reverse complement.
CCAGGGGTTTCCCAGATCCAAAAACTGGACATTCACTGTGAATGAGCCTCCGCTAAAAGGCAAAAGCTATGTATACTTCTAGGTATTTTTTTTTTCGTTTTAATGATAGATAATCAAATGTGCTTAGCTTTTGTTTATTTTCAAAGTATACACAGAGCTATTCATCCCAGTAACAAGAATGTGAAAATAACGATGTGAAGATGTATCAGGCTCTACGTTCAGGGTGCATAGGTACAGGTACGTTTTCTGTATGTGTGTTATACTTCAGTGAAAAGGTTTTAAAAATGCCAATGCTGAAGATCGTAGCTCTTGTCTGGGCCTTGGTGACCCAACCTTATTCACATACGTTTTACTGAGTGCTCTGATGGGTGTTAAATCCCACAGCAGAGCCTTTGATTGTGTGATTCCTGGACTGAGTGGTGACTTCAGCACTGGTCACCTGAGTCTTCTGATAGTACCTGCATTTTTAGCTCTGATAGACACAGAGGGTGATGTCAGGAACATTAAGCCAGTTACCCCAGGGCCTTAGTCAGTGCCCAAGCCTCTGCCTTTCACCTGAGAAAGAATTTCCAAACTGCCTGATGAGGGAGAAAACCATGTCCATGGTCCCAACGGGGTCCAGAGGATCCCCTGAGAATCTGGATGGGAATCCAGAAGATATGCTGGAAAAGACCCACAGATGGTACCCTGGGATACAAAAGGAAGACTCCTTTAATGCCAGCCAAGGAATGTGTGTGTTACTGCAAGAAGCCAGCCAGGGAATCTATTCTTTAAAAAAAAAAAAGCCAACAGGCCCAAGTCTGAATGGCCTGTCACGGTCACAAGCATTGCCTCTGGCTGCGGGCTGGAGAACAAGGCCCAACAAAGCTGCGTTTCAATTGCCCCACATCCAAGTGGTTTGCAATCCCGTGGCCATTCACCCAGTAAAGCCCACTACATGTTTTTCTTTTCAATCTAGGTAAATGAAATAAAAACACGCATCTTGAGAGTAATAATTCAAGTAGTATGAAAATTTATTGGGTTGAAAAAGTCTGGAGATGAGTAATGCTTGAACATATTCCAGGATCTTCTGTCTGAAGCAAACCCAGACTGATCTGCAAGGTGACAGTGGCATTGGCACCATGAATGTCACATACCTCCAAGTCAGAAGGGATGCTGACATCATGGCATCCTCATCCCGTGGGGTCACACGGGGCTGCTCACTGCTGCGTGTGCTCACCCTGGCAGGCAAGAGGTGTCCCCAGCAAACCCAGTAGCCACACATGGACGCTCAACCTGTCGTGTTGTGCATATGACCTGGGTCGTGCTCAATGTTCAGGCTTGGAGCACCCTTACATAGAAATAAAATAAGAGAAAATAAGAAAATAAAGTACACATCTTGAGTCTTCTCTTCAAACCCTAAAGATAAGGGATTAAAAATGGCTCTTTGGAAGTGTGAAAGAGAAAATAGTCAAGCTACTCAGGTATTGAATCTGAGCAGATTATCCTTACCCATCTGTTAGTAACTCCTGTGGGGGCCCCCCACACCACATAGTGATTTTCTAAGCATGCTTTTAAATGGTGCTCAACAGCTTTGGCGTGGGAATGCAAGGACCAGTCAAGAGTAGAAGCAGAACTGGCTTTCGTGAGGGCGGAGTGGCCAATGATGCCGGTGAGTGATCTCAGCTACGATGGAGGCTTCCCCAGCCCCAAACTCCCTCCTTCCCCCTTCCTTTGTTTATTCAAGAAACACTTGTCAAGCACCCACAATGCGCTAGGTTCTGTGCTTGATGCTTGCCCGACCAGCACGAACAAACTCGGCACTGCTCTGTGCAGTGACGGCAATCAAACACACTGCTCCGAATCCCTGGAGGGGATGGCTCCCATGACGGCACCCTGGGTGCTGGAGGCAGAGACGGCCTGTGGGGCTCCGGGCTTGGGCCTGTGAGTGGCGTGCACACCCAAAAAGCTATCAACAGGCGCGCTGCAGTCAGAGGTACACTTTTATTGATAGACTTGACTTCAGGATAAAGACTTTTGGAAAATTGGCTCTTAAGTTTTTAATATAATAATATTATATATCAGCTTGTATTTGCATATTTATTTACACAACATACTTTTCTGTGTCACTTACAGCTTCTCCCCCTCTCTCGCATCTCTCTCTCTCTCTCCCTCTCTCTCTCGAGACCACTTGTTTGGGTCTGGGGTAGGTAGAGTTTCCTGAATCAGCTTTTCATGCTTCCCAGTCTCGGATGGTTCCTCTCTTTGTAGTTGTCCTTTCTCTTCCACATCTTTTCCTCCACTCTCCTCCTTACCTTAACACTCATGGATAAATTCATGTTTTTTATTTTCTCTGTGTCAGGGGGTATGTAGGGCTTTTCAAGTCCTCAAAGCCAGCCATGAACCTGCTGGGAGATGCTCTTCTCCCAGGCTTTCAGGACATGGTTCCCACCACACTTCTCTTATGTTCCACTCTGTTCACTGCCTGGGTCATCACAGGCAGCATCTCCCTTTCAGCACATCCCTTGCAATGTCTTATGACTGTTTGTGGCCGTGTAGCACTTTTTTTTTTTTTTTTTTTTGAGACGGAGTCTCGCTCTGTCGCCCAGGCTGGAGTGCAGTGGTGCGATCTCAGCTCACTGCAACCTCTGCCTTCCAGGTTCAAGCAATTCTGTCTGCCTCAGCCTCCCTAGTAGCTGGGATTACAGGTGCCTGCCACCACACCTGGCTATTTTTTTTTTTGTACTTTTTAGTAGAGATGGGATTTTGCCATTTTGGCCAGGCTGGTCTTGAACTCCTGACCTCACATGACACCTTGGCCTCCCAAAGTGCTGGGATTACAGGTGTAAGCCATCATGCCCGGCCCATGTAGCACATTTTGACCATACGGTTGTCCCTCAGTATCTATGGGCATTTGGGTCCAGGACTCCTTGGGCTATCAAAATCCATGAATACTCAAGTCCCTGATATAAAATGGCCATATGTATATGACCTACTTACATCCTCCCATATACTTTAAATCGTCTCTAGATTACTTGTAATACCTAATACAATGTAAATACTATGTAAGTTGTTGTTATACTATATTTTTAAATTTGTATTTTTTTATTGTTTTTATTGTTGTATTTGTCTTTTTATTGTTCTTTTTTCTTTCTTTTTTTCCTGAGCATTTTACATCCATAGTTCGTTTAATCCATGGATGTGGAACCCATGAATACACAGGGCCAACTGTATACAGTTATCCTCTTTCTTAACATCAACTTAATCTCATTTTGCAAAAACTCTCAGTAAATTCGAAACCATTCTTCCATTTGGAGAGCTTTATGATCTCCTTCAGGTACAACAGTAGAATTAGCTAACATTTTTGGAGTACTTACTATATCTTTAGCAGCCTACTAAGCACTTCACTGTCACAATAGTTGATATATCATCTCTCAATTAACCCTCACATTAGTCCTGTGAGGTAGGTATTGTTATTTTACAGATAAGTGAAATAATACCTGGAGAGTTTACACGATCTGCCTGTAGTTGCATGGCTGTCGGTGGAATAAGGAGAATGCAAGGGCCCATTGAGTGGAGGAAAAGAGAATTCAGACAGCATTTCTTTCCTTTCCACTTAATTTGTAGAGTAGAGAAGAAGCCGCTTGTAGATATATTGCTCTTCTGAGTCTTAGGGGAGCCAAAGAGAGCTGTAACGATCACTGTTGCCCAAACTTGACTTTCATTTGACCCCAGAGAAAGTTGAGCAGCCCAAAGAAGACATGGGCTGAAGAGCTTGAACCCCATAAAGAACCCCAAGTCACTCTTCTATTGTAGCCCATTTTTAGTGCTTGAGTCTGTCATAAGGGCTACCATATTTTTCTCAGATACTTAATTATCACCAAAGCCAAGTTGTTGGTTGGTCATAATGTGATTTTTAGACCATCTATACAATAACAAAAATGACGAAATGGTGAAAAATTCAGTCAAGTGCTTGGTTGGACGTTTTTTATCCTTGTTTATGTAATGTCCAATAAAGCCAAATCTAATTTTTTAAAGAGTGAGTTGGGCCCACATTTTTCTATAAAAATAGATTTTCAGGGAAAATGGGAAATTGACAATTTCCCTAAGAATTATATATGAAGAAGTACTCTCTTGTATTTGAATAATGACAAGAGATTAGGCATTCCTGCATGCTTTTTCCCCCTTATTAATGAATTAGAATCCACAATTGATTTAAAATTAAATAAAATTCGCATAAGCATCAGTCACGTCTTCATTACCAGTCACTTGCGCTTTGTAAAACTGGATTTCCATTTAAATGGCTTCATGTCAAAATGGGAGTTGACTGTGGCTGTGGGGAGCCCAGCTGGGAAGCAGCCTGACCTGGCCCAGCCCGCAGCCAGTGCCCTGGCAGAGGCAGCTGTGAAGGGCACAGCCAGGCATGGGCAAGAGGCTGATTGGCAGGCACAGACACAGAGGGCCATGTCCGGCCGGAACAGGGGCAGCGGCAAGCACCAGGTGAGACTAATGGATCACAGGCAAGTTAGAGCTTCAGCTCATGACACTGGCTTCTTACAGTAACACACACATCTCTTGGCTGGCGTTAAAGGAGTCTTCCTTTTGTATCCCAGGGTACCATTTGTGGGTCTTTTCTGGCATATCTTCTGGCTTCCCATCCAGATTCTTGGGATCCTCCAGACCGCTGGGACCATGGATATGGTTTTCTCCCTCATCAGGCAGTTTGGAAATTCTTTCTCAGGTGAAAGGCAGAGACTTGGGAGCCGACTAAGGCCCTGGGGTAATTGTCTTAAGGAATTTTGGCCTCATAATTCACTAGCTGAATTGAAAATGTGAGAACACAATGTTACACGATTAATTTTATTTCTTAATTCTGGTGCTGTTTTCAAGAAGTGACAGATTTCAGAATAACTAAATAATTTCTAGTGTCACTTTTTTCTCCCAATATTACTATCACGTGTGAAACCTGGTATTTTGAGATATTTCATCACCCATCTGGTTCTCTAGGAATCTTTAAAAAGTGCAAGTACTTAAAAAAAGAAAAGAGTAAGAAAGAAAGAAAAAAGAAAAAGAATTGTTTTAAAATATACATGTATGTCCATCTTGCCTAAGTATTTTCTAATATTATCAGCAGGACACAATTTACTATGCATCATTATCTACTCTTATGAAATAGTTTAAATATTTTAGCATAATTGATGTCTCCATGCATTGCCTAGCTTAAGGATTGATTCTTACATTCTTTGCTGTAGACCATTGGAAAATCATTACTGAAACCATATTTAAACTGGATTTAAATAAACCTGAGTGGTTACTCAGCTGGGAGACAGGGAAATCTTCCTCACTCTTGCTCAAATAGAGTTGATCTCAGCTTCTCCTACTCTGCTTATGTATCATTAGATCATAGAGGATCATGAGGTCACAGCAGACTCCTTGATGAGTGAGGACAGTGGGAGATTCCTCAGTTGCTCCTTTCTCCTTGGACAAGGTGGTCACGTGCTCTTGAAAATTCACTCGTCTTTCTTCTACAATTCTTTACTTCTTACTCTTAAAGAATGATTGTACTCTCTCATCTTCTTATCCACAGCTATTTCTACAAAATTATCACTGTTTTACCATGTTATAAACCTGTGGGAAGACATGAGTTCTGAATCTTGGTTTCTTTTCTCTTTTCTTTTTTAACTTTGCTTCTAGAGATGTACTCATCCCAAAGCATTTTCATCAATGACAGCCCTGGAAAGTGAACCATCCATGTCTGGGAGTACTCATGCATGTTGCTGCAAAGATCCTGAATAAAATATTGGTAAATAGAAATGGCAGGGCACTCTTTAAAAAGACCAAATGGACTTCACCTCAGAAGGAAATAATAGTTTAATATTAAGAAATCTATTCATGCAATTCGCCATGTTAATAAATTAATCATTTGTTAACCTGAACAAGTACTGAAATGTGTCTTAATAAAGACAATATCCAATCCTGACTTTTAGAAACCTTTCTATAATAGGTCTAGGTGCATACATTCTTAACATGATAAAATCACACACACACATGCACATACACACACACTCTCACACATTCATTCCAGTATCCATATCATAGTATCATGCTTTATAGTAAAACCCTACAAGAGAAGTGTTTCTACTAAAGTCAATAGCAAGTCAAGGGGCCCCGTTATCACCAATGTTATTTAAAATTGTTCTAGAAGTACTAGTCAAAGTAATTAAAATAACAAAATAAGAAATATAAATGGTGGAAAGAAGGAGGCAAAATTTTTATTACTTGCAGATAATGTAATAGGATTGTATACCTGGAAAATCCCATGAGGATTAAACCAAGCCTTAGCCAAAAGCAAAAGGAATGGATAGCTACTTCAAAAAATAATAATAATAGTAGCTTCTTATTCTGCAAATATAAGACAGGAGAAAAAAGCAGAGGTAACATCCACTTATTTGCTCAATGCTTTTTCACTTGAGAGGCTGCTTTGTGCCAAGCCCTAGGGACGTAGCTAAAATAGGAGAGTAGTTGTTCTCTAGTCGCTTGCTTTGTAATTAAAGGAAATAAGCAAAATACACTAAAAAGCAAATACCCAAGTAGATACACAAGGCTTTTTAGGCAGTGGCAAGTGCTATGAAGGAATTCAGGAGAATAAGGGGATGGGATGTTGGAATTAGAGAGGTCAGGGACAGATGGGTGAGGAAAGTCCTGCATTCTGTAGGGTGGCCCAGGAAGGCCTCTCCTAGAAGATGGAATAGGAGCTGAGATGTGATGGATGAGAATTATCCACTCATGCAAAGAGCCAGAGGAAGGCAGAGAAGGAAGCACAAACGGAACGGGGAAAGAGCTGTGGAAAAGGAGCTTGGCATGTTAGAGAGATGGGGGAAGGAGCTAGGATGACGATGAGGGGCTGGGGCAGGATCCCACAGGATGCCTGCTGGGTCTTTTTTCGCGTGCAATATGCCACTGAAAGGCAGGAAGGTAGGGGTGTTCGTATGATTTTGTGGACTGCTGAGAAAGCCAACCCCGACAGATACGCAGAAATAGATTGTTGAAAGTATTGGTGGAAAGCTGTGGCCCAGGCAAGAGAGAGATGGTGGTGAGGTGGCAACAGGGAAACATGCATAGACGTATATTTCAGATGCGGAAGGAACTACCAGTACTTGCTATCAGACTGATGTGGAGAATAAGTAGGAGGAGAAATGGGGTGTAATTCAGAGATTCCATTCACAATAGAAAAACAAACAAAAACACAACATGCCTAAGAATAAATTACACAGGCAATGTCCAAAATCTATATGGAGAAAACTATAAAAATCTGCTGAAGGACTTAAAAAAATCGCATAATGGAGAAACAACTTTGCTGGAACAGGGCAGATATCGACAGGTTGAAGAAGTCAGTCCTTCCCAGTACAATCCCAATAGAAGTTCCTTTTTTAACATGACAAAAAGGACACCAAGGTTTATCTGGAAGAATAAACATTTATTTGGGATTAACCAGGACAATTCTAGAAGGAGAAAAGAAGAGCAACAATAGAAAACAATCTCTACCAGACACTAAAACGCAACAGAAAGCTGCACTAATAAAAACTGGGAGACATTGTACTGGGACAGGAATTAACAAGCAGATTAATAGATCCAATGGACAGTCTAGAAATAAACCCAGCTACTGATCCATTGTCTGTATTATAAAAAGGGCATTCCATGCAGAAAAGCTGGGGTATTACATGCAGATTGCGAACTAGTCAACTAGCTCTTTGAAAAAATAAAGCTGGATCTCTGTTTTACTTCTCATCAAAATAAATTCAAATGGATCAAAGATGCAACAGGAAAAAAATGAATATGCTCTATTTCTATAATCTTAAAGTGAGGAAGACCTTTCTATGCATCAAACAAAAATTAGAAGCTGTGTGAGGAATGATTGCCAACTGGAACTACATGAATATAGAAAATTGTTTGTATGCCAATGAAGCAAGCAAGCAAGCCAACCAAAAACTCTCCCATCTATTTGTTCATGACTTTCAAAGGCTATCACCAGCCAAATATGTTCCCATTGCTGTGGGTTGAATTGTGTCCCCTCAAAAGGTGTGTTCAAGTTCAAACCCCCAAAACCTGAGAATGTGACCATATTTGGAAACAGGATGTTTGCAGATGCAATCAAGTTAAGATGGTCATACTGAATTAGAGTGGGCCCTAATCCAAGAACCAGTGTTTTTATAAGAGAATATTTTGGACACAGGCACTCACAGAGGGAAGATGGCGTCCTGCAGAGGAAAGCAGAAATTGGAGCAATGAAGCTATAAGCTAAGGAGGCTGAGGATCGCTGGAAGCCATTAGAAACTAGAAAAGAGGGCTGGAACACATTCCCTCTTAAAACCTCAGAGGCATGACCCTGCCGACACCTTGATTTTGAACTTCTGGCTTGCAGAATACATTTCTGTTGTTTTAAACCACCCAGTTTGTGGTGATTTGTTACAACAGTCACAGAAAACTAATACACACATTAATGTCTAATAGGACACTGAACTTTGTTAAAACAAAACTCTTCTTCAGTTACATATTAATACATATGTAAGTAAAATCTGACATACCATTCAGCAGACAGTTATAGTAGTTAACCCTGGAGGGTAAGAATAAAGGGACTTCCACTATATGCATAAAGTGGAAGTATGCAGTTTGTAAAATAGTCTATGTACTAAATACTATGGTCTATTTAAAAAATTGCATGTATTACTCTTATAATAGAATGAAATTTTAAAAGAAGGAAAATAGGTAGTAAAAGTCTGTCATGATGCTATGAGTGGAATCCAACAAAATCAATCATGTGAGATGAAAGGTCGTGTTATTGAGCTAACAGACCAGGAGGCACATGAGCAGCCAGCCAGCTAGGAGTTCCAGGTGTCCAGATGCTCATTTCCAAATCCGTGCTCATCCCAGTTGGACCTTGTCGCTGCGATGGCAGTTGTCTGTGCTGGTTAAATACCCATGGGGTTGATACCAGGTCTTAGGGCTGGCTAGGATCTCTGGAATAATGGCTCCATTTCCTACATGTTTCGTGAGCTCACTGGGAAGTCTGGCCTGAGGAATTCAGCGGGCCCAGAGACTCATTCTCTGCCTTTCTCTTCCCAAACTGCATTATTCATCTGCCTGGTTCTCATCCCCTCCACGCCCCTCTCTTGCACCCCAGGTACCACAGCCTTAAGAGCTTCAGTCTTAGAGGGCTTGGAATGTGTAAAGGACAGGAACTGATATACATCGTCCTATACATGAGACGTGTAAAGGACAGGAACTGATGTACCTCAGTATACATTTGACTTTGCCTTTCTACAAGGTGTGTTAAAGAAGTGTGTGCCATGCCATATATTATACCACAATTTAGATAAGGAACACTATAAATGTTCCTTACATTTATAGTAAGGAACATTTATAGTAAACAAATAAATTCATATTCTTGTTTGAGATTCACATTTCACAGGTTATTGGTTATTAACTGGATTCGTTCCACTGGATTGCCCTTTGCAGTATATACTCATTAATACTTTATTTCTTGATTTTTTTGGTTGATTTTTTATATAAATACAAACTCACATTTCCAGGACTTTTTGCTATACCCATTTCACTCCTACTTTATGTACACTTTACAGTGGCCCTGTTGGTGACATATGATAGACTATACTGTAATAGGTTCAGATGAACTAAAGGTACATCATTTGATCACCTAAGAGGGTTTTAATGGTTCACTCTCTGATAATTAGCTCTAAGTAGTTGACCCTCCAACCGTTCCCCACAGCTGCAGAGTAGAGAGTGCCACTTTAATGTGCTACTTTGGGCTACCTAAATTATTGCAAATCCAATTGCTGGCAACTTGTTCTTCTTCTGATGGAAATTCTGGCTTTGTAGTGCTTTGCAAATGCTTCATCCCCACAATACCTACCATGAAAGTTCTCTTTCATACTCTAGGCCCTCTGGAACCTTCCCCATCTCAGAAAGCTTAAGGCCATTCAGCTAAGAATCTGAATCTTACCTACGACTTCCAATCATTTCAACTCACCTTGGCCTTTCCTTGAGCAAGGAAAGGAACTTGCTGGTCATTCAGCAGACCAACTTGAGTAACTATCAAAGCAAAATCAGAACCAAATCTTAATGTAGCTGATGTATGTACAAGCCAAAGAATGAAAAGCCCATCTTCCTGCAAGAACCCGTAGAGCTTCTTAACCCCCACAGACAAACATTTTTCTAACAGAAAGGTTATAGGAAGGAGAGGCTGAATTTATTAACCGTCTCCTTGTCCTGCCACTGCCTGACTTCCTTTGGGCTCACCAGACAACGTTTAGGCGCCAGACACATATGCCTGGTGCCATTTGCGTGTCTGTGTTAAAGTTGACTTAATTAGGAGAGTTTACCTCAAATAAATGCTTAAATGAATTCTCTTAGTGGTGTAACATTTTGTCTACTGCCTATTACTGTGCCTTGTGGCTGAAACAGAACAGCACACATAAAGCGTGCAGCAGCTCTGAAGTCATGTTTACATGTATTGATGTGCAGTAGGAAAAGAAAATGGGACTGAGGTCAGGTGAACTCCTGTAGGATAAATAGAGATAAATAATTCAGATTCTCATTATAATAGAGGCATATAGCACCGGTGCATGGGAGCACCCTGCCTTTGTACCAATTGGTATGCAGTGGCTGTTCAGAAGCCATAGCATGTAATCTAGCATTAATATTAACATAAATCAGAGGTAGGAATTAGCAATATTTCTAAAGTCTTATAGGATAACTGAATTCACACTATATTGTTTAGTCCTCCTGGGCATTTTAGTAATTGTGTAATAGAAATGTTGAGGTAGTTGAGATATTCTTTATATTACACTATGAAAGGATCTTTAACACAATGTCTTTAGCAGACAGTTTTGATAGAACGCGTTGAACAAAAAGAAATATGCCTATTTTGGTAATATGGGTATGTTTCATTAGCTCAGCCTGCAGCGATATGACATTACATTCTAAAAGGAATACAATTAATAACAATGAGAGATTTTTAGCTCTCAGAGTGTCGCTGGAGGAACTAAGCGCGATGTCAGGGCAATTAAGCGGAGGCCCTGCATTACCTTTGTCTGCATACCCTTAACATTGCCCTGTCTCAGTGTGGTGAATAGTTATTTCTTTAGTGGAGAATTTGTAATTTATTTGGATGTTTCTTATAATTCAGACCACCATTATAAAAATTATTTTTTCTCCCTTTTATTCAGGTAAGAAAAAAATCATTAAACATAACTAGCTAGTAGAAATTAACATTTCTTCAGATTGCCATAGCTGCCATATTTTTGCTATAAGGGAATGAATGACTGTGAGGGAGATGCACACAGTCACTGCTGGGGATTTGACTGACCGCTACTCTCCTATCGGTACAGCAGGAAAGGGGCAAACAACTGCAAAGCCTGTACAGTCCACATGGTCTATAACAGCAATCCAGGGGAAAAGGTTGAACTTTGAGACTATTAAAATAATCAGCCAGGGTATTGTTTCATTCAATGTTAACCTTTATGTTTTATGTTAAATGACAGTGAAGGTTCTGGAACACGGTGATTCCCCCGAGTCTCGGGAGCTGAGATTTCTTTGATCTCTAAAGAGGCTTCATTCCACTCTGCAATGCCGAAATGCTCTTGGCTCCCTCTTCACTGGTCAGTTTTAATAGGTGCAACAAAAGATAAAATGTTTTAAAACATGAAAACTCTGGTTTTTAAAAACAGATGATGAAGAGACTGGCTTAAAATCCCCCTTCTGAGTGTCCCATTTGCTTCACACTTTTGGGGTTGTGGTTCTGTTGGGCAAGGAGAAGGTTGCAGGTAATAGGGAGTGATGAGAGAGGGGGCGAGAGAGGGAAGAGAGGGAGAGATAGGGAGAGGGAGGTTGGAGGAGAGAAAGAGGGAGGGAGCCTCGCCCATCATTCCTGACTCCCCAAATTTCCCCTGATGGACTTTTCCTGGTGAACATCTACAGTCTGTAAGCAGGTGTCTAGAAATGTTGCTGCTGAGTCTAAGCCTTGGGGCATTAATACGCAACTCCATTTCCACTCATGAGTAATGTATTAAAATTTTGTAGCTAATAAATTCTTAATGTGAGAAGCTCCAGGTTATTTCTTACTTACACAGCGACTTGGTTAATGGAACACCAACCTGGCCGTGGCTCCGGCCGCCTGTTATTTTCCGTGCTGTTTTCCCAAGGCTTTCCAATGCAGTCAGCTCCACTGCTAACTCCCTCTGCCTGTGACCACTGCTTAGTTCCTGCATATATGCAGAAGCACACACCTCTTCAGACAATTAAATCACACCAAACTGCTCGGGGACTGGAGACCTGCGAGTGTTATGTGAGCAGTTCCCCTCCCCTGCTAAGTATTATTGACAAATCCATCAAGGGCAGTGATGCATTGGTTTCCACCTTACCTAGAAGGACACTAGGGCAATGGTGACATGCTGTCACCGTGGTAACTGCGGCTGAAGTGAACAGCCTGTTAGGATAGGTGACCTCTGTTGGCAGTGCGCCTAGAGATGTAGCACTCACCCGGCTGCCGTGTCATGGGGACCCCAAGGAGCAGCTCAGTGCCCTCAAATTGATTCATTAGGCCCAAAACATATCGATCGCTCCAATTTGCAGGAATTTATTATATTGATATTGGACTGATTAACATTTTGTGCCAGACTGGTTCAATATGTGCTTGTAACAGCTTTTAATGATTAATTGACTTTTATGATTCCATCTCAGGGCTGTCAGTGAGCTGTGAACTGTGGGCAGGCTTGCTCCTGGGCTGTCTCTCCAGTGGCACAGGGCAGTGATTGAATACCTAGGAAATTAGTGTCCTTGCTGTCTCATTTTATGAAAGATAAATGCTATGACATTTAATGCAGACCTTAATTTAGAACAGAACTAAGCAGATCATTTTGCAATTTAATCATAAACAGGTAAATATCAAAACTTGTTTAGCATTTTACAAGTTAAGCACACAGAAAACAGAGGTAAAGTGGAGCAGGCAACCAGGGGGAGACAGCAAGAGGTAAAATAAAGTGATATGGGCAGGAACTGCACAGCATTTTAATAATCATGTAATTTATTAGGGCCAACATCCGAGCCCATTTTTCAGTCCAGAATATACTGCTCTCATTCACTCGGTAGTGAGCCGAGGGTGTGCCACTTGGCGCAGGCTGAAAAGTTAGCATTTACCTTCCTGGCCACGGGCAGCCTTGCAATATTGCCTGGTGAGTCAAGGAAAATACATTGATTTGCCACAAAAGTAAATAGCCGAATAAGGGACAGGCTCTAGTTTAATATGTGCCCCTGACATGTCATAAGGGGAATATCACATTCAGTATGGTTTACGTGTTACCTAAAACAACCATAAACATTATGAAAAGACGACAGGGGAAGATGAGATTTTATTGTGCTTGCTAACAACAGCGAGAGAAGAGTAGGAAGGCTGGGGGCTGTCAACTCACACCTTCTCGCATTCATATTTAAAGCGTATTTTCTTCCTTTCATTTTAATTAAAAGACTTAAGTTAGGGGGAAACTGTCTAAACATCATGTCAAATTATTCATGTTTGTACATATAAGGAATAAAATGGAATGGTTCTCCTGCTCACGGTTCTTCTTTCTTCTTTACCATTCCATATTTTTCTATGTAGCTGTGCAGTGGAAGGACGCCCTCACTTGATGTGTAAGTGTCAGTTGTTAAAGTGTCATCTAACCATGCGCAGTGTACATCGTTTATGGCCCTTGTCTGAGATACACTCAAACCATAGCATTTTTATTTTATCCAGCCCTCCATTGGTGAAAAGAATTGGAGGTCACCCAGTCTCCCATCCTAGAGTCACTAGAAACTCTATCCTGCTGCTCTGCCCATTTTCATCAAAGGCCTAGGCCACCTCCCTCCCTCAGTGCGTAGACAAACTATCTGACATCATCTCCATTTCAATTTGGAACTATGGCATCTTGTGATTCTTGTGATCCTGGAGGGCAGGATTTAAGTGGGCTCCCTGCTATGTGCTTCTGCACTTGGACACACACCCACAAGGGCAGTCTTCGAATGTGTGTATTTCACCTGCGTGGTTGGGAGTGCCCTCACCTCGAGTCTGTCTTATGCCATGAGCCTTGCTTGGCATCCGTTGCTGTTGGCCATGCATGGCATCACGGTCCCCTCCCTGTTCAGCGCCCAAAGCATAGATAGGACGAGAGCTTGGAAAACCTCAAAGTGCCTCTCTCCTGTGTGGAAATTGAGAAAGCACAGACATAATTACCTTTGTTGGCTCACAGTCTCAAACAGCAAAAGACATTTTAAACATCTGCCCTTCCTTTGATTGGTTCTACATCCTCTCTCTTTTTGGCTACTGTTCATTATTCTGCATTATATTCATTACCAAGAAATCTTCTCCAAGCCAATATTTTCATTTGGATTCATTTGGAAAGATGACTTGGATCCAGGGTATTAATCTGATCCAGCCCCACACAAACCCATAATAGACTATGACACACCACATATAGATAAATTCTATAGAGAGAGCTGTGTTTCAGGCTTAAGGATCTGATCCTCTCTATTGTGCCAGAAATGCCATATACTCAGGCACAGAGGAGAAAAATGGGTCTCTTTTTAGTTTCTCTGCTTTACCGGAAAGGGGAAAGGAAAGAATCAGGGCTGTCCCGAAGCTCTGCTCTGGGCTCACACAGCACTCATGCTGCAGCCCCGGAGTTCCTCTGTGGGTGTGGAAACACACAACCCAGGCACAGCAGGCACACACAACCCATACTGCCGATCCGTCGCTTATGTGCTGGGTCTGTGAATTTTCCCGTGTCAGGGAGGAATCATCCTTTTGAGTATCTCCATGGCACTTCATGCTCACCATGCTCCTTGGATTAGAATTCAGATTTCTTCCTTTGGTCAAAGTTTATTGGTTTCATCTCACTGGCATTCACTGTATAGGGAGAATTTTCAGGAGTCACTGAATACTCTCTGGCCTCCTTCCTTCCAATCACCAATCGAATAACTTTCTGTATCTATTTTATCTTCTGGTTCTGCTGTCAGATACCTGTCATACTATTAGCAGGAATTCCATGAAAAATTTAACAGGTAAAAAAAATGTTGATTCCCCAAAGTGGACTACTGGAATACATTCTTTCCTTATCCTGTGGGTAACAGCCTTCAAAATGCTTACCTTTTAGTGAACATTTTAACTCAGGCAGAAAAAGGTACGAAAAGATTGGGAAATGATCTCATTCTAAAGCCAGCATCTAAGGAAAATATTCAAAAATTCAAGCAGAAAAATTCAAAGTGTCTTATTTTTTAAAAACACTTTTTATCTGTACATTTTGTTAGTAAGGCTTACCAAAGGACCACTATGATATGCTTTACTTCATAGTCATAAAATACGACAGTCTTTAATTAACTCTTTATATGTAATAGAAACTCTAGTACCAAATATTTTACATTTTTGACACTAGAATTTCTATTCTACATGGGAATTTTACTTAATAATTATTGCCATTAAGCTTGATAGCATAATTGATCACACTGGTTTGAAGACTTATTTTATTTTATTCTATAATCATATTTTTATGCCTCTAATCTAAACAATAATATCCCCAGGAAAACGTATCTTCATTTCAGCATCTTAGTTCAGGCCGCTATGACAAAGCATTATACACTGGGTGACGTACGAACAGCAGAAATTTATTTCTCACAGTTCTGGAAGCTGGAAGTCCGAAATCAGAGGACCAGCATGGCTGGGACCTGGTGAGGTGCTCCTTCCAGGCTGCAGACTGCCTACCTCTCCACGTGTCCTCAGTGGGTGGAGAGAGATGGAGCTGGCTCTCCGGCCTCTTCTTAAGCGGGCACTAATCCCATTCACGACACTCACAAGGGCTCCACCCTTGTGACTAATCACCTCCCAAATGCCCCACTTCCAAATTTCATTACCTTGGGGATTTGATTTCAACATAGGAACTCTGGGGGGACAAGAACATTCAGTCCCTCTTATAACTTAGGAAAACAATTTTTTCTTGGGTATTTCAGTAGCCACATGAGTTGTGGTTTTGAACCTAGCCAAGCTTATCTCTTAATCTATCTTCATAAGGCCCTAGAAAGAAAGCCTTTCTTGGCTTCCATGTGTTGGTCTTTGAAGGGATACTGAAATGTCATATCCACCCAGCATTTCCAAATATCTAAACCTTGGTTGAAATGCATATAAACATCTGGTTTGAGGTGATGTCTCACTTTTTATCTAAACATTTCAGCAGTGTGCAGACAAAAAGATCGACTTCTGAGTCATCGCTGACTGATTCTCCATTCCTTTCCAGCACTGATGATTCCTTTGCCTGAGAGCAGGGGTATCTGTGTTCCCCACATGGGCGGGGCTGGGGTTCGTCCTGGGTCTTGGAGTGGGTGTTTGTGCCACTCACCACTAAGTGGGCTTGTGAGCTGGCTGGCAGTGCTCCTGGGGATTGGCTGAGTGGGCTGTAGGGGGAGGGGGGTTTTCCCCTTCCTTCTTCTCACTATTGCAGGTGGGAAGGTAAAAATGGATGAGCAAAGGGATGCTCTGTTTTCCTTTCTCCCAGGTGTGGTTCTACCAAAATGAACAATTCCTAAACACCTGCCAGGGTTGGGGAGCAGAGACCCAGGTCCCCAGTTCTGGGTGGAGGAGCTCCGGGCAGCTTCTGTAGGAATAAAGACTCAGTATAATTGAGGGTCTGGTTCTTCATTCTGACTCTTAGTAGCTGTGTGATCTTAGGCAGCTTACTTTATGCTGCTGGCTTCTCCTTCTTTAGCTCTAAAGTCAGGTCCTTTCAACTCTAAAATGCAATGCCAACCTTGGCATCTCACCCCTGATCTGGAGTTAACTCCCCTTCCCAATTCCTCTACTTCTGGACTATCAGGTATTCCTGACACGGGTGTGCTGGGATTTTAACCGTAAGCTTTCAAGGAGAGAGGAGGAAACTGGACTATTTAGGACAAGGACTCAAAGGTGCAATGCCAGTGTAGGACTGCCCCTGAAAAAGGGCATCCAACAGCCAGAGTCCCTTGATTTGAAGCTCCGAGGACCAATCTGTGTTGCATTCATGTCAAGGGGCCTGACCTGGTGTCCCAAGCAGGCATCCAGATCCCACACATGAAGGGAACACAACAGCAGGATATGAGACCATCGTGATCCCACGTCAGTCCATCTTCACTCAAACAGGCTTCTCCAGGAGAGGCGGGGCACAGGGGTCAGCACTCAGGCTTCACCAAGGTTCGACGAGAGAATGAGGAGGAGAAAGGGACCAGGACGTGGAGTGTCATGAGGAAACTGAGCAGAGGGGATGGTCTGGCTGCAAGCCAGCTCTCAGCCACATGATTCAGCTGCACAACCTCAGCCTTTCCTGAGGATGCCTCATGTGCTACTTGTGGAAGAAGTTGAGAGGGGATTTTAAAAACCTACTTAAAATAGAGTTATTACAAAAGTATGGGTGAACAATGCAGGTGTTACAACTGGACTGAACTTTGAAAGATGCCGTGTTATCTCGTAGAACCTCCCTCACAAGCTTCTGGGGTTTCAGGAATTTTTGGCTTAGGATCCTGCAGGGCTCTTTAGTCCATCTGGAATTAGATCCCAGTCTGGCCTCAAGTCCACGTCCTTTGGATTGCACCACGTGGCCTGGGGGTGCAGGTGGCTGGGGCCATCATTCCCCCAAGACACAGGGCTGAGGGCAGAAGTTCCATGCAGGGACCCCTACCCAGCCAGGTTTAGGTCTAACAGGTATGGGGATGAGAGGGCCAAGCAACACACAGCTAGAGACTATGGAGTCCTTCTGGCTTCCTTGGAGCTGGGAGGAAGCTTCCAGCACCACATCCTGTTACTCAATCCTGCCTTATTCTTGGATCCTAAATCCTGGTATCCACGTTCGAGTTCCTGCTCCCTGCCGCTCAGGCTTCCCGGTGCTAACTGCCCAGCTACCGAGCCCTTGTGTGCTGAAACAGACTCCCTGCTCATCTGCCCCAGCTGCCCACCTGCAGGGCAGTGCTGGCCCTTCTTGGAGGTGACTCTAGAAGCTTCCTGGAGAGAACTCATACTCCCCAGGGCTAGCTGGCCTTTAGCCCGTGGTCTTCCAGGTCAGATGCTTCTTTGCTCAATTATGCCCATTTCTGAACCAGCAAACAAATCCTAAGTAGTTACAGAAATGCTCAAAACCTCTGATGAACGAAGTTTCCCCTCAATATTTTTATCCAATAGACCCAATGATTACCTCTGAGGTTAATAGAAAAATAGGGGCATAGGAAGTGGAAAGTAACATAAGCAGCAGCAGGAATAGGGTGCAGAATTATTTCTCATTTGCATTTGTTTGTCTCTTGTGGCTCTTCTGTTTTTCACTGTGTTTGGATCTCTGGGAATAAATTTTTCAAATTGCATGTTAATTACTGCATTTGTGGCTTCCGTAGTATCAGACACTTTCAGGAAATATTACAGTTATAATTTCTAGATTAATAAAACTGAAGACAAAATTGACCCAGTAGACATAATTTAGTGTACTTTTCGGAAAGCTTCTGATAAGGCCCCTCCTAAAAGGCTATTAAGGAAAATAAACAACCATAAGGTAGAAAGCAAAGTCCTGTAAATTACAGCATCCGAAGGAACTGAACCAAGTGAAGAGAGTCATAGCGCCTGCTTGTATTTTGTTGTTTACCTAAAATATGTGGGCAATTGGTAGTGAAGATTTAAAAAGAAAAAATACCCTTTGAGTTTTCATCAAGTTTGATTGGCTTTGAAATTGTCGGGCCCTGTAGAGAAATAAACATAGCAAAGGCTTTGAGGACCGCTCAGCCCAAAAAGGTGCAGCTGTATGTGAAGTGTGGATGACGCTTGAGGGATAGGGCCAGTGAGAAAATACACACACACACACACACACACACACACACACACTCACCTGTGCACACACATGGTGAAGATGCCCCAGTCTGGGCTCGGAGGTTTGATTTTTTTGGATTTTTTGTAAAGCTCTAAATAAAATCCCTCAGGAAAATAGTACAGTTAAGGAAAAGATGAGCACATGCACAGAAAAAAAAGAGAACACCAGGCCCAGAAATAGATAAGGCAGCCCTAGGACCTGGGAGCTCCCTGCTTGTTCTCACCCCTGTGGGTGCAGGGATCAGGGCTGAGGCTGAGTCTCCAGAACAATGCAGGAGGAAGACCAGCTCCCCTTAGCATGTCTACATTGTAGGGTCGTTTATAATGATCTCCATGCAGATTTTTTGGACAGTGTGCTTTTCACTGAAATAGCAAAGATCTTGGTAAAGGAACTCTTACTGTCTATCTGTGTTTTTTGAATTCTGTCCTGAAAGCACAGCCTGGCCACCAGTTGACTCCATGGGGCACCTGGGTCAGGAGGTGACCACACCGCTCAGTTGGACTAATCCCCTTTCCTCACCCCATGGTGGATGCAGACCCAGCACTCGTGCAGGCAGGCTACAGGGGAGGAAGAGGAAGCCTGGGCTGAACTGTTAGGCACAGATCCATCAACCATGGGGCTGTGACCGGGAACCCACCAGAACTCACCATCTTGTTTTTTTCACCTATAAATGGAAGTTCTTGTCAACGTATATCTCACAGGAATCATAGGAAAAAGCTTAACTAATCCTTTCATATAATGATGTAGAAGCAGTTTTTAAAGTCAGACTATTAGATTAAAGTGATATGTCAGTGTGGTCAATGCAGAAAAAGGCCATTCTACATAAAATTCTTAATTTAATAGTGATAATGCCTAACATGTGCTGTGCACCGGGTACAACTCATGTGCGATGCATATCTGATCCTCACAGAGACTTTCACAAAACCCCACTGGACACACAAGGATACTGAGGCACAGAGAGGCTGAGGAATGGGCCAAGCCCATGGAGCTGACTAGCAGAGCAAGGATCTTAACCGCAACAGCCAGATTCTGGAGCCCATCGGCTCATCCTCCATCCTCCTATATTTATGCAATTTCATACAATATGGTGTGTACATAGCCGTGCCATAGGAGCTAACATGATTGAAGCACCTACTTGTACTTAGTACAAACCCCTTGGCGCGCACTGCATCTTTTTTTTTTTTTTTTTTTTTGAGACAGAGTTTTGCTCTTGTTGCCCAGGCTGGAGTGCAGTGGTGGGATCTCAGCCCACTGCAACCTCCGCCTCCAGGGTTCAAGCAATTCTCCTGCCTCAGCCTCCTGAGTAGCTGGGATTACAGGCACCTGCCACCATGCCCGGCTCATTTTTTGCATTTTTAGTAGACATGGGGTTTCGCCATGTTGGGCAGGCTGGTCTCAAACTCCTGACCTCAGGTGATCTGCCCGCCTCAGCCTCCCAAGGTGCTGGGATTACAGGTGTGAGCCACTGAGCCCAGCTGCATCTTTTAGTCATCATCCAACTCAGTGAAGTCAATGCAATCACCATCCTCACTGAAAACAATGCAGCATCCGTATAGATAGTTCTGGTCCAAGACGTTTCTTTTCCTTAGGTAGGTCAACCATTGCCCTCTGCAGATACCCAGAGACTGCTTCCTTTCCCTTGTGCGGCCACAGAACCCAGTGGTGGGTTTTGCCTTCTCTGAAGTCCAAAGAGCTGATCCAAGTAGCTCACTGCTCAGGACACTGGCCCAGGCTTTTTCAAGGTGACATCCAGACCCAGGGTGAGCACAAGAGGAAGCTGGTCCAATGACGAGGGATCCATCACACTGGGGACCATCCTCACCATCGGAGAGTTTCTAACTCATCTTTGTCAACCTGTGTTTATTTTGTTTTCAGAAGAGTGTTAGCTGGGGCCCTGAGCACACCATTGAGTGATTGAGTGACTTGGAGGGTTCTGAAATTCTAACTTTATGTTCGTGCACATGAAAGTTGTACATATATCTATATGTTGCTAATCGTCCATAAAATTTAATTTTGCAGAGCCACCCTCTCCTTACACATTTTGGGTTTTCTGTGAATAAGCCTGCCATTCGAATCTAGTGAAATAACATGAATGCCCTTAGCCAACCCCTGAGTCGAATTGTACAGGCCTTGGTACAGGTAAACCTCTCAAAGAGAGCTGTCCTCTTCAGTCTTCTCACTCATCTTCCCTCCTATCAATCTAAAGCATGAATCGGCCAGCCCCAGTGGCTCACGTCTGTAATCCCAGCACTTTGGGAGGCTGAGGCCAGAAGATCATTGAAGCCCAGGAGTTTCGATCCAGGCAGTTCAAAGGGGAACAAATTGAGACTCCCTCTCTCTTTCTCTCTCTCTCTCTCTCCATATGTGTGTATATATACATATATATATACACACACACACATATGTGTATATATATACACATATGTACATATATATATATAAAATCAGCCAGGAGTGGTTGCATGCACTTGTAGTCCCAGTTACTTGGGAGGCTGAGGCAGGAGGATTGCTTGAGTCTGGGAGGTTGAGGCTGCAGTGAGCTGTGATCACACCACTGCACTCCAGCCTGGGTGACAGAGTGAGACTCTGTCTCAAAATAAATAAATACATACATAAGTAAATAAATAAATAAGCATGAATATCTCACATGGCCTCATGTTCATGACTGAGATTATTAAATACTAAAGTGACTTGGTTGCTTGAAAGCTGCAGATTCTCACTAATTCTGCCACTAATGAAGTGAATAAGCCTGAGGGCATCATCCTGGGCCAATGCAGTTGGCTGTCCTTGTCCCACATGGAGGCCAACAGGTATTCCCATGCTCTTGCTCTCTCTGTGATGGGCCATCTTCACCACAGGACAAAATCATGGAGTTAGAAAGTATGCCTCACTCTGTCCCATCCTGTCACTTGCTAGGTGAAGGGTACCTGGCCCAGCAGTGTGCAGAAGGCTCAGGGCATCCTGCTCAGGTCTCCAGGTCTCCCTCTCAGGCACTGTGTCCAGCTCACATCATCAGGGGGTTTGATCGGAGCCCAGGTGTGCGCTTGTGTTGCCTGATGGAAAAATTTTGCTACGAATGTCTCCCTGTTTATACCTCAAGAACGTTGCTTCTTTAGTGAGCTATAAGCATAATGCGCTTTAGGCTGTGTCTAAATAATGTATTTATCCAACCAAAAAGCAAAAACTCAGATGGTTTGTGCCATATTTTTGTATATTTAGAAACAGCTGGTTGATTGACTGGATTTTTAATTTTTCACAGGAATGTTTGATGTCGGGGAGACTGCGCCTTTAAAATCCTCTGAGGAAAGAAGATTTCTATAAAAGTTTTCTCCCATAAATATTTTATGTTTCACTGAATTACTATGAACAGAAATTCCGTGATGGAAGAGAAGTGCCTTCTCTGCCCCCACACCAACCAAAGGCCCATTTCCAAACTCATGGCCATGCTCTGCCACCTGGGAAACTGGCCACCGAAGCCCCTCTTCAGGATTTAGTTGCCTTCAAACCCTTCTATCACATTTTAGAATTACTCTTCCGATTGATTTGTGCTATCTGGCTGCTGTAATTTTGAATAAACAAGCCCGAATATTTGGTTAAAATGCCTAAGTCACCTGAGTTGCAAAAAATACAGCCAGACTGATTTCATGACTTGTGCATAAGACACCCAATATATATTCATTAGGTATATATTCTATCAATATTAAATATGTATTAATTTTAATATACTAAAATATTAACATATAATTACTGTATGTTGTGTAGTAATAAAACATTGATATAAATGAATGTATAATTAAGAATATAAAATATATTGAATTGAATGATATCCCTCAAGGCTAATATATATGGGTAAGTAAAATGATCTGATTCAAAGAGCTACAAGACCCTGGATGGAAAGAGGAGCTAATATTTACTGAATATGAAGTAGGTGCTAGGTGTGGTGCCGGTTGCTTGCTAAATGATCTCATTCAATCTTCACAGAAACTCAGGGGGTAGAGCCTACTTTCTCCAGCTTACAGATAGGAAGCCTCAAGGTTCAGATAAGTGAGGGAACTCGCTCAGGGCTGCACAGCTAGTAGCCAGAGCAGCTTGAAAGTCAATCTAGGCCAGTCTGGTTCCACAGGCCGTGGCTTCACCCCTTTTTGCTCCCTTGAAACTGCTCCCTTATAGGGTTCCCGTAGTCATCCCGACTCTGCCTGGAAAATTCTACCACTGTGTGCACTCAGCAAGATTAGAAAGCAGAACTCCAAACGTCCGTGATGAACATGCACCCATGTGGCCCGCGGTGGGACAGGTGGGGTAGGAATCTTTCTGCCTCTTTTACCCGAGTGTGGAGGAACATATCAGATGGGCTGACTATGCCCTTGCGTGCCTGCTAAGGCCCAGCAGGTTTGACATGATAGGACCCTCACCTCCCACCTTAACTGAAAAGCACTGACTTAGGGGCCAGGAGACCCAGGATAGCCACAGAGAAGGAGGAGTGAAAACCCGAAACATTCAGGGGTTGGCATTTTTTCTGGTTCACAGCAATGCTTGATGCCACTTCCCCTCTCTTATCAGAAGCAGGCTGCTCCCCACACAGGGAGGTGGGCGAATGAGGTCGCTCTCCTCTGAGATGTTATTGTGGCCATGGAGAGGAAAGAGAATAAAGGAAGGACAAACCTTGTGCTGCAGGAAAAGTCAGGTTCTTGTCACACAACCGAGAAAGATCAGGCTCGCGGACACCTAGAAGGGTGAGGAGCAGAATTTATTGGGCAAAAAGGAAAAAGGAAAAACAATTCAGCAAAGTGAGATGGAGTCCTGCTAACAGGCTCTGCACCTCACAGACTGAATCCCAGGTCCCCAACCAGGAACAGGAGAGGCCAGGCTCCTCCCCACTGCAAATTGTGCAAACTTCTCGTGGCTCCACCCTGTCCTCCCAGTGCGCACGCTGGTCAGAGATTCTCTGGGGAGCCCTTTTTACTTGGCTATCTCGCTTGGGACCTGAGAGTCCCGTGACGGTCAACCACAGTAAGACACCAAAGGTTAAACCTTGAGGTCGCGAGCTGCAGGGTGAGGGAGGAAAGGCACTGCTGTGCGCTGCCTGCCTGTCATCCAGGCAGGCTACCCAGGTTCAATTTGTTCCTTGCCCTTTGGGTTCTGATAAGCCAGTGAGTGAAAAAAAAAACTTACAAGAAAAGATTATTTAAAAATAGATTTGCTATATATCAGAAACAGCTGTTAATTAGGCATGTTGAACTTCTTCCTCATGCCAGACTTTATAATGTTTATGAAAGTTGTAAACTGATTCAAGTTAACAAGCGTTTGCCTGGCACTTGCCATGTGCCTTCTTGAACGATGCCAGGTAGGAACATGAAGAACAGTTACCTGACAATTTAACTATGATGGTGCCCCTTCCACTGTGGGTCTCAGGGTTGGACATTCTGTGTCATCTTAAAGAGGTGGCCCTTATCAGAGGGGAAGAGTACGCTTTGGAGGTGCTGGCCAGCTCCGGGACCTTGGCTGAGTTACTCAGTTCCTCTGACCTTTGGTTTTCCCATTTGTAAGGTATATAAATACTATTGAGACAGCCAGGTAGGAGGGGCTCCGTGGCAGAACCTGCAACCGACCTGCACACTGGGAGGAATGCACACCAGGGTGGAGCATGGGGAACTTCCCCATTTGCAGCTGGGAGGAGCCTGGCCCCTCCTCTTCCTGGGTGGAACCTGGCATTCAATCTGCGAGGTGGGAAGCCGCACTAGCAGGACCTTGGCTTTGCAGAGAGTCCCTGTTTCCCTTTTTTCTTTTCTGCTCTGTAAATTCCATTATTCTCACCCTTCAAAGTGTCTGTGAGCCTAGTATTTCATGGCCATGTGTCAAGGACCCGGCTCTTAGCTGAACTAAGGAGAAAATCCTACAATACTATCTCTTTTTTTGTGAGTACATTTGAAGATTAAATCGCATCACGGAAAACATTCAGTAGCACAGCCTCTGGCTCCTAGTAGGTTCTCATTGTTATTACAGCTAAGGAGGTGGGCCTTCTACATGGAGTTCCACTCATGCGTGCAGAGCAAGGCCTCAACACATTTGTGAGAGGCTAGGTTTAGCTTATTTTCAAAAGCATCATCAAGATTTGCTGAAAGGTTACAAGTAGGACAGCTGGAAACAAACATTTTAGGTCTTTGCAGTATGGATGCAAAAAGGGTTTCCCCTCTTTTCAGTGGTATGATTTGGGAAGCACTGACTAAAGTGTTTGGATCGAAGAAAGGGAGGGTGGTGGTGAAGGAGAAAAGAGGGAGGCCTGTTAGCCAAGATTTGCAGGTGTTAAATACAAACCCCAAATTGGTTACTGTGACTCTCCTGAGAGTGGGGAAGGAAGTGGGTGGGTGGATGGGTGGGGTAGGAGTGGCAAAATCAGGCCTGAAACCAAGGACTCCATATGATGCATCTTAACAGATACTCCCTCAATTTCCTTCCTTCTCGTGGGGGTGGGATTTACATAAGCATTTTCTTGAGTCCAGATAACAAAACCATGCCTTGAAAGACATTTCACTTTTTCTGCCCATAATCAAGGCTGGTACCTTCCAAGATTCAGAGATCCTCGATCAACAACAACAGAAAATGTCCTCACCATGTTCTGAAAGCCTTCCAAAGCATGGCAGAATGAAGAACGAGGAGATGGCAAACTCTACCACCAGCCTGAGGTCCCAGCTGCCCTTCTATCCAGAAATGTTTTCATCTCACCACACAGAGCTTCACATGCACCCTTTTCAAAACCCACACTAGCTTCTCGATTTCTTGCACAACAGAAACTAATATGTTAGACCTTCGTAATAAACGTTAACCCTTTAAAGAGTATCTAATGTTTGCCCCACAAGAACCTGTAAAAATATGTCCATTTCGCACACACAGAACAAGGCTGCCTACAGAAAGAGCGAGGTGTGTGTTTTTCAGATGAAAGATGTCTTTCTAAAGTGCAGCATTGTTACTACAGGCGCATTATATCTGAAATGGATGCACTCTTGAAAGATAATGAATGATAGCACTTCCTTATTGTTGGTACCCACCCATCACTCTTCTTAAAAGCACGTGCTGTATAGCATTTGCAGTGTTCCTACAAAAGAAAAATTTTAGATGATTTAAATAGCTAACTGCTCCTAATTGTTATTCAGAATAAAAGGTTGCACTTCTTAAGTGTTCCCCGCTTTTAACACTGTTTTTAGTACCTCCATTTAAAGCCTGAAAATAAAATGCTTTTGCATGTGAAAGGGTTGCTGTAAGTTCATGGACCATGGACGCATCCATCCTTGTGGCTGGGCGTGGGCTCTGGAGCTCTTGAACAGCTTGCACTACTCTCCTCGGAATGCACCTGGGACTAGGAAAGGCCTTATGAGCTGGCATGCTTCACCGCTCTCTTGAGGTCACAAATGAATAAGATTTTCTGCTCAAACTTTAGAAATGTAAAGTTTTTTTGGCAGGTAGAACCATTCCATCCATGTGTCTCTTGCTCTGGGCTGGGGACAATCAGCAATTCCACATCTAAAATCACCCCACACTGGTAGACGCCAGGGTAAGTTTAAAGTCCTCTTGGAAGAAAGTTTCCAGAGATCCTGCACTATTCCATGGTTCTTCCTTTAAGCCTTATCTACGCAACTGAAGTAATGTCTTGATCAAACGATGGAGATGCATTCTAAGACATGTGTCGTTATGTCAGAGGCATGTAAACCAGAACAACTCCATCTTGAGTAGGGGCTGGGTAAAATGAGGCTGAAACCTACTGGGCTGCATTCCCAGGTGGTTGAGGTGTTTTAAGTCACAGGATGAGATAGAAGGTTGGCACAAGATACAGGTCATAAAGACCTTGCTGATAAAACAAATTGCAGTAAAGAAGCCGGCTAAAACCCACCAAAACCAAGATGGTGATGAGAGTGACCTCTGGTTGTCCTCTCTGCTACACTCCCACCAGTGCCGTGACTGTTTACAAATGCCATGGCAACGTCAGGAAGTCACCCTATATGGTCTAAA
Organism: Homo sapiens; assembly: GCF_000001405.40. Taxonomy (NCBI): domain Eukaryota; kingdom Metazoa; phylum Chordata; class Mammalia; order Primates; family Hominidae; genus Homo; species Homo sapiens. The sequence goes on along the minus strand of NC_000002.12, from coordinate 104,887,072 downwards.
AAGGGAAGACACAGATAATCCATGCCTTGTTTAGCATATTATCAAGAAACAACCAAAAAAATGGGCAACCAGCAGCCCTCGGGGCTGCTCTGTCTATGGAGTAGCCTTTTTTTTCCTTTGCTTTCTTTTTTTAAAATTTTTTAAATTTTTTTATTTTTTATTTTTTGGGACAGTTTCACTCTTGTCACCCAGTCTGGAGTGCAATAGCGTGATCTCAGCTCACCGCAACCTCTGCCTTCCAGGTTCAAGTGATTCTCCTGCCTCAGCCTCCAGAGTACCTGGGATTACAGGCATGCACCATCACACCCAGCTAATTTTGTATTTTTTAGTAGAAATGGGGTTTCACCATGTTGGCCAGGCTGGTCTCGAACTCCAGACCTCAGGTGATCCACCTACCTCAGCCTCTAAAAGTCCTGGGATTACAGGTGTGAGCCACCACGCCTGGCCTGTTCCTTTACTTTCTTCATAAACTTGCTTTCACTTTACGAACTTGCCCTGAATTCTTTCTTGTGCGAGATCCAAGAACTCTCTCGGGGTCTGGATTGGGACCCCTTTCCTGTAACAGTTATGTGATTTTCTTGTTGTGCAAACATCACAGAATGGACTTACACAAACCTGCATGGTATAGCCTGTTACACACGTAGGCTCTATGGAATGGCCTATTGCTCCTAGGCTGCAGACCTGTACAACATGTCACTGTACTGAATACTGTAGGCAATAGCAACAAAAGAGTTTACCTACGTATATCCAAACACAGAAAAAGTACCATAAATATATACTATCATCTTATACAATCACCACTGTATTTGTGGCCTGACATTGACCAAAATGTTGTTACGCATCACATGACTGTGTTACTGGAAAGGGGTCCCGATCCAGACCCCAAGAGAGGGTTCTTGGACATCGTGCAAGAAAGAATTCAGGGTGAGTCCTTAGAGTAAAGTGAAAGCAAGTCTATTAAGAAAGTAAAGGAACAGGCCAGGCACGGTGGCTCACGCCTATAATCCCAGCACTTTGGGAGGCTGAGGCGGGTGGATCATCTGAGGTCAGGAGTTCGAGACCAGCTTGGCCAACATGGTGAAACCCCGTCTCAACTAAAAATACAAAAATTAGCCGGGCGTGATTGCAGGCACCTGTAATCCCAGCTACTCTGGGGGCCAGGCAGGAGAATCACTTGAACCTGGGAGGCAGAGGTTTCAGTGAGCCGAGATTACGCCATCACACTCCAGCCTGGGGGACAACAGCGAGACTTTGTCTCAAAAAAAAAAAGAAAGAAAGGAAAGAATGGCTATTTCATGGGCAGAGAAGCTGAGGGCTGCTGGTTGCCCATTTTTGTGGTTATTACTTGATTATATGCTAAACAAGGGGTGGATCATTCATGAGTTTTCCTGGAGAGGGGTGAGCAATTCCCAGAACTAAGGGTTCCTTCCCTTTTTACACCATATAGGGTAACTTCCTTGGGTTGCCATGGCATTTGTAAATTGTCATGGTGCTGGTGGGAGTGCCTTTTAGCATATGAATGCATTATAATTAGCATATAGCGGGCAGTGAGGAGGACCAGAGGTCACTTTCATCGCCTTCTTGGTTTTGGCAGGTTTGGGCTGGCTTCTTTACTGCATCATTTTATGAGCAAGGTCTTTGTGACTTGTACCTCGTGCTGATCTCCTATTTCATCGTGTGACCTAGAATGTCTAACCTTCTGGGAATGCAGCAATGCAGGTCTCAGCCTTACTTTACCCAGCCTCTATTCAAGATGGAGTCACCCTGGTTCAAACGCCTCTGACAACTGTTTATACCATTAGTAGCAGGAAGGAAAGTCAGCAGACTTTCTTCAGTCATATAAACTGTGGTGTTCACAAAAAAATGCTTGGATTGATTGCACAGCTGAGAGTATTCTACTGTTTAGATCATTGGACAGACATTTTTTTCAGTAACACAGAGTTTAACCTAAAATCCTTATGCTTAATGTTTAAGTCAATTTCCCCCTTCTTACCCTGGTTAAGGATGGATGATCACATTTTTTTGTCACAGACTGGGTTGTGTGTCCTACATTTTGTGTAAGAATGCTGCCCTCCTGCTCCTTGCCCGTCCCACCAAACAGGTCTCAGTGCACACTAAGTGTGTGAGGAGCCGTATCAGACACCTTTAAGTGGCTCTGTTTTCAGTGACCCCACACTTCCACATTCCTTATGAAATAACCTCTCCTTCTCTCCTTATTTGTCGCTTGGAGCACCTAGGTTTTCCAAAACAGAAGTCCCTCCCCAATAAGACGATCACTAAGACGTCCAACCTGCAAGCCTAACTCATCCCACAATGGGGCTTGGTGCTTCTGCCACAATACAAGACTACATGGCTGACTGCTGTTGGCCCTTCTGAGTTAGAGAAGAGTCCTTGTAAGTTTACAACACCACACCCTTTGTTGGTTTTTACAGGGCTAGAGGGTTTTGCCTAATTCAGCTGAGACATGGGTGCCCTGCAATTATCCCTGTTAGCTGCAGTGCCAGATGTGTTGAAGTGGAGTGGTGTGTTCTGGCTTCCTCAGAAAACCAGCTTCCAGGTTTCTTCTTGAGTTGGCTTGAGGCTCACAGAGAAGCTTTTCTTAAATTGATATACAGCCATTAGTTGGATGCCTGGGGAGATCACAGTGGTCCCCTGCGGTGTCGATGTGAGCCCAGCCTTCTTAGAGAATCAGTGCAGGGCTGAGGGAAGGGCTCCTCTGCCAGTAGCTCCAGTTCCACAAATTCTCATCCTACACTTGACCAGACATCCTCTGCTGCTGGGTGCATCTAACCTCTAGTATTACCCTGTGTTTGTTCTGAAAGACTTCTTTTGATACCACCCCCAGACAAATGTGTTTTGAATTTCACCACTACTCCAAAGTAATTCTGAATTCTAATCACATTCTATCTGGTAGAGTCACACTCTTCCGTGTCACCCCTTCCATAGTCCACTCTACAGATCATGCCAGATTGTTGTCATCTCTAACTTAATGAGCATGGTCTCTATTCTCATCAGTCCCCACAGGTAAGAGCAATTCTACCTCATCTGCAGCAATTTGAAAGGGACCACTGGGAACTCACCTAGGGAAGTGAGAGTTGCAGAAACATTCTTTTTCCCGTCTTCCTCCCATTTCCTGCCCTTTCCTAGTTCTGTCCTTGAGCTACTGGCAAGCTCAGCCATTCTGAGAAGGGATCTCTCTCTGAACCAGCCTCCCCACTATCCCAAGCACATGCTGTCTTCCTACCAGTGAAGGAGCCTTTTACAAGCATCCCCTCACTCCTACCCTCTATAGCCTCCCAGCATTCAGAACCATAATGATATTTATTCTGGATGTTTGCAACTTCAGAACACAATATGCTGATTTTCTGACATTAAACACACCAGCGGCTACGGAAGAGTGCTAGAAATATGTTTTCCCCTCTGTACTGGGAGTCGGGAATTGCACTTGTTAGAGTCTCCCAGGTGCTAAAAGAAGAGAAATGGGATGAGAATGGTGAGCTGGACAGAGTCCAAAGCTGCTGTGTAATCTCTCTGACTCTTCCTTGGGCAGCTCCTCCATGTATGATAGCACATTGTGCACAGAGCTCCCACAGAGGAAAGACCTGCTGGTTTCAGCCCTGTCTAATGAGAGACCAATGTGTGTGCATGGCCAATTTGAAGAAGAAGGGGGAAAACAAAACAAAACAAAACCAAAACTGTAATTGTGTGGCTTCTATTGCTCAAAGTGAATCCAGGGTCTTAAGCTGTTTCATGGAGCCCCAAGGTCAAGGCTGCGATGTGCCTGGGGGGAGGGGTGTAGCTCACACATGATGCTGTGCTGCTGTGTTACCCACCAGGATGGCTCTGCCCCGCTAATGGCCCTGGGCACTTGTAGTGGGCTTCTCCCTGAACACAGATCAGAAATGCAGGCTCCTTTTCTGCAGTACTTTTTAATCCCAGCAACTCTCCACAGCAAAGAGTAGTTTTCCACAAGGAAACCAAGCTGGTCATCTCTTCTCCCTGCCAGGTGAGTTTGCCTTGCAAACTGCTGTGGGAATGACTTTCCTCCTAGGACCTACCTAGGTGCAGAATTACATTTAGATGGCTATTACTTTCTCATATTCAATATTCCTCTTACTACCACCTGTCATTTTCACCTGTTGTTCTGGTATTCAATTCTAATCCTAATACTCTTTGCAAAGCTTCCACTTTGTTCTGTGATATTTCTTGGTTTTTTTAGAGGAAGAAAGTTAAATTAAAATTTAAAAAGGAAAGAAAATAATCATGTGGGAAGGTGTACATAACTCTCGAAACAGAGTGTGAATTTGTTTCTGAATTCAGACTTCAAGTGTTTTAGTCACATAGTGTCAGATACGAAGATGATAGAATTCATAGATTACTCTGACCATCAATGTTTGAGATCTTAAAAGTCAGGACAGCTTTTAATTCCAGTATTCACTCTGTGGATATTTATTTAATTCCAATATCCACTCTATATAGAACCTAGGTGAGGCTGAAGGAAGAAAAGCACAGTTAAAAATATGCAGGGTGCAGCGGTTCATGTCTGTAATCCCAGCACTTTCGGAAGCCGAGGCGGGTGGATCACCTGAGCTCAGGTGTTCGAGACCAGCCTGACCAACAAGGTGAAACCCCGTCTCTACTAAAAGTACAAAAATTAGCCGGGCATGGTGGCAGGCGCCTATAGTCCCAGCTACTTGGGAGGCTGAGACAGGAGAATTGCTTGAACCTGGGAGGCGAAGGTTGCAGTGCAGTGAGCCGAGATCACACCACTGCACTCCAGCCTGGGCGACGGAGTGAGACCCCATCTCAAAAAAAAAAAAAAAAAAAAATTCAGGTTTTCTTTCCAACCAGAAAGATTTTTCCAATCAGAAAGCTGATTTTGTCAGGCCAATACCTGAAATTTTAAACTCAGATAAGACTTGAAAAACATATAAACAACCTTTCACTTTGAAACACTCTGCATATATTTTTAGAAACCTATTCCTTAACAGATTTTATCTGCTGTAATAATCTTTTAGTGAGTCAATAACTCTACCAACTGGGCAATAAGCAAAATAACAACTTGCTTCATTATTTTCTTTAAAGTCCAGGTTTTACTCATCCTTCTTTCTCCATTCTCAAAGACAGAAGAAAAGAAGAGCAACCAAGAGATGCGGTGGAGTGGGAACGATGATAATCATCTATTGACAGATATCCCGGTAGAAGAGGTGGATTGCCCATGTCTGAGGCCGAGGGAGAGTTCTCACTCTGCTACGTGTTCATGCAGCACCAGCTCAAGCTGCAGGAAAGCACATGCGTTCCTGTGAGCCACATGGAACCCTCCATCGGAACCCTCCCAACAAATCACCATTGTTTAAAACTTTAATCAAGATTATTTTCCTGAATTTAGTAAATGTATTAGTTTTTATAGATACACCTATGTCTATGTCTAATGAAAATCAAGAAAATCCACTGAAAAGCCAATTTGAAATAATACCTATGTGTGTGTATGTGTGTAGAGAGAGAGGGAGAGAGACGGAGACAGAGAGACAGCAAGAGAAAGAGAGAGGACAGAAAGAGAGAGGATGCATTGAACGTCTGTGTAACCATTGCATATGAAAAAGATTAGGATGGGTGTGGGGGCTCATGCCTGTAATCCCAACACTTTGGGAGGCTGAGGCAAGAGGACTGCTTGAGGTCAGGAGTTCAAGAACAGCCCAGGCAACTCAGTGATACCCCCATCTCTACAAAAAAAAAATCTTTTTTTAGTTATGTGAGTGTGGTGGTGTACACCTGAGGTCCCAGTCACTGAGGGGGTGGAGGTAAGAGGACTGCTTGAGCACAGGAGTTCAAAGCTGCAGTTAGCCATGATTGCACCACTCCCTCCAGCCTGGGCAACAGAGAGAGACCTTATCTCTCAAACAAGAAAGAAAGGAAAGAAAGGAAAGAAAGAAAGAAAGAAAGAAAGAAAGTAAGAAATAAAGAAAGAAAGAGAAAATATATATGAATAAAAGTAGGTTGTATGTGAAATAAACTGTATGTTATTCATCCCTCTAAGGGTCTAAAATCTATAAGAAATAATATGTTCACTTTATGAATGTAATAAGTTATTTTTGATACACTGTCTTTGTCTTATGGACTCTTTAGAGCATTGAGGCGATAAGTTGAGTCTAATTCCACAACCTCTGCCTAGGGGTACAGGGCAGACTTCAATGGGTTTATCTAGTGGAATAGCCCACCATTCCTAACCCATCCCTGCCCCGGATAAAGAAAACCTGTCCCAAGCTCTTGGCCCACAGAAGACGTGACATGGTGCTCTCGGGCATTGCTGAGAGAACACAGGGACAGCACAGAACTCCCAGAGGACTGGGACAACAAAACACACCCTGACCTTTAGGACAAAAGAGGAAAATGGAGTGAAGAGGTGTTTCTCTTTTCTGTGCTCTGGCACCTATCCATTGGCCCGGAAAGGCAAACAAATCAGAATGGACTTGAGAAAATAAGAGTGGACTGATGTGGACACTTGCAGGGAGGCAGTCACCAGCAACACTTACAAATGTGGCCAAGGATCTCCACTGCAGCATGGTTGGGCACAGGGCAGGTCTGGGATCAGGCAGGATTTGTGAGCATGGTGGGGACTCCTAGGCTGCTCCCCTAGAAGAACAGGTCTCACGGTCTCCACTCCAGCTGGCCCCAGCTGAGCTCATCTTTGTACAGACTGCACTCTGTCCAAGCACAGAACTTGGAAATGGAGCCAAGGGAGGGTTTTCTCCTCCTCTAACGTTGGAGAGGGCATTGTTGCAGACTACGTGAATGAAGGAGAATCTGGCACGAGGAATCTTTCCATCCTCCTGGCTGTGGAGTGAACAGGTGGTCCCAAATCTGTCTATGTGGTGGGGGGCGGAGGCGGGTGGGGAGAGGATGAATCTGAAAATATAATGTCCTGAAACTTAAATTTGAACCACATGAAGGAGAAAGAATAAGCTCTAAGGTAGCACTCCCAAAAACTTCCACTGAAATATCAGAAGAAACTGCTTATGCTTGGATAAGAACGAGCAGGTATTGGCCCAAAGCCACCCTCTATAGTCACAAAATGCATTCGAAATCTTAGCTTTTGTTTTTAAATCGTATGATGATTTTGTATTCTATCGTATAGTAGATCTGTGATTGTTTTAATATAAATGTATAGTTTGAAGTTCTCAGTTAAGTTACTTAGCTCGTTCCCCAAAGAACCACGTGGTGAAGAGATGCTGCAGGAAGACACCCCACACTTGTTCTGTGACTTGGTTTCTGCAACCTGGATACACCCCCTGCACCTCTTGGTAGGTATGAATTTCACAAGCACAGCTAGGGAACAGGAGATCTGCTCCTGAAACAAAGAGAGAGGCCACAGGGGCAGAAGGAGGTCACACAGCAAGGAAGGAGGGGTGATCAATGCAGCCAGTGCCCTGCCCCTCAGGGCACCCCACTTCAGGGCCACCCCATTCTGCTCACCAGAGGACTCAATCACCAGCCACCTTTACACACCCCAGCCCAAATGTGGATGCAACTTACTTCTGGTGGTTTCTCTTAACCTAGCTGAGACAGGTAATTTTTTTTTTCAAAGAAATTGGGAAAAAAATAAGGAGAAATAGGAAAATAAGTACAAAGAAAATAAAAAACCAACTTTCTTCCCTCTCCATGTACCCTCCCCTGTGACAGCCACACGTTACCTCAGATGACCGGAAGACTGTGCAGCTGTTTTACCCAGCACCAGCTCACGTACCCCTGCCAGGGCTGGTCTCCCGGACACCCCGAGAAGGAACTGTGGTCAGAGCCCAATCGCGGCTTAAGACATAGGCTCCTCTCTCGGTTTCTTCTCTCTCTCTCTCTCTCCATCTGTATGTGTGTGGTGTGTGTACTGCATACGTTGTATGCATGTGTTGTGTGCCATGTGTATTGTGTGTGTACTGAAGATTACGTGTGTACTGAAGATTTTGAGTGTGTTGTGTGCTCTGTGTGGTGTGTGTGTATAGTGTGTGCTGGGTGTGCTGTGTGTTGTATGTGGTTTGTATGTATATGTTGTGTGTGCTGTATATGTTTTGTGTTGTGTATGTTGTGTGTTGTGTGTGCCGTGTTGTGTGAGTGTGCTATGTGTTGTATTTGTGTGTTGCATTTGTGTGCTTGTGCATGTTGTGAGTGTGTTGTGTGCTGTGTGTGTGTTGCATTTGTGTGCTGGGTTGTGTGCTGTGCTGTGTATTGTGTGAAACACACACAAATCTGGACATAGTGCAGTGACTCTCAGGACCAAACAGAGCACAGAGCTCCAATCTACCTTTGCCACCCACCCAGAAACACCCCCCTCAGTAATTCCACCGGAGAAGTTTATTCTTCACCAGGAGGTGGTAAGGATGGGGTGACTGGCAGATTAAATAATCCCAACCCTCAGGCAAGATGCCAACTTCTGTATGCAGGATTTGCCCCAGCCTTGTAGTCTACCAAGTGTTAAATAACACTAAATTCATACAATAAATATAACAGTCACACAGTAATTCTAACTAGAATAGTAAGAGTGCAGCCTTTTCACAAAAGCATAATGTGGAATAAAAGCACCAAGCTTCCATTGAGAATATGCAGAAGGTTGAAAGTAGTTCGATTTAATTATTTCATTACAGCCTATACTGTAGTACGTGCAGGTAGACAATATTTCTATAACAATATCAATGATATATCTTAGGCTTTCTCTATAGCATAGTAGAGAAACTGGCAGGGAGGAAAAAAGGATCCACTCCATTGAAAATAATTCATTCTTATTTCCAGACCAAATCCTACAATTGAATTCAGTCTCTAAAATTTGGGTAAATTGCATGATTTTTGTTTCCACTCTGACCTTTAGAATCTGGCTGATTAAGGCTCGGTCTGCTAGCACAGCTGATCTGTCCTTCCACCAAGCTGACCTACTAGAAACCAGCCAATTCAGCCAGGCAACCAGCTACTAATCAGCCAGTTTCTGGTTAGTCTGTCCTGCTTACAAGTTCCCAGATTACTTAACTGCCAGCATCCAGGAGGGTGAAGGAACCTGTCCTTCTTCCCATGAGGACAGGAAGGACAGTATTCTGTGGGAAGAAGGGTCATTGTACAGCTTAGAAAAGAATCAGTGGCTGGGCGTGGTGGCTCACGCCTGTAATCCCAACACTTTGGGAGGCCGAGGAGGACGGATCATGAGGTCAGGAGATTGAGATCATCCTGGCCAACATGGTGAAACCCCGTCTCTACTAAAAATACAAAAATTAGCTGGGCGTGGTGGTGTGTGCCTGTAATCCCAGCTACTCAGGAGGCTGAGGCAGGAGAATCCCTGGAATCGGGAGTCGGAGGTTGCAGTGAGACAAGATTGTGCCACTGCACTCCAGCCTGGCGACAGAGTGAGACTCCGTCTCAAAAAAAAAAAAAAAAAGAAAAAAAGAAAATAAAAGAATCAGTGATGGCAATTGAGCCCAGAGACTGTGGCCTCCCAGCCAGGCCACACACACTGCACACATCACTCTCTTGGCTCTGTCTCAGCCAGGTCCCACTCTCTCTGCACTGTGACTAGAATGGAGCTGTGTAAATATGGGTGGCATTAGCGCACACTCCACCATCAGTGGAGATCCTCCACTGATATAAAAACAGGACACCAAAATGAACTGCAGAGTCCTGCCTGTGGTCTCTGGGTTGATGGAAAGGGCATTTTGCAGGGTAGCTGTGTGTTAAGGATACACTTTGGCTATCTCCCCTGGCAGGGTCAGTTGGAGGGAGAGCTAATCGCTCAGTAAACAGAGAGAAGAGAGAAAGAGAGATGCTTATACTTAATAAGCCATTGCAAATGGAAAAAGCAAGCTCCTACCCACCGTGATTCTCTCTAGAAACAAATGGCTTGGATCCAAGCACTACAAAGCCCTTTCAGAAAGCTGAGAGGGTCTCCGGGTCCCAGCGCCCCCAAACATAACCCTTTTGTGTGGTTCTCTTTCTTGTGGAAGTAGCTTTAACAAGGGAAGAGGCAATGACTCTGTGTGTGTGTGTGTGTGTATACCACAGTCATGATTTTTCCTTTTGTCTTAAGTTATGGTACTCCTGATGTGCAGTTCACCCTTCTCCCTTGGGGGCAGATGGAGCAATTACAGGGGAGGGCCAGACTGAGGTGCTGGGTGTTCCCAATCCCCTTCCTTCAAGCCCCCTGAACCCTGAAGAGCGAAAGCAGCACAGAGCTCTAGCGGTTCAGCAAGTGGCAAAGCTGGCCTGGTGGCAGAAGGGAGGTCGAGGTCTCTGCCAAGGCTTGCTGCTCTGGTTTCTCTCATCTCTGGCCTGTGCCAACCATCCTGTCAGATGAAAGAAACAGTGTGGTTCGATGCGCCAAGTCAAAGCTCAAGCTGGGAGCCGCAGCCACGACCCCGTCTCCACAGTCGTTTACATTTATTATTTTGTGCCCACTCTGGATACTTTCACTTAAAATGTGGGAAATAAAAACACAAACCTGTCTCCCCAGGCTATAAAAAGGAATGACTAATATAAAAAAGGGGAAAAAAGGATCATAGAACATTTTGTAGATACACTACACATAAATCCTAAGTAAGCCTGGCGTGGGGTAATGGCAAATACAGCCATGTGAGGAGATAGAGGGGCACTTTGTCCCTGAGAGAGCTCCAAAACCAGGGAATTCCAGGCATGGAATGACAGCCTTCCTGCTTGCACAGTGGCTATTACTCAGCCCTTTTCTAGGAAAAAGGACTTCAAAGATTTCCACCAATCACCCACATGGCCAATGTCTAAGGCACTAGTATTTCTTTCCATTTCAATTTGAATACAGCAAGGAATCCAGGAAGAAGACAAGGAACATTTTTTTTCTGTCTTCTACACTTAAGAGAGGGTGACTCTCTGGTTACTTTCTAGAAATAAAGAAAGGAAGAGCACTCACTAATAATATAGCCCTTTGAACTTCCAGCTTCTGATTAGAACCAGGGGCTTAAACATAATCATCCAATAGTGTTCGTTCTGTGTACCTCTCCATTTTTGTCATTTCTCTTCCTCCTGTTTCTAAAGCTAGATTCAAAAGTTAAAAGAGGCTGGGCATGGTGGCTCATGCCTGTAATCCCAGCACTTTGGGAGGCTGAGGTGGGCGGATCACCTGAGGTCAGGAGTTCCTGACCAGCCTGGCCAACATGGTGAAACCCTGTCTCTACTAAAAATACAAAAAATTAGCTGGGCATGGTGGTGCACACCTGTAGTCCCTGCTACTTGGAAGGCTGAGGCAGGAGAATTGCTTGAACCCAGGAGACAGAGGTTGCAATGAGCCGAGACTGCACCACTGCACTCCAGCCTGGGCGACAGAGCGAGACTCCATCTCAAAAACAAAACAAAACAAAACAAAAACACAACACAACAAAACAAAAGTTAAAAGAGATTTAAAATAAGTATTGGGATATTTCCATTCTGCTAAAACTTGTAGCTAATTTGCCAAGTCTTATTTCATTGTATTTGTACATTTGCTCTTTAAAAAAAAAATGTTTCAAAACCACAATGAGATATCACTTCACACCAACTGGGATGGCTGTTACTAAAGAAACAAAAAATAACAAGTGTTGGTGTGTTGGTGAGAATGTGGAGAAATTAAAACTCCTGTGCATAGCTGATGGTAATGAAAAATGGTGCTGCTTCTGGGGGAAACTATGGAAGTTCCTCAAAAAACAAAAAAGAAAATTACCTTATGATTCAGCAATTCTACTTCTGGGTACACGCTGAAAAGAATGGAAAGCAAGAACTTCAAGAGATATTTGCACTCCCATATTCACAGCAGCATCATTCACAATGGCCAAAAGGTGGAAGTAACTCAAGTGTCCGGGGACAGATGAATGGGTAAACCAAATGTAGTAAATACACACAATGGGGTCTTATTCAGCCCTAAAAGGGAAGGAAATTCTGCTACATGCTACAACATGGATGAACCTGGAAGATGTTAAGTGAAAGAAGCCAGTCACAAAAAGATGAGTATTGTGTGATTCCACTAATATGGGGTCCCTAGAGTAGTCAGATTCCTAGAGACAGAAAGTAGAATGGTGGTTGCCAAGGGCTGGGGGCAGGGGAAAATGGGAATTATAATTATTACTTAATGAGTAGCGAGTTTCAGATCTGTAAGATAAAAAAACTTCTGGAGATGGATGATGGTGATGGTTGCACAACAATGTAAATGTACTTAATGCCCTGAACTATGCACATAAAAGGGTAAAAATGGTAAATTATATGTCATACATATTTTACTACTATAAAAAAGTGTTTTGAACATCTGACATCGTGTTCTACCTCCATAACATTTGTGACGGAGAAAGAATAGGTATTCTAATCTGCGTATAAACACAGGAAGACAGATAGAAGGCCTCAGTCCTCTAACAGTTTTGAGCCTGGACTGGTGAGATCTATCATCTTCCCCTGCAATCAGCCACCTGCCCAGCTACTTCCGGATGCCTCACCCTTTGCTTGAAGGCATAAAGATAGGTCCCCCACACTGTTCAACTCCAGGGCCAATGGCAGCTGTGGGGTCAGAGGAGAAGAGGTTTGGGCCTTACTGGCACCTCTCCTCCTTCTCCTGCTTTCACATCTGGCCAGGGGCACTCCCATTCTGCTAGCTTCTCAGACTCCACCCAGTTCTCCTAATCCAACAGGAGTGCATGTTCCCGATTACCTCCCATGACCACTGGCTCTCACGGTGGCTGGGAACCCTGGCGGGGAGGCCTGCGCCTCCTCAAGCTCCAGTCCCTCTGGATGGGTGAGTCCCTCCGGTGCCTTTGTCCTGTGTCCAACTTCCTTTGTCCTCTCCAGAGGTCTCTCCTGGGCTTCACCACTGGTCATGGTCCTCCAAACAGCAGCTCCCAATCCCCAGGACAGTTCTTCAGGACACTACCCCTTCCTCCCAGGAGACCCGCAGGTTTCAGCTCTCCTGGGGCCACTGCTGGACCAAGTCCTCAATTGCTTCCTTGCCATTATCCTCTTTGAACTCCCTCTCTCTCCTCTAAAAGCCCCTCTGGCTGCAGACTCCTTAATTGCGTGGCTGTTCCTTTCCAGAAGCAGGTGCGCCTGCCTCGGGCCTCTTCGGACTTTCCATCACAGGCCAAAGGAAAACCAGCGAGAGCTTGCATGACACCGGGTCCGTATTAAGACAGGCGCAAAACGATCCTTCCTCTTCTGTGCGCCTTAGGGAACGCCCGAAGGCATGCAAGGCTGGGGCTCAGGGGAGGGTCCCCGAGCGGGCAGTCAGGGCTGCCCTCAGGCCCTGGGCAAGGAGGTTTCCGGAGGCCCCTCAGTTCTCGAGTGTGTGTGTATGTTTTTGGTGGTGGTAATTGGGAAGCAGGGGGTCAAGACCCAGGAGTGCAGAGAGTGGGAGAGAGGATCTCCTCCGCCCATCCTGGGCTCCTGTCGGGCCTAACCTCCACCCAGCGTCAACTTTTTGCTGCTCCCGTTAGATGGCGCCCAAGACTTTCTAACCACTTGTGAAAGTGCTCCTGGCCCGGAACAAAAAGAACCGTGGGGTGTGAGTATGAGTGTGTGTGAGTGCGAGTGCGCGCGCGGGGCTGGCCACAGGGCACAGGAGTTGCCTGGCACTACGCGTGGCCCCGTCGCGGGTCGGGTCGGGCCGGCCCAGGGCTGGGGCGCGCTCACGGGAGGAGCTGCGCGCGGCCGGCGGAGAACTTTCTTCTTTTCCCTTCGCTCTCCCTCTTGAGCGAGCGCCTAGGCCCTGGCCACTCTCCCGGAGAGAAGCCGGGCGACCCGGCCGCGGGCTCAAGCAGCCAGCGCCGGCTGCAAGTGACCGCGGTGCGCGGGCGGAAAGGGGTCCCGGACGTGCGGGTCGGAGAGCTGGGACGCACACGACAGCCCCTTTCTCTGCCCTTACTTACCGGCCCAGCGCTCACAGCCGCTGCCCTGTTTTTAAGAGAATGGCGCAGGTGCAAGTTTGGTTGTTGCGGTTTTAGCCGCTCCAAGGAAATTGTTCAGTGTAAGGTTACCTAAGCGTACTGCGTGGGCGTGTTTCCAGAAACAAAGGGCAAACTTTCTCGCTCCCAAAGCCAGTGAAGTTAAACAGACTCCCTTATGAAAAGGCCCTTGGGGACCCTAGGGCGTCAGATGCGACAGCTAATTTTAAAATAACTGTTTAACAGGTGATTAGGGAGCGCGCTTTCTCTCCACCACCAAGTTCACCTCTTCTCCAAACCCCTCTAAAATAAGTGACTTGACGATAGGTGATCCCATTCCCTAGTCCTCTCCTTAATGCCAGTCTGGAGGCGCACTGTCAAGAAGGGATGCGTCTCCTCGCCCTTGAGAACCAGCGCGGAGACCTTCTTTTGTGCCTCTCCTTGGCTGTGAACTTTCCCGCGCGGTAGGTTCTCCTTTAAGAAAGTAGCATCCCTATGAATATTTAATGCTGCACGCGGGCCGGCGGGGCGGAGGGGAGCCCGCGGCCTGGGTTTCCGCGCGCGCCGAGACCCGGGCGCAGAGCGAGTGCGTCCCCACCAGCCTGGCCGCCGCGGGAACTCGGGGACCGGGAGGGCGGGGGTTAGCGGGAGGAAAGGGTAAGCTGAAGAGGGGCTGGGAACGGGAGGGAGGCTCGGGGCGAACGGGCCGTCGCGTTCATTTCCATAAGAAAGCTGAAATCGCAGTTGGAAGCAGGATTTCTCGCCCCTGCAGCCCTTCCCCCATACCCGGTTTTCTGCAAGAAGCGGGCTCCAGAGCTCAGAGCCCGAAGTGTGTGCTCTGGTCTTTGATGATGTTGATAAAATGTGGTTTCAAATGTTGTCCCGAAGAGGCCGGTTTCCTGTCTGTATGTGGAATGGAAGGACCGTGCCGGGTGAGTCCAGAACGCCGGGGAGCGGACAGGAGGAGCAGGGCTGAGGAGAGGGAGGGCGCAGCCGGCGGGCGCAGGGCATCCCTGCAGGGGAAGTTCTCCAGGGGGTTTTGAAAGGGGGAGCCAGGTTGAAGCCAAGTTTCCCGAGCAAGGAAGAGTGTGTGTGTGTGTGTGTCTGTGTGTGTGTGTTCGGGGGTGGGGAGCGCGATGAGGGAAGACGTCACGAAAGCCCCAGAACCCAGGCGGCCCGCGCGTGGGAAGGTCTGGCAGGTCTTGTCACCTCCCTCTTCAAAGAGCGGGGGAAACTTTCGCTGGCCGTCGCTGACCCTCTTCCTGCGAAGGAATAAAGTGAACTTGCCCAGATACTGGATTCCACTGGCGGTTCAGTTGTTGAGTTCTTTCTGCGTTCGCATTGAGCATTGAGTTTCTTTTTGACTTGCAGTGTGAACAGCAGCCATGTGACCTCAATTCTATATCACATATATATACACACACACCTCCTAGGTACTTTATGATCCCATCTGGAGAAATTAAAGCCCAGATCTGTAATGTTTATTCTTAGATAGTTTACCAAAAGCAGGGGGGAAATGTGTGAGACACATGTCTGCAAATATAACAAAAGTACTTTCCCTTATGCTTGAAAAGTTGCCTGCAAATGGCTGGCTTCCGTTTACTGACTGCACCACCTGTACCTCTCCATGAAACTAAATGGAATCAGGAATAAAGCACCAATCAGATCAAGCAATTAAATACCAATTATGACTATTAATGACTTTATTACTAATGACTGGAGTTGAGGACTCCAAACCCAAATGAGGTAATCAAGCTGTTTTAAAATTCTGCTACCTAATATTTTTACCGCACTCCTTCCCCAAAATAGGAGGTTAAAAAAAAACAGGTAATGTTTTCAAAGAGTTCTCCAGTAGGTATTCATGGTCAATGTTGAACTTATTTTTCTCAGAAAGTTTATTGCTACTGCTGGTAAATAATGGAGTCTTCCTTTCTGGCTCTGCCAAGTTACGCAAAGTGTAACTGATGATGGTGGTTACACAATATATGGTACTTGGTTTGGATGCAGAATTGGGATGGAGCAGGGGTGCTTTCTGTCTTCAATTACTCTGATAATCCGGCAGACCCTAGACGATTTTAAGGAACAAGTGTTTTAATTCTTCAGATGGGGTAATGGCTATTGGGATGTTTGGAAGGTGAGGAAATGAAGAATGGGGAACCCAGGCAGCAAAGAGAAAGAAGGAATTGGGCCTATGTTTTGAATTTTCTTTTTGCTCATGGGTTGAAATGCCTTTAGCTTGTCATAAGCTAAGTGACTGAAAAGAAAAGGTTACTGAGAACGGTATATTGGTGTAAAGGCTACTGTGTAGCTGGGTTTATTTATTACTGAAGATGATTTGCCAACCCTCCTTGCCTCTTGATTGACACCCCTTCTTATCCCAAATGGAAGTCCCTGTTCATTCTGGGATAGGAGGAAGAGGCCTGGAGGGAGGAAGGGAATAAATTTCTGCTGCAGTCCATGAGAAGAAAGGAGGGGGCAGTTAGTAGGGATTCTTTAGTCACCATGAAGCAGGCAGGCTAGGCAGCTGGGCACTTGGAGGAGCCAGCAGTTCATCTTGATGTAGGTCATCTCTGCTCATTGTCCCATAGTTTAGCTCTTCAGGACACAAGGAGTGTTTGGAACAATGAACTTCAAGTCCCTGGCTTGGGATATTTCCCCTTCACCTTCCTCCTAGGTAGAAGCCTACAGCAGCAGCAGCAGCATCTGGTTCTGATGTGTTTACCGGGCTGGTATGGAAATGCCCAGGCTGCATGGCAGAAACCTGAGCTGCTAGTGACAAGCACACTCCTCTGCTAAGCAGCGAAAAGTTTTGATACTTTTTGAGCACTGGGTGGCCTCTTCTCTTGATGTGAAGCCATGAGCCCCCCTCCCCATTTCTATTTGTCAGAGTTAATTGCCCTGCAGTGGGGCAGCTCACACCTCAGGCAGTGCCAAGAAATACAGCAGGGAAGGAATCCTGCACATGTAACAGGATGGCGTGGTATTACCTTAGACACCTAGGGGATCAAAAACCTCAGTGGAATGAAATGGGCCTGGGGTATTCTCCCTTTGGTGCCTCCCTAGGGACAAGCCTCTTTGGCCTGGCCTAGACTGTGGGCAGCTTATGTATGATGGCCCTGAGTCCTGAAGGTGAAGCTAGTCACTTTCTGTAAGTGGACAGTCGACCCAAGAGGCAGTTCTAAAGAGGAGAGCCTGAGGTGTCCACAACAATTTCTTTTCTGTTCCAGGGCACCAAGAGGCACCCTGAGAACTCAGAGGACCCAGAGGCTCCCCTCAAGCAAATTCCCTGCTGACCCTGGACACCCCTTGAAGGAGGGGGCAAGAGGCTGCCACAAGGCTCATCTTATAACTCCCAGCAAGGACTCCCAGCAAACAAGTTCAGCTTGGGATCTGCCCACCACCAAGCCTGGCTGGGAGGTGGGGGGGAGCGAGGGGCGGTGGAGAGGCAGAGTCCCTGAACAGGGAAAAGACAATCAGTTGTTCCCCTTTCTGGTGTCAGAGGCAAAGAAGCCTGAAGGGCTGGTGGTGGTGCTGGCTCTGGGTTTATTGACTCTGTGATCCTGTCCAGCTGTCCTACAGGGAGTTCCAGAGCTCTCCCAAAGTGCATGAGGAACTGCACAAGTAGGACTGGGGCACAATACCAGAAGCTATTTGTCTCCTAGAACCTGGCACCCCCTCCACTTACCTTACAGGAGACCCACATCACTCAGTTCCCAGGACACCTGGTGGGAGAGTCTGGTGAGATTTGGAGGCAGACTTCCTCTACTCACAACTTGTTTGAAAATGGACATAAAGAGAAGAACAGACACTCCATCGCCCCTTCAGGGCCTCCTTTGTGTCACAAAACCTATCCCCTCCTAGGGCACCCTTGACATTCCCCTAGGTGGGCCTACACATTGTTCAGAACCTGTCCCCTGTACCAAAATAAATATAAATGAGTTTGTTTCTTTAAAAGAAATATTACAGCTTTAAACTTTTCCCAGCCGGAATCCACCTAATTTCATCAAGGTCTCTCGCTAGCAGCCATAACCCAGGCCAAAAGGGCTTGTCCCTAGGGAGGCACCAAAGGGAGAATACCCCAGGCCCATTTCATTCCACTGAGGTTTTTGAACCCCTAGGTGTCTAAGGTAATACCACCACCATCCCCACCTGTTTTCAGTTCTTTCTTTGTGGCTTAAGATTGCATTTTTGGAGGGTTTATGTAATGTTGTTCACGTCAGCAAGTCTCCCTGCCCCACCCTCACCCCACTGTCCTATATGGAATTATAGTTGGAAACCACACACACATAGAAAATCTTTGAAGATTTTTTTCTGCTATTCTTCCTGACTAGAAGAGTTGACAAGACATAGACACATTCAGTTGCATAAAATACAGTAGCGTGATCAGCCTAAATGCATCTCATTTGCACTGTTTGTAACCAGGGGTGGGGGCTTGTGTCACTCATTGCCTCCCCCTCCTCTGCCCAAACCAGACCCGCCAGCTGGAATTTCAGAGCAGGCCCCAAGGCAGCAGCCATTTGGGAAGTGGAAGCCCTAGCCCACCCCAGTCCAGCAGGGGTGCGGGGTGGATAGAGAAGGTGTCTGGAGGTCTGGCCTGAGGGCTTGGACCAACTTTGGCAGACCTGGGCTCTGGGAGGCTTGGCCGGTGGGTGACCACAGCTGGAAGTTGGAGGTCTGCAGCGATGCTTCTGAGCTTCTCCTGAGTTGAGTTCAAGAAAGGGGACACCAAGAAGTAGGGGAACAGTCACTGACTATATTTTACATCCACGCCTACCCCTTTCCCAGAGTTGTGTTCTCACCACCCACTTTGTCGGCGGAGGAGAAACACTGCTGCCTGATGCTTGCACTGCTGCACTGTTCTTGCACCTGCTCCTAGCCCTGAACTCGGGCCCTGAGCTCCTCACTGCCGCCCGCTCTGCGCTGAGCCCCACTCCTGAGACCGCGAGGTGCCAGAGCAGCGCCTCTCCCACCAACTCCTAGACGCCTGTAGGAGCTGCGCCGGAGCCTTCAGAACCCCATGGGGGTGTGGGGGTGAAGTTGGAGGTCATCCGGGTGATTTTTTTCTTACTTTTTCCTAATTGTTCTCCTGCGTTGATTTCAACTCTTCCAGTCTCCCGGTGCTGGGGCGCCAATCCTTTCCCAACAATTCCTACCCACCAGCTGGAGGTCGGGGCCCAGGGTTACCCCAGAGTTCTATGGTGGCAGGGGGCGCCGAGTAGAGGGGCGGGAGGAGCTGGGTCCTCGGGAACCAAAGGGGACCTCAGCGGGGGCGGAGTGCGCAGCCTTGGCTGCTGGGAAATGCCCAACTAGCCGCTGTGAGTGCCCACAGCGCGTCGTGGGGGCGTCCGTTCTGCAGCTCGGGTGACTCAGACGCCCTGCCAACCCCACCAGCTCCCGGCTTCTCGAACGCTCTTCTGATCGCCCAGCGGGGAGACTTCAGGGCCTGCCTCGTCAGGCCAGATTGCAGCCCGCGACCTTCCCGGATTAACCAAGGGCGGGGCCTGTTGCCCAGCAAGGCTGCTGCCTAACTGAGCCTCCCGGGGAACAGCCATGACCAAAGCCCCGCGGGCCCAGGCGCGGGCACCTACCCCTACCCGCTCAGGCCTGTGGGAGCGCAGGGGCAGAGGCCGAGACGCTGGACTTCCAGCCCCACACCTCTGACAACCCGGGCACGTCTGCGGAGCCCGGGGGAACAGTCAGCGGGCTCTGCGTCCCGGGAGCTGGGGACACGCCTGCAAGGTGTGTGATCCTTTAAAGATCCTTAGTACTAGTTTTGTAGGGAGCCTTTGTTATAGCTTTGTCAGCCTGCGCGCCTTCAGCAGCTCCCCCTCCCGGGCCCCTCGGTTCCCTCCGGGCTCGCCCCCAGCGGAGAGGGCCCGGCGCAGGGGATCTGCCCAGGATCAACTGCCCTCTTCCAGATCCCCTTCTGCGAGATTCTTTTCCTTTGGTTACAATCTCCCCTCCGTGCCTGGGGCAGATAAACACGGTTCGCCCCGCCTGCAGTATTGGGGCGATGCTGTCCTGGAAGAACGGGCTTTCTGAATGTGACCTCGGGATGCTGCAGCGGCGCAATGCTGCTACTGCTGAATGAGTAGCTCTCCTGCCACCGCAGGGCGACTGCGGTGGGCACAGCAGGGCGCACAGAGGAGGGGGTAATCTGCCCACCCAGGCTAAGGATTTGAGGGTTCTGACAAAAAAGAGCTGGTTGAGGATGACACAGTTGTGAACTAACCTGGCTCCTACTACCCCACAGGGCAGCCAGGTCCCAGTAGTCTTGGGTACCACTGCCCCCACCATACCACCATTGTAAAGTATGGACTCCTGCTTAGCCAACGTGCAGCTCTAGGCAGGATCTCTGAAGGATGCTCTGGCACACAGATGGTGCAGGTATGACTTTACCTGCACACAAGCTTACATGTGCCCTGTCATATATGGCTACACGTTTCCCCATTTCCCCACAGTCTTCCTATTTAACTGGTCTTCAATCCTCCTTTCTAGGGCTTTCCGCCTGCACACAGTCATTTGGAGAAAATCAAGTGAGTGCACTTCTCCCCACAGAGGATTCTGTATGTTATGTAACACACTCACACTGGGATTCCTCAAGTTACCATTTTGCCCCAACTCAGCCAGCACTTGGTTTTCTGGCGGGGGTGTCAGGATGATGCAAATGGAGGTGGAAGCTTCATTCCCTGGGGGCTTTTATTCCCCTCCTTGAAGCCCCAGTTCAAGGCCCAGGAACAAAGGGGAAAGGTAACTGATCTCTCTTTTGGTCTTTCTCTCCCCTCACTTCCACCCCTTCACCTGCAGGCCCTCCTCTTTGATAAATAGAGGAAAGCCCGTGGGATCAGGTACATATGTAAATACTGCTGACCTCGGCCGCCCCTCCTCACCGAAAAGCAGAAAGCCCGTTTCAGGTGCAGGCTGCTCCGTGCCTTTGAGTGTCCACCACTTCTATTCCCCCAGACTGCTTGGGACTCAAGGCCACTCACTTAATACCCGTCTCTTGTTAAAAACATTCAGGACAACTATTAAATAGTTATTGGAAGAGTTAAAGACCTTCTTTCAGGAGTGAAACGTTTTTAAAGCTGTGCTTGGCATAAGTCTTTAAGGCGTACAAAGTAGAATCAGTAGACTTGCCTGAGCGATTTTGAAATTTGAAAGATTTCTCCCCATGAAATGGTAATTTAAAATAGTTTGTAGATGTTGTTTTGTTCTGTGATGGCTTTTTCACCATTGTCACCTAAAGATTCTCAAGACCAAGCTACTAAGACATTTCATTTGGTTAGTTTCTGGGTGATACTGTGCTTTCTGATTAGACCTATTTAATTTATTTTTAACTCTGCAGGAGAGTTTTCAACCTTGGAAATGTAAGTGAAACACAGACTCACCCTCCTTCTGAGACCTTGATAGGGGCAGAAAGGAACAAATCTGGCTAGCCCCCCTCACACCTGGAAGTTTCCCTGTCTAAACCTGGGTACAATGAGCGTGGTGGGTTTTGTCACCTTTTATTTTATTGCTGGCTCAAGGAAAATTCTTTGAAATGAACATCTATTCTATTTCAGTGTGCAATGTTCCAGCCGACTTAATGGGCTTGCCTTATGCGGAGAGGCAGTCCTGCAGGACAGAGCTAATGTGTGGTCTCCCAGGAAGCTCATCAGAACACCTCTTGTCCCTTTTCTTTAAAAGAAAAAAAATTTAAAAAGTTTTTGCTTCCATCTCAATGTCCATTCCATTATTTTGTAGCTACAATAAAGAAACATGGGCAGCAGTGATCATTCTTTTTGTCCTATGTAATCATGTCTAGTGTTAGGACCTTACAAAGCTCCAGACATACCTCAGGTGTATTCTGCACTTTTCATATTTATTCACTGCTCACTGGGTCACACAGATGATTCACACTTGATTCCACCTTCCTCTGGACAACTCTCCCTCAAACAACACCCCTCTATCAACTTATAGGGAAAGGAGATTCACTTAGAGAAAACTTCTTGAATTAAAGACCAGACTCAGTTTCGCCAGGTAACTAATCCTGGCATACCGGTGACTAGGAAGTCATCACCTAACACTCTACCTAGATATAAACTCTCAGGAAGGAGGCAGGCCGGTGGGGACATTTCCACAGACATTTCTAAAACTGTGGCAATTGAGTATATTTTACAGATACAATTTTGGTAGATTCCCATCCAGCTTAAGACATTTAAAATGCAATTTTGTTCACACGCATGTGCGCGCACACAGACACACACGCACGTGTCAACTAGGGTGATATTAACAGTCCATTTCCACTGGGCAATTCTGTGACAGCAACTACAACTAACAAACTTCTTTTCTGAAGAGTAAAAAAGAAAACAAAAGCCTCTCCATCTATTTTAAAAGGTTATTTTATATTGTTTAGCATTCTTTCGAAACAGGAATTGGCTGGACACTTCTCCCTTTTCAAAGATCAGGTAAACTACTCTCCCACCCACCTCCTCCCCAAGACCAAGCCATTTTTTAAAGCAAAAATTCTGTTTCCAAAGGAAGAAAAATGAACAAATTCCATTAATGAATTACATACATGGAATGTGGCTTGTCTAGGACATTTGTATTTGTAAATAAATGGCTCCCTGTTTATTATGTATGTTTTACTGGAAAAAAAACCAACTCTAATGCCTCTGAGCATGTTATAATACAGCAAATATTTCCACTTATGGTTTCAGTTCCACTGTTTCTTGGTACTCACTAGAAAGAAATCGGGTTACATGGAGTCAGTTGTGGGGTTTAAGCGTCCAGGCTGACTTGGGGACGCGGCACCTCTAAAGTTCTCATGTTTGCCAAAGTGCGGGGGGAAGGGGGAATGGCTCCTAGGAATCTTATGGGGATTAATCTGGGGTTTCGCCTTTGTCCCGGGATCTTTCTAAGGCTCACCACGGCCTCCGTCTGCAGCTTCAGAAGCGAAGCCGGCGTGCGATCTCCTTGGCGGGCGGACTGGGCACAGTCCCTGCCTTGCCCTGCTGCCGGCGCCCGCACACCGCGGTCTCAGGATCTCCCCGCAGGCCTAGGCCTGCAGTCCTCGGGCGGAGACGGGGCCTGGGGGAGCGACCCTCACCGGGCCAGGCACAGGCAGTTTACCCTGGTGCCTGTAGGGTGCTCGAGTTTCCCACACGCGGGAAGCGGAGGCGTGGGCCAAGCGCCGGGGGCTGCCCAAGAACTCCACCGCCCCGTGCGGCGCGCAGGGCCTGGCGGCGCGAAACTTCCACAAAGCCGCCGGCCGCCTCCGGCCTTGCCTCCACTCCGCAGTCCCAGCTGCCTAGACCTCGGTGTCTTCCCAGACAATGAGCCCTGCCAGTGCACTAGGCTGTTCCGCTCTGACTTCTTCTGCCCGCACATGGGGACCCGAGCGAAAGGTTATGGGTTGGAACAAGTCAGCGCATCTCCTTCCACGCGCCGCATCCTTCGGGAAGACAAACAGAGTACGCCCCCCACCTCAATTTCGGGCCCTGGTCTGTGGGCTGGGCCACAGTCCGGGAAGACCCAAGGGGTCACGGGTCCAGATCCGTCTTTACTTTGTCCTCCGCTCCAGGGCTCCAGGGCCCTGGGCAGCAGAGAGGTGGATTTCAGAGAAAGCCCGGGTCAGCCAGGCCTTGAACTCAGCCCCTCTGAACTCCACCGTCAGCAGCGTGGGCGGCAACTCAATTCTCCTGGGAGGAGGCTGCACCCCCAGAACGGAAAATCCGCAAACGTCGCGCAGAGACCCACAGGCATTTCTACCTTTCCTTCCACAAGCCCTGCAGAAAGTTATCGCCAGAACCTCTGGAACCTGAGCCGACTCCAGCCTCCAGCAACTCCCTCAACCTTCCAGGGAAACTTTCAGAAGTTTCCCTTTCCTTCGCTCCTCAATTCCTTGGACTTTCTCCAGCCCCCAGGTTTGCTCATTACTCTGCTGACTGCCCTTTAGTCTCTAGGGCTCCACAGGCCTGAGCGTTTCCAGAATAATAATAATAATAATAATAATAATAATAATAATAATAATAATAATTGTTATTATGAGGCTGGGGAAGAACAGGATCAGAGGGTAGGAGGGACTGAGGGAGAGAGTGGACATGTTTATGAAAAGGTTTATTTAAACCTGTGTTTCAAAAGGGTTCAGTTGACAATTATCAGTAACCCCGATAGACAACTCCATTAAAAAAAAAAAGAATTTACTATTGCTCTTGAAAGCCGTTATTTTTTCCATCGCTTTTTAGGAAGATAGATGAACAAAACATCGCGTTTCAAGCCATTTTGATCTGTAATTGAAAGGCAGGATCGGTTTGTATTCTCCTACGGCTTTTACAGAAGTTGCAGTGATCCAAAGTCGGGTTGCTGTGTCAGAGTGGCATTTTTATTAATGAGAATACAAAAAGCTTGCATATTCTTAGCCCTGCTTGAATTTAGTTGCTAAGCAACGGGTGTATGGTAATTCATCCGCGAAATTTAAATCTTTGAGAAAGGTTCGTGCGTTTTGCTGAATGGTCGCCACGAGGAAAACAACTTGTGGGACCCACAGCAGCTGCCACAGTCTGGCCGCCCGGCCGTGCCGGGCCGAGCAGGGACCCGGCCGCCCCACCGCGACCGCCACCGCCCCACCTCCGCGCCCAGCCCTGCCCTCCCTCCCGGAGAGAAGCGAGCTTTGGACGCCCGGCTGCCTCGGGTCCCCCTCCCCCTCCGCCTCTTCTGATCCGGGGTTTTCACCGGAGGCAGGCCTTACACCTGACCCCGTCGCCTGTACCCCTAGGGCTTCGGGGTCCAGACTGCGAATTTCCGCTTCCCCCTCCCCTCACGCGCACCCACATGCACACGGCACGCGCGCGCACACACTAGCGCACACATCGTGCCGCCAAGAGAATGACTGTTGCCCTCTTCCCAGACCCCTCTGAGGTCACTTCCAGAGCCAACTCTTCCTTGAGGAAGACCGGACTCATCAAGAACGCAGCGCACAGCCCGCCAGAAGGCCAGGCGGCCGCCTCTGGCCGGCAGTGACATCATAGGCTCCTGCTCGCCAAGCTCGCGCCCGCATTTTAGGATACAGGAACAAACACGGATGTGAAATCAAGAATGAAAGAGAGAGTAATCTAATTAATAGGCCATGAGCCAGGCTAACAAAATCAAAGAATCTGATTACACAAGTACCCCTCCTGCTATCTCCGCTGCCCCCACCCCCAGCTCCTCCAGCCTGCGCACTATTTCCTTTCCTAGGCTGCAAAGTTCAGGATGCAAACGCAGAGGCTTCTGCTTTCCTTATTGAAATCAACGTCAAGCCTACCGTGAGGATCCTGCACCCAGGAGGTCACATGGGTGAACTTCAGGCCCTCAGACCAGCAGCCCTGAGGAGCTGAGATGACCAACCGACCTACAGAACTTGGAGAGCCTGAGAGGTTGCCCCACGCTTCTCACATGCGTCACTCAACAACAACAACAGCAGCAGCAGCAACAACAACGACAACAACACCTGTGCTGATTGCTTATGCTGTTAGTAGCTGGACTAGGACAAAGGGCTTCTCCACTCACAGTCATTTTATAGATCATCTAATTTTTTTTCTTCAGTCTAGCACAACTCTTCTTTTTTCACATCACCTTGTTTCTGGGTCACTGATAACCTCAAACTCCCAACTCTTATTACAACTCCCTTTCCCAACGTAGATGTCTGAGCACAGTCAGGTATTAGGTTATCACTGAAACATAGCATCTGCTCTAATCCTTGCAGCCAGCCACGTGCATTTCATGAAAGAAGAAAATTCTTTAATTTCTGTCTTTCTGCCTTAAAAAAACAATCAGGTCCACCTTTTAAATAATTAATTTCAAGTCTGCATCCAGTGCCAATACTTGTTGCATCCATTTTAGAGTTGATTAATTACCCTGGAACTTGGGCAAACTAAACTCCATGTGGAGAGAATGTTTCTTCCTTCAATTTAGTACTGAAAGCTACAAGTTATTAATGGATTTTACTCAATTTACATACAAATTAGTGCAAATATGCCCGTCTCTTAAAGTACATTTTTGTATAAATATATAAAAGTATCATTTTTGATTTAGCTTGAAGAGGTTGATCATTTATTACAAAAATAAACGAATAAATACAACAATATATTGTTGCTTTCAACAGGATAAATACTTTACAAATATATAATTTAAAAAACAAATTTAATTGTTAAAATTATTTAAAATATTACACTTATCGATAAAACTATCAATAGTATATACTGCATTTAATATTAGAACCAATTATTCTCTGAATGTTCAAAACCATTCATACAAAACAGATTATGAGCATGGTCATGAGCAAACACTGGAGGCTACAGGGCAGCAAAGGGAATCGCTAAGATCAATAACGAACAGTTCTCTTCGGAACAAAGAAGTAGTCCTTGGCTAAGTACTAAAAAAAAAAAAAAAAAAAAAAAAAAAAAGGCAGAGCAACAATAGCAAAGTGACTATTTTCAATACACCTTGAATGATTTATCGCACAGACTTGCCAGGGGAAGATGGTTGTGGGAGCGACGGAGGCTTGGACAACTGATCAAGAGCCACAGGAGACTGTAAACTGTAAGTGGGCCTAGCTTGGGATTAGCAAGGCTGATGGAACAGAACTTTGTCACTTTCCTTTGGGTTGGAAGGGGAGGGGGGGTTGGATTGAAATGGAGGAAACAAATGGGCACTTTACGAAGCACAAGACACTTGCACTGCAAAGGAACACAATGACCAAATTCATTAAAAAGATCTGGTGATATATAACAATATTTTCATTATTTACATGTGTAACAATATAAGCCTTAGCACAAAACCTCTCAGTTATATCTGCCCTCTTTTGTTTTTCAACCATGAATTTCATTTTGTAATTACATTGAAAGGGTTGATTAAAAAAAATGGAGTGCAAGCATTAGCTCACTTTATAAAATGCAAATAATGAAACAAAATGGGTTTGCTTTCCCAGCTTCTCCAATTAAAAGTTACTCTGCTACCCCCAAATCAGGGATTCTTCCAAAGTAATCAGCAAAGTTTGCTTTTTAATAGAAAACAGTGTGAAATCTAATGTTAGCTCTTTTGTTGTCAGCTAAATCAACTAAGTAGATACCTCCTGAAATTTTTTTAATAGACCTATTACTTGTCTAATCAACCACCACCATTCCCATAGGAAAAACAAGATTCCATCTCACGTGCCAGTAGTATCCACCACATAAAAACAACCTGACCAGTCCTCAGCTTTCCAATGAGGACTTCTTTGCTTGCCTCTCTAGACACCCCCAAAATGGTGAACTTCTCCCCCACCCCCACTCCAGGTTGTAAATTTGCTGGGCATAGGGATTACAGCAGCAAGAGAAATAGGGAACAAGAAGGCAAAGAAAAGTAAATTGTGGTTTCTTGTCTTCATTTTTTTCTTCTCTCTGTTTAATATATGTGGCCTTTTTCAGATTTCACAAATCAAAATGATTGTGATTTTTAGTACGATTTGGTGTTTAAAATAATGCAACCCAATACATGGCCATCTGGCTGGGTTTGATTTATGAAAGTGACACAGGGCCTGTCTGGGAGAAATAACTGTGCCTTGTTGCTCTCACAGTTTTCCGGGTTTTTTAACCCCTGCATTGATATCACAGGGAGAGGGAGTGAAGATGAGAGAAGGAGGAAAAAAAGTGAGTGACAGCTAAGTGAGATTGGGGGGAATTTGTCTATAAAATCGTTGCTCTACCACTGCTAAATACTTTTAAGTACAATATATAGGGACTCAACTAAGCCGAGCCTTTAGCGTCTTAAGTACTCACAACCTGAGGCATTACACTTTCATTTTCCCACATTGTAAATATTGAAACATTAACTTGATCAATGTGACCACTCTGCAGGGTTTATGTAAAAGGTGACCTAAAACCCCCAGCACCAGTAAAGAAGATATAGAATCATACTGGGGAGAGACAAAAACACAGAAATATAGAACCTTAAGTCTGAGTTGGTAATTGCACAGATGGTATGCAGTGTGGACCATAATCAGGATTTTAGAACTATATTCTTTTATTACGGGGGGAAAAAACCCAAAAAGCTTAATAATTTAAATTTAATTACATATAGTTATTGATGGGAAGTAATTGATATCAAAATATTTTATAAGACTTATAAGCGACTCCTAACAACTATAGTCTTGAGAAAAAGAGAAAAGAGACAGGAACATGTTGGGAGGGGGACAGGAGAAGAAAAAAGAAGCTGAACTTGGGGGGAGGGGCTGTATTAACCATTAATAGCCAGTTGGCTCATTTTTACTGGTGATATCGTTCAATCTTTCGATAAGAAACACAGGTATCGCCAAGAAAAGGGTTAATATTTAGGCAATCTCACCTGAAAACACTAAAGACATCCACTAAAATTAAGGGAGAGAAAAATATTGTGAATTTATGGATTATCGAGGAGTGACTACTATGTTAAAATACTAGCTGTCTCAGCAATGCCTATGCTTTACTCTAGATTTCCAAAAGTACCTTAAGTGGAGCAGGCTCTACTTCCTCAACGCTATTACTTAGGGATTTTCATTAGTAAAAAAATATTTCTTAAAGAACTCTTTTCTTCCCACACAGTGTTTACGCATCAGACACAGACTATTTCATTCTAACAAATTTATTTTCTCGATCAGCTCTTACGGAATCACTACTCAAATTAAATTACAATCAAATGATCACATCAAAAGATACCCTTATTACCTAACAACTGTCCATATTTTCATTTCATTTTGATTTGTGCTCGTCTGAAAAAAACACGTAATACAAGATCTGGGGAAAAATAAATTACCGTTTTGCAGCAGTTCATAAGTATTCTGAATAAAATATTAAAAGAAGTCATTTAATGAAAATATAAAGCAAATATTTTTAGATCAACAACGGATCTAACAATTCTATATTGCCGTCTTTTGAAAAGTCTGTTTATTAAAACCTACCAAAAACACTGCTTGGAAATGGCAGTATTATATAATCACATCCACAGCACCCATTCAATCAAAGTTGGCAACGGATTGAGGAGAGAAGTCCAGAGAAGTGCAGCGGCTGGTGCTCAGTCTTTCTAAATTCCTTTATCTGAGTCAGTCCAGAAATAAAAAATAAAAAATATTAATAAAAAAAATATTAGCGGTGGAATCTTTAGGCATCGTCCACCCTGAATGGCAGCCGTCAAAGCCTGGGTACGCGGCCGGGCCTGGCTCGGCGGCCTCGCTGGCTGGGCCCCCGCTCTGCTCCCAGTTCGCCCGCCCGCCCGCGACCCGACTCGGCCGGGGCCTCTCGCCACTCCTCAGCGGACGTTCCCCCTCTCCCTCTGCTCCTTCCCGATCCTTTTATTTCCAAGGTTACTTTGAGGATACTTTTCTTTTGGCTTTGCTATTCAGTCTGTTAGTTTCAGAAGCTGTCAATATAATTATTTTTTTCTTGGAGACTGTTTTTCCCCCCTCCTTCCCATTTCAGAGTTGATTTGTTTCCAAATGACTTTAATATGGCCAAGAAAAACAGGGTCCCAGAGCACGGTGTCGTCCCCTGATGGAACCTGGTGCCTCTGTTTTCTCTCAGGTCGCTCCCAGGAAATAAAGTTTCCGTGGATCTCTTTAGGCAGCTGTTTTGGAGGGAGAAAGTGAAAGGAAAGGGGACTCTCTCTCTCTCTTTTTTTCAAAGAGGAGAAGACGAGGCAGGTGCTGTCCACCGCTGCCGTGTAGGTCATCTCAGGGTGGAAAAACCTCACGAGTGCAGTTTTCGTGCGTCAGGCATCTTCACCCTTCTTTAAAAACAAAAACAAAAACGAAACACCACCACAGTATGAACGAGATCTCATGATCGCCCCCTTTTTCTCTTCCGGTTTTGTTTGTTATATATGTATACAAAACAGTCTGGGTGTTTATTATGCTTTTTATTTTTTGGCCCCTCCTTCCTTGGACTGCAAAAATGCCTCCTTGGTCCGTTTCTCCCGCGTTTTCTCCTCCAAGGGCGGGCATGCCTGTCTCTGGGTGGAGGGGAGGGCGGCGGATGGGCCTGGGCTGGAGCCCGGAGCGGCCCAGGTGCAGGGTCGGCGCGGCGGCGGCAGCGGCGGCGGCGGCGGCGGCGGCGGCGGCAGGGGCGGCGGCGGTGCTGACGGCGGCTGCGGAGGCGGCGGCGGCGGCGGCCCTCTTCGCTCTGCGCCCTGGCTTCACTGAACGCTCGTCTGCAGCCCGTGGTGAGGCGGCGGCGTGTCGGCGCTCACGGTGCCCACCTGCGAGTAGACGTCGTCGGGCGTCTGCTGTTGGATCCCGGGCGGCGTCATGCGCTTCTCCTTTTGGCGCCGATTGCAGAACCAGACCCGCACCACCTCCTTCTCGAGCTGCAGGCTGTCGGCCAGGTTGGTGATCTCCTGCGCGGAGGGCTTGGGGCACTTGAGGAAGTGGCTCTCCAGCGCGCCCTTGACGCTCACCTCGATAGAGGTCCGCTTCTTGCGCTTGCGGCCCTGCGCCGCGATCTTGTCGATGCTTGTGGGGCTGCCGGTGCTTGAGTCCGCCTCCTCCAGCCACTTGTTCAGCAGCGGCTTGAGCTTGCACATGTTCTTGAAGCTCAGCTGCAGGGCCTCGAAGCGGCAGATGGTGGTCTGCGAGAACACGTTGCCGTAGAGTGTGCCCAGCGCCAACCCCACGTCGGCCTGCGTGAAGCCCAGCTTGATGCGCCGCTGCTTGAACTGCTTGGCGAACTGCTCCAGGTCGTCCGACGTCGGCGTGTCCTCGTCCGAGTGCGGGTCGTGGCTGTTGAGTCCAGGCCCCGCGCCGCCGCCGCCGCCGCCGTGGTGCGGGGGTCCCTGCGCGTGGTGCGGGTGCGGCGGGTGAGGATGCGCGTGGTGGTGGTGGTGGTGGTGGTGCTCGGCCAGCTCTGGCGTGTCCCCGCGCACCAGCCCCGGGTGCACCAAGCTCTGGGCTCCACCGCCCGCGCCGCCGCCGCCGCCGCCGGGCCCCGGTGGCGCGCTCAGCATGCCGTTCACCGTGAAGCCTCCGGGCTGCGAGTAGAGCAGACTCTGCGGCGGCGGCTGCTGGCCCCCGGCCATGGACGGGAGGTGCGCGGCGGCGGCGGCGGCGGCGGCTGCGGCTGCGGCAGCGGCGGCCGCCCCCCAGCCCCCAGGGTGGCCCTGGTGTGGGGGCGGCGGCGGGGGTCCGAGGTGCGGCGGCCCGCGGTGGTGCAGCGCTGTGCCCGCGTGCAGGTCGTCGCGCCCGGCGCCGCCCTTCACGTCGGGGCCCTGCGGCGGTGGCGGCGGCGGCTGCGGTGGCTGCTGGGGGCTGCCAGCCATGCCCACGGCGCTGCCCGACCACGGCGAGCTCGCCTCCACGGCGGCGGCGGCGGCAGCGGCGGCGGCGGCGGCGGCGTGGGGCAGGGCTGTGACCCACTGGTGCGCGTGGCTCAGCATATGGCCGCCGTTGCTGGCGGCCATGGCCCCCTGCATGAAGTCGCTCTGGACCATCTTGACAGAGGACGGGTCCCCCCGGTAGGCGCCCGAGGTCACGGCGGCGCTGCCCGGCTGCATGCCGCCGCCCCCGCCCCCTGCGCCGCCCCCGCCGCCGCCGCCGCCGCCACCCCCGCCGCCGCCAGCCCCTGCCGCGTCCGAGTGCACAATAGAGCCGGCCGCGAGCAGGCTGTTCCCCGGCAGGTAGGGGTTAGAAGCCGCCGTGGCCATGCCGCTCCGCTCCCGCCACCCCACCGCCGCCACCACCGCCGCCGCCGCCGCAGCAGCAGCCGCGGCCGCCGCCGCCGCCGCCGCCGCCGCGCCCCCCGCCTCCCGCCTCCTCCCCCCCTCCTTCCCCGCCCCCGCCCCGGGCCCCCGCCGGCCCCGCCGCCTTCGCCGCCTCCTCCTCCGCCGCCGCCTCCGCCCCCGCCGCCGCCGCCGCCGCCGCGGCCCCCGGCTGCAGCTGCAAGGCCGCTCGGCAGGGCGCGGGGGTCGCCGGCCGGCCTTGGTCACCAGCAGCAGCAGCAGCCGCAGGAGCAGCGCTCTGGGGAGGGGGGCTCGCTTCTCGGGGTGCGCTCCGTGGCCACCCCCTTCAGGGGGGGTCGTGGCCGCCCCCCAGCCCCGGCGCGCTGGGCTCGCTCCAGCGGGGCTCGCCGGGCGGGGCGGGGACCTGCACTCGGGGCGCTCTCCCGGGACGCGCGGGCTCCCGCTCCTCCTCCTGTCCTCGGGCGAGCCCGGACTCTGCCCGGTCGCGGGGCTCCGTCCACCTGCTAAGTGAAGGTTTCACGGGAGATAACAAAGAAAGAAGCTGCTCCTTTCTTCCTTAGCCAAATTACGGATGACCAGCAACCGGCCCGCTCCTTCTCTTGTCCGCTCTCTCCTCTCCTCTCCTCTCCTCCTCAGGAACACATTTCACTCGTTTTCCCTTAGAGTAGTAAAACTTTTTCGTCCTTGAAGGCGTGGTGCTGCTGGCTGCTCGCGAGTGCGGAGAGGGGAGGCTGGCTCCTGCTCTCCCCCTCTGGTCCTCTCGTTTCAAGTTTTGTTCTGTCCTAGGAAAACTTCTTGCGATGGTGCATTTCTCTGAAGTTGCTATTGCCGGAGCTCTTGGTTGCCTCTGAAACAAGAGTCCTTTTTCATTCTCCTCGCAACAGTCACAGTCTGATGCGACATCTTTCCTTTTGGGCAGAAATTAGGAAACAAATATAACAAGGAAAAAATTGAACAGGAAAAAAAATGATGTCGAATCGCTCTGTTACCTTGTTGCTGACGGTTGGGGTTGGTGTTTTATTTTTTTCCCAGCAGTTGTCTGGAGAAGGAGGAGGAAGAAGAGTGCATTGGTGGAGGTGGAGGTGTGTGTGTGCATATAGGGGATCGATCCTTGATACACAACAACTCCAGTGGGCACGCTGCACGGCTCGTAGAGTGCACCGACGGCGGGCGCTGGCGCTGGCCGTGCTGGAGCAGAGTTGCAGCAGGAGCTCGCTCTGCGCCCTCGTTCGCGCTCTCTTTCCCTCTCTCACTTTTCCTCTCCCTCCCTCTCTCTCTCTCCCTCTCTCGGGCGCCCGCTCTCGCTCCGATCTGACAGTTCGCTCTCTGTCCCTCCCTCTCAGAGCGGGGACTGTCGAATGTTTACCCTCCGCCGCGAGCGCGCACCCACCACCACACTTTCCCAAATACAAGGAAGTCGAGCACCAGGGCCCCCGCTGATTGGCTACCCGCTGGGTGATTGGCAGGCTCGGAATGACTGGCTCAGGACGCGAGGCCCCCCTTCCGGCCGTTCCGATTGGTTGCTTTTTAATTTAGGCAGAGCGTCGTAGAAGCTGGAAATCTGTCGTCCTCCAGCCTCCCTCCCCCTCACCACTTTCCCCTCCCCGCCCCTCCCCCGCCGCCCCCTCCGCCACATCTTAACTCTTAGTGTCCGGCCCAGACGTTGGCGTTCCCTCGGCGGCTCTGGGCGTTCGCAATAGGTCTGGGCGGGGGGAAGAAAGGGGAGATAAAAGGGAGGGAGGGACGAGAGGGGGGAAGAGAATCAGAAGGAAAACGAAGGGGGAAACATGAAAAATAGCAACCTGCCCACCCCACCTAGTACGCGTCGGGTTGCTCACCCCCTTACCCCCGCCCCGCCAGAGATTTGTAAAGCGCGCGGCACGGATGTACCATTCAAGCTAATACCTATAGACAGATGTGTCCCCAGTGGTTTCAAAGTTTCCTCTTCCCTTCACCAGCCGGCCCCCTTCTCTGATCGGCGGGGGTGGGAAGCGGGGGCTCGCATCGCCAAGAGCTCTGGTCGTGGCCACGCTCCTTGGAAATCCGCCACCGCAACTTTCCGCAGCCGTTGCGCGCCGGCGGCAGCCCCCTTTGTTTAAGTTCTCGGATGCCATCATCTGGGAAACCTGCAGCCCAGGACCAGCGCGGTGCCCGCGCGTGCGAGACGGACCGCTCGCTGCCGCCGCTCCCTGGCTCCTCCACCCCCTCTCTCCCTCCTTCGCTCTCCCTCCCTTCCTCCCTCCTCCCTCCTCTGGGATTCGTGCAAGTAGCGTGCGTGCCCTTGTGAGTTTGGAGGGTGCCGGTCAGCGGAGCCGTGCGATGTATTTGAAAAGCAATCAGTCCGACCTTCCCCCATAGATTCATCGTAAGTGTATTCGACCCCAATGGCTTTAGGAATTCCCTGTGGCAGCAGGAGCCGGGCGAAAGAACCGGGATCGGCTAGCCGCGCCCTTCTCTGCTCCACCGCTTCCTCGTGTGTGTGTGTGTGTGTGTGTGTGTGTGTGTGTGTGATTAGCGGTGGGGGGGTTTGCTCGCTCTCTATTCTTAGGCATGGTGGTGCTTTTTTTTCTTTCCTTTCTGTCTCAGATGGATTTGCGTGGTGGATGGGGCTGGCGGCGACAAATGCTTTCTCAGCTCTAACCCAGCTGAAAGAGTTAAGGGGGATGGGAGGGGGAGTGCACCCGGTAGGCGAGAGAAGCGGGGGTGGGGTGGGGTGGGGTGGGGGGACGCGGCCAAGCGGAAACGCTGCACAGAGGAACCTCAGCGAACCAAGAAAAAAGAGAAAGTGGCAACGAAAACAAGGGCAAATTGAGCCCTCCTCGGGGATTTCCAATGAACTAACCCAACTCGGACATTCAATAAATACATGGCTCTTAATGAGCGTGCGTGTGCGTGCACCCCGCACCCCTAGCTGCGGGTGCGCCCGCTTGCGCCCGCCGCCCCCAGCCAGAGCCTGCATCTGGCAGTCCCGAGCCCGAGCGGCAGCCCAGGACGCAGCCGAGGAGCGGCCGCCGGTGCGCTCCGATTAAAATGTGAACGGGCCTGCCCTTCTCTCCCGCTGTATCGTGCCTCTGCCGAGCGCAGTTAAGTGAACTCAGTGAAAGCAGGAGTTCTCCTGCCCAGCCGCAGCCAGGCAGCCCCCGCGTGATCTCAAGATTAACACTAGACGCGTAGAATTTATGTAGGCTCTTGTCCAGCTCCTGCTTGCCGGGTGAGATACCATCGTAGGTAGGTTTTAGCAAAGCCATTATTGCCAAGGTATAGATACCAAAGGCGGTGGTAACCAAACCCCAAACAGAACGGATTTTTTTCCTCTGCGGCCCCCAAAGGTTGCTTTTTATATTTACGTATGCGTATATGTATATATAAAAGATGGAACACAGATTTCATTGAATCAATCTGAGATCTCCAGGTGCAGACGTTTGAATAGTCGGTGCCAGCACCCCGTGTTTTCCTTTCCTGCCGATTTTGCTTGGATCCGGCTCAAAAACCGAGAGAGTCTCGTGGTTTTGTTTACACTGAATGGGGAGGATAGGAACAGAGCCATGGGGCCGCCTTTCATTAATATACAGTGAGGATTTTGTCTAAATTACTGCTATGAATTTCACAGTACACGCTTTCAAAAGCAGTCTCAGGTGGCCTGATGAAACGTGATAGCGCCTCTGCAAACAGATCCACTTTCTTTCTTTTCAAGAGGGTGTGTGTGCGCGTATGGGAAGCCCCCCAAAACGTTGTGCTCCTCGATAACAGAAACACACTTCTGTTCCGAGGTCTGTCCCCTTCTTCCTCCCCCCCTTTCGTCGTACTTAATTCTCGAATCGCTCCCCGGCCTCTCTCCCCCCTCCACGCTGCCCCACCCCATCCGCCCCCTCCCTTTGCGAGTGTGATTGTTTTGTCTGGAAAAAAAAAATCCAAAGTATATAACAAGGGGAGAACAGTTAGTGCTGATTTTCATTTGCATACATTTTCATATATTTTGGTGAAAATAATAGACTAGTGGAGAGCTGGGCTTCGAGGCGTCAGTGTGAAGGGAAGGCTAAGGACGCATCGGTGCTGGAGAGTTGAGAATATGCCTTCCCCTCCACCCCCAACCCAGTCACCTTATTTGAAAAAAAATTAAAAAACACCTTTTATTTAAAAACCTAACCCTGGAAGTTTGCTCGGTAAGTGTTTTTTCATTTTCTTTCCCTGCTTTCCTCTTCTTTTTCCCCTCCTTTTTGGCTTATTTATTTATGTTCTTGTAGGTTTGGGAGCTTATTTTCATTGCTTGGGACAAGAGAGGGTTCACAGAGCAACTGTCTGAAGGAAGGAAGGAAGGGAAGATGTGTTGGGGGGGAGTTAAAAAAATCCAACCCTGCTAAAATATTACATAAAAAGATGGACTCAGTCCAAAGCCCCACACAGCAAAAGCCACTTTACTTTGGAGGGGTGGGGGGAAAATGCTATTCATTGTAATTGTTGATCGTGAAGGTGGGGTGGGAGGAGGGGGAAGAAGCCCTGGAAAAGAAGTGATTATTAAGCATGCAGTATATAAATATTTCTTGATTGGGATTTTTTATTTTTCCCAGAGAATCAGGACTAGAGGGGAAGAAACCCTATTTCTGTAGCCAGTGGTGATGTCCTGAATTGTGTGTGCCTGCCTGGATTGGGGTGGGGGGACGCATGCTGGGAGCAGGAGGATGGAGTGAGGAGGGGGACTTGGCAAAGGGAAGGCGGAGAGCTGGAGGAGGAGGAAGCGAGGCAGGAAGTCAGGGCACCCCTGGTTAATGCTGTGTCTGGGGAGCAGGCGGGGAGCTGCAGCCTCCCAGCTCGGTAGTGAAAGCCCATCAGAAAGAGGGTGATCAATCAAAACTAACCAGGACATCCCTACACTTCATTCCCAAAGGAGGCTGGAGCTTTAGCATCGCAGACTGGATTTCACTTTGTTTTCTATTTTTGACAGCCTCACTTGTCCCCTCCTTGCCACTGTTCCTGGGTTTTGTAAAAATTGAGGGTGCAGTTATTGCTAGGTGCAGTTAATTAGATAAACATGGCCGGAGGACATAGCTAGGCCAAGTCCAGGCCCATTTGAGTGCCTTACCTTAGTGAAATAGGCCGGAGAAAATTTTAAAAGCTTCTTGGTTTTGTTCTTTTAAGGGAAGCTGCGTCTGTGATGATGAGGGGGGAGAATCCAATGGCTGGAATTTTATTGCACTTTTTTACACAGAACACCTTGCAATTTAGAATTGGTAATTTATTTGGAAACAGTTGATGCCAAATCAATGAAACGGTTTGTAACGAGGGAGGAAGAGGTTTCAGTTGGGGAGGGGGCTCAGAATCGCCAGTTTTCCACTCCTTGTTTACGTGCTTGGCAGCGTTGCTTTTGACTGGGGTTAACTCTGTGTGCTCCATTGGACCAGATGCCATATAGAGCTGCTCCCTGAAGATCATTTGTTTCCTTGATGGGGAACATTTCTGAGCAGAGCATATTGGTTGCCATAGAGAAAGAAATAAAAGGAAGAACACTAGTCACATTAAGCTATATGTTTGTGCACTGGGCTTTAGATAAAAGGACCTTGGTTCAGCCAAAGAGAAGAAGCCAAACTAGAGATTTCTAGTGCCACTAAAACTAGCTTTATTTTGTTTTGGACTTTTACAGTTGAAACATATAAGCTAATTTTATTGGCTGTTGTTAATTTTATATGACACGGTTTACTGAACAAAATAAACTTTGCTCAGGAGTAGCATTATTGACTTGTCAGCAGGGGGCGCACTGACTCGTCTTAGCGAGTGCTGAGTAAAATGTAGCTGTTTCAAAAGCAAATCTGCTCTTCCAAACTTGCCAAAGGAACAAATACCGCTACCTTTCTATGCATATTCACAACGAGGAGTGAATTCATTGCATAACACAGGGTTTTAAAATATGAAGACAATGACTTCCCCATCCCCCACCCGCCCATGTCTGTGAAATGGCCCAGAAAGAAATATAGTTCAAAAACTATTCCTCCATTTCAGTGAAGTGTATTCTGGGCTGGAAAACAGAAATGAGATGTGAAAGCAAGAATAGTTTTTGAAAATTATTACTAAGGGGATTTAATAGGCTACTTAAGAAGCTACCTTTCAGGGTTTTTTGTTGTTGTTGTTTTAACAGTCAAGAAAATGAAATGCATCCTAGGGTATGATCTGTTTAAATAATGAAAGTTCTTCAACCTGATACATGCTTTGACTTCTAAATGCATCTCTGGGTCCTAGAGATTTAGTCCGCTGGCCCAGGATCACTTTTACTCCATTTGATATTTAGTGGCTACTTTCATTCTTGTTACCACTTATGATTTTAGAAAGATTTTGGATTTATCCTTGAAAGGCTTGGCAGAGAAAAGAAAATACAAAATAGCCACGGGTTAGAGATAACTGTGGGCTTGAAACTTTTTAGTGCATTACTTAACCCAGTTGAAGAAAAGTTTCAGTAGAGCCACAAGGTTTCTGCCTCAAAGATATATACATACTGCCAATGAAGACTAAACTTTATTGTGGTAAAGGACGAAAAAGATATGTGGAAAACTTCCTAAAGCAGTGAAGGGTAGATCCTGACTGGTTCAGAATTAGTCAGTTTGTCATTAAGAATTTTCCCAAGGAGATTCAGAGAGTGTGACTAGTAAAGGGAAGCCCGGAGTGACTGGAAGTGAGAAGCTGGCTTCCATGGTTCAGTAGCCGAACACACCTGTGAATGTGTCACAGAGCCTGTTAGTAAGGGCCACATTACGTGATCGCTCTCATGTTCCTGTGCAAGAGAGGAAAAGACACCTTATTCTTTCTAACCCAGCTCCAAGTCAACCAGGTTCCAATGAGGAGAAGTTTTTCTTTGACACTAACTTTAGTAAGTCAGAGTTTGGATTTAAGTGGTGTGTTTTCTAGGAGGGTCAAGAGATTCTGGGAACAGTATAAGCAAAAGGGGCACACTCAAACACATTTTAATCTGTGATTTTCACCCCAAGCTCTCACATTTAGAGTCAGGAAAGGTACTCTCAGGTTCGCACTAATAAAACAGGGAGAATTGAGAAAATTGTAACTTGAGCCCAAACATTGCTTTCTCTTTGGCTTTTGGGACATTTCAGACAAAAGACTTCTGGGGCAGATCCACATGAAGTGGGCAAATGTCTTAAAGCTCTAGCTTACTTTGCATGCCCAGGGCTGCTGAATGCATTTAAAAATTATTAAGGAGAAAGGAAACTTTTCAAATCAGCCTGACATTCTGCAAAAAACATTGGTGAGGCAATCATTATATATATTTAGAGCATAATTTTTGTGTGCCACTTTTCATAAGATCTGTGATTGTTACTGTCTTGCTGCTACTTTTCTTTTTTTGAAAAGGTAATTAAACAATAAACAGAAAAGATAAAATGCTTGCCCCTCATGATATCTATAGTCCTAGGTTCCTTAATGTAAAAGAAACAGAAAATAAGAAATCTGGGTAGAGCAACAAGTTAATTTGACAAGAACTGACATATTATAGAGATGGCTTTAGTAGCATTTTATAATGATTTGGGGGTGGAAGCGATCAAGCTGGGTATGAATTAAGATTCAAAGTGCTGGGCAAAGCTACAGACTTTTAATTGTTGGGGATGGCGAAATTGCTTTTGCCAAATGAGAGAATGAAGAACATTACCTGGGTCAAAAGTACAAAACACAAAGTGGGTATTTACTCATTTGTTTCCATTTGAGAATGATAAGGTGCTCTGGTATCGCTGCAGTTCAGAAGCACATTTGCCATTAGCATTTACAAATTAAAATGTTAAGCATACTCTCAACCCATACTCTGTGTTATATACAAAGGGGACAGCTCTTCCACGGTAGCTTTTGGGTGGAGAAAAGTATTTGTCGTCTTGGCAGTGGATGAGTTGTTTCTTGGTCTTCCTAAGTTTTTTGAAGTGTTTCTTCCCCTAATTCTTTGTATCATTTTGATAACTGATTTGTCTGATCTGCAGGAAAGGAGCAAGTACGTAGGTTTTTAGATGGTTTCAAAGAGTAATACATTCAAAGACATTATGATTTCTCACCCGAAAGCAAGAAGCTTTCTTTCTGATACTTATAGGACAGCTTTAAACTACAGGGCATTTCAGATTATGGGAAATAAACTAAGAAAGCACAGTAAGTTGGTAATCCAGTGAATGCTTTTAAAACAACCCATTTCCAACAGTTTGCCCATTCGAGCTGCATGCAGGCGTGCACCTGACAAGTCTGGTAATGAAAGCTACCAATTGCCAGGGAAGCTGGAGCTGTCACAGTGTGATGGACTGTTCCTGCCTGCCCCCTCACCACACTCCCTGCCTCCCCACTGAGTGCAATGCTCTTTTTCAAATTTAAATTCACAGGGCTAGGTAACATAGAGCCAGGCTGATTGACCAGAGATGATGATGATGATGATGATGATGATGATGATTCATTGACAAAATTTGGTCATTTCTTAGCTAGAAAAATATTCCAAGGTCAGCTTGGTGGGTTTTGTGTGTATTTGTATGTGTGTAAAAACAACGCCCAGAAATATTAATTCAGCTTTATCAGAAAAATGGTTTGATTCTTTGAGGTTGTGGTGGTCCTAACAGAACTGAACAAACAGCTCTCTCAGTCTTGAGGACACTCCTTACGCCAAACATTCCTCATACGTTATTATACAGCATCGCCTTTCTGGGTCGGAACAGGGTAGTCTGGAGGTGGAAAAGAGATTCATGTGGCATACATCCCAGAAAACAATTCTTGCAGTTTGGCACCTCTGTTTTTATTATTATTATTATTAGATTTTTTTTTGACATTTGAACTTAGCTATTGTCTGAGAAGCTGGGTGCAGATGCAGCACGTCAGGCTGACGGCTGCTCTTTTCGGCATTCCCCTCAAACTGTGCTTCTGTGGTCTCTTCTCTCCAGTGAATGCTGAAACACCCAGTTCACTATATCGCTCTTTCCCCCCGCGCCCCCGGCCCTGAGACACCCCAGTGCCTGCCCTGGATGGCCAGCCTCAGGGGTGTTTTCAAGAAAGTGTGTTTATTGTTGTTCACTTTCAAAATACGGTGCCGAATGTATTCGTTGATATTTGATACTACAAATACCATGGTTTGCAGTGATACACTTTCAGCACAAACGTATCTGGTCAGACACTTTGGTGGTGGAGCTAAGTGACCTTGCTCACTGTAGCTTCAGGCAGCTTGGAGTTTGTTAGTCTCAAGTTAAAAGTTACTTGTCTGATGTTGCTTTGAACGCTCACCTCTCTCCCCAAAATTTCGGTAGGGAGCCTGGCTACTCAGTGAAGCCCAAGGGAAGGAGCTCAGGCTTACAGTGCCATTTAATACACGTCAAATGTTAATTTAGTATTAAATCAGGGTGCAAAGAGCCTCTAGAAGTCCAGGCATATATTGTTCAAATGGCTGCGTTCCCTTCATTTTTAATTCACATCACAAAAACAAACAAGTAAAACTTCACTTGGAAAAACACTAACTGTTAAAGTATCCTAAATTCGAAAATACTATGATTATATTGGAGGGGTCTGGCAAGCAATTCCTTTTCTGGGTTAGAAAGTAAGATGAGAACTTTTCCCAGAAAGGTTTGCTTTGGAGTCTCCAGCGCTGAGGTCCCCATTCCACAGCGGCGAGGTCCTCCTCTCACCCCCACCCCCAACATTCCTGTGATTTGTGGGCACGAGAAGCGACTTCTCCCGAATCTCCGGCCATTTTGGGGGCCCCAGGGCTAAGCTCGGCTTCCTTAGATCGCATTCTAACGGCGTTTTATTTTATTTAGGGCACAGTTTGCATAATAAAATTAAAAGGATCCCATTACTCCCCTTTTCTCTCTGAGCACTGCCCAGCAAGGTCTTTCAGACTGTTATTTGAACATCTAGAGCGGCCTTCAGAAGTCGAATTAGCATTGCTTTTCTATGGGAAAGAAAAAGGGAAAGAGGTAAATAGGGCAAAGTGAGAAGCGGGTAAGGTACAAGGAGTGAGGTGGATTAAAACATGCAGGGAGCGGTGAAGGAGACTGGGGACAGAAGAGGACAAGAGAGGAGATGGGGCAGCAGGGAGGCGAAGAGATAAACGCTGAGTCACCCTAACAGGTCATTGGGTACACAGGAGCGAGATGCTGCAGCCCAGGAAAATCCGGGTGCAAATCGCACCCCATCTTCTGGGCCTCCTTCCCGCCAAGCCGTAGGAGCGCCGGCTTGGAGCTCGGCGCCGCCCGCTTGCCTTTGTCACTGATTCGGTGCGCGGCCGCGGGCTCCTGCGGCGGGCTTTGTTCCGGCGGAGCAGGGCAGGACCCCTCGCACCGCCGCGTCCCCGCCCTCCCCGAGCTGGGGACGGTGGGGGTGGGGACTGCACTACAGGGACCGGGAACAGAGGAGCAACGGCGGGCGCCTCTGAGCCTGGGATTTCGTTCCTTGGCTCCTCTTCGTAATTGAGCTGTTCTTCCTTCGGGGAGGGGGCCGCGGCTGCGCGGGAGGAGGAAGAGCTGGAAGGGGGGGTACCCGCTCTCAGCCCGCAGCAAGGGCGAGGCGCAGCTCTCCGTGCCGGCGTCCCGGGATTTGTATTGCATGCATGTACGCATGCAGGGATGGATGGATGCATGTATGGACGAGGAAAACCGATGAATTGGGTCCCATGTTCTAGGTTTCCGGTCGAGCTTTTGGCAGCTGCAGGGCGCCTCAGGTCGGTGCCTGGTTAACCCCTAAGATCTGCTCTCGAGGTGTTTGGGGGCCGCGGGTGGGCGCTGTGGACGCGCCCCGGGTCGAGGGCTGCCCACCGGCCGCGCGCAGATCCCACCGTGGAGGCCCGCGGCGGGGGACAAAGGCGGACACCCCGAGCAAGCAAAGGGCGGGCGCACACAGGCACTCACGCACCCACGCGCTCTCTCGCCCGGGCCCCTCCCGGTGAGCCCCCGCGCCTGGGAGTCAGGGCTCTGCGCTTGAAAAGTTCGCTTCATGTAGACGCTGCTCCCTCCTCTCGCCACTGCATTTAGCAAGCGGTGTGTGAACGTGTATCACCCTCTCCCCAGCCACCCCCAAAGGTGTGGGCAGATTGCAAGAGTTACTGCTCTGTTATTGTTTGTCAAATAGGGTCCTTCTCTTGGGAGAGGGTCGAGGGGCATGTGGCGGATCCCGGGCCAGGATTACATTAATCAAAGCATTATTTCCCCAGAGAAGCGGAGCACAAATGAGAGTAAATCCTAATAAAATTGGATCGCGGAGAAATGGAACGCTTTAAGTCATCTGTGCTGACTGATAAAAATCTCACATTTACAAGATGTGGGTCTTAAAAAAAATCCGCACACCTCTGGCCTCGGCTTGGCTGGTGGGTCCAGGTCAGGGTGGGGGACAGACACTACACGAAGCTCAGCTGAACTTCTGAAGTGAGAAAGGAAGCTGGACACCCATTCGGAGTTTCACAAGCTCAGGTCTGCTCAGGAGGCATCTTCGGCCCTGGGAACCCCTCTGGAGTGTTTGCGGAACCCGTGGGTCCGACGGAGTCCCCATCAGTGCCCTGAGAGGTCTGGAACTCTGTTCCTCTGGGAACGTGGCCCCCACTTTCCCCTTCGAACTCTGCTGCGGAACGGGCAACTCCCATGGGTGGGGGCGCAAAGCCCCACTGAGTGGGACGGCGGACGCGGCCTACCGGCTGGGCAGGGACCAGACACCCCAACGCTGCGCCCGCAGCAGATTCGCGAGTACCCCCCAACCCCGCCCGGGTCTCCACCCTAGGGCCCGCCAGGTCCGCGGGGCCGTTTCCTAGGCAACCTGGGGTTCCTTCGGCCAGGGGAAGGGTGTGCGTTTGGGATGATTGCCGGGGAAGCCGAGGGCGCTGCTCGCCAGCGAGACTTCTGGTACATTCGGCCATCCCAGCAGGGAAACAAGGCTCTCGATCCATCCACCTTCGTCCCTCAAGTGGTAGGAAACTTTCCGACGCCTCCCGCGGCTCTGCCAGGAGAGAAGAGACAAGCTCCCCCTCCCAACCCCTTAGTAATGACTGAGTCTAGCGAAGCTAGCCAGCCGGGAGGCAAACTCCCCCTGCCGCCCCGAGGCCTCCTCCAGCCGCTGAGACTGGAAAGCGGACTTGCGACGCCACGCCGGCCGTCGTTGGTGACAAGTGTGACAACACCGTCCCGGTCCTACGGGTGAGCACCAGCCTGAGGG
This sequence comes from Homo sapiens, assembly GCF_000001405.40. Lineage (NCBI taxonomy): Eukaryota > Metazoa > Chordata > Mammalia > Primates > Hominidae > Homo > Homo sapiens. The sequence goes on along the minus strand of NC_000002.12, from coordinate 104,843,324 downwards.
CCCCGCCGACCCTCCAGAGAGGCGCGAAGGGAACCTGCTCCCGTCCGGGTCCTCCCTCCGACCCTTCCTCGGTGGGCGAAGGCGGGGCGGTGGAGAACCCGCGGGGCGCGAGCGCGCCGGCGCCCCCTGCAGGCCGGCACTTGGAGGGCCCGCCGGGGCGCTACCGCCGCGCCGAGGTCCTCGCGCTGGCTGCGTCCGAGGCCACCGGCGCGCACACGCACAGCTGCCCGCCTGCTCCGTGCCTTTTCCAAACGCGAGTTCCATACGCGGCTGGGAGCGGCAGGGTGGGAGGGGAAGAAGGGAGAGAGGGCCACAGAGGGAGGCGCGGAGCGGGGTGGGCAGCCGGCGTCACCCCCTCCCCACCCCTTCGCTCCCCTTCTCCAGTCCGCGCTGGGCAGTCCCCGCATGTGCCAGCGGCCGCGCGCCTCGTTCCGGGCCCGCGCGCTCTGGAGCCCCGAAGGCCGCGCTGCCTCCCCACAGGGGCAGCGACCAGCGCTGGGTACCAGGCTGGCCTGGGCCGGGCTGGGTCGCCTCACCTCCGGTGAGCGCGCCCCAGAGGAGCCGTTTCCCTTGCAGTCTAGAGGGTAGAGCGGCGGGGAACAGTGTGCGTGTGTGCGCGTGCGAGGACCGGGTGTACGTGTGAGTGCGGTGCGCGCGCAGGGCAGGGCAGGGCAGGACAGGAGGCGCTACAGGATGCTCTGGTGGAAGCTTATCCTTTTCAGCCTTGAGATCTAAATCTGCAACCTTAGAGCTGATTATTCTACCCCAGCCCCCCTCCTCGGTTCTCTACACGGGCATCTCCCTCTTTCGCCTGAGTCTTCCCAATCTGATTCCCAAAGAGATCCCCCTCGTGGTCCGGGGATTTTCATGGACACCCTGACCCACGTGAGCCAGGCTGAAAGGGACAGTGTTAGCCGAGGGCATGTCCATCATCCAGCCTGCTCGTTAGGCTGGATTTCACGCACCAGGAAGCCGCGTTTGGGGACTTGGGTATCTGCTTTCTCTCTGTCTTGGCCTTAAAAATTGCTGCGCAGTGGCTGTTTTTAGTTTTGGAGGGATAGGAGGGAGGTAGGAACCAATTGCAAATCACTTTTGGGGCTTCTCTTTATTTACCTGACCAGTTGTAGCCCTCCTAGGCACCTTTCCAACTTACTGGCTTCTTTCCAGTGATGGGAAATTTGGGGGGAGGGGGTTCGAGTAAAGACACTCATACCTTTTCAATTCTGAAATAATGACTCCCCTTTCCCAGTCTGTGATTTCCATAATTTCATACAAAACAAGGGCTGTCAAGGATCTCTTTATAAGAGAAAAGGCAACTAGCAGAAGAAAACTTGGGCCAAATTAAATTCCTCCTTCTTAAAACATTAACCAGGGCCTCCCTCCCTCCCTGGTCCCACCAAGTTTGTTCTACTCTCAAGGGGAAACAGGACAGAAAAATTCAGAGAAAGGTTAAACATTCCTCTCCTTCACTGAGACCATGAACCCAGTTGCCAAAATGTATTTTTGATAACCTGAGATTCAGAGGGATTCTAAGAAGAAAAGGAGCACACGCTTTTAGTTTTCCCCTTGTTACCCTACTGTTTGCATCTAATGATTTTCACGAATTTGGAAATACCTGTTATATACATTTTTTCTGTCTTGGATTTATTAATATTGGATGGTTTTACTGTTAGCCATAATTCTTTATAGGACCTGTTGTCCTAGAGAAAGGTTCTAAGTAACATTTAGACACACTCACTAGCTTCTGCCAAAGGCCCTCCCCAGCTAGTGTCTTGACACACTTTCAATCACTGTTTTTCAAAAGATAATTTATAGGCAGGTAAATTTTAACAAAGAATGTTAATGGTAAAATGTGGGTGTTTAACTTGATGAGCTTTTGTTTTTAGAATCAAGGTTTAGCTTTTCTTTGAATTATTTATCAAGCTGTTTGCCCATAGGCCTTCCTAAAAGAAGGGAAAGGTGAAGAGGAAGGGATCACTTTTATTTATTTAAAGCATATGTTGACATAAAATTTTAAAACTAGCCTTTTGGAAAACAGCGAATTACTAAACCAGGTCTGTAAACACCCACCTTTGGGACTGTGAAAAGCAAAAAACAAAAAACAACCTAATTACTTTCACAGGAAACAGTACTCAGTTAACTAAAATATTGTATGGCAATCCTTGGAAGCTCCTCCTCCTCCTTAAGTATAGTACAGTTTGGTAATATACTACACATATTTATACATGATGTAAATATACATATGCACAAGGGTAGATGTTTATGTACATAACATAACAAAATATATACATACCCCAACTGAATACATTTGCATATAACATGCCCATGTGTAATATAGCAAACTTCTATGATTAACAATACGTTCTATAACAGATAGTCTTAAAATAAGAAGTGAGTGAATTTTATTCATATTGAAAAAAATTCAAAATTTGTTTTGAAATCTGAATTGTGCTAACTGTAGATGGCACCACAGAAATCAGTAAATAATAGGTTCGTAGTATTAATATTTTATACACACTCCCTCTAAAATATGAACTTAAATAACTCGTTTTACAAAAAATAAAATGGACAGCATATTTAAAATATAAACATTCCATCTAAAGCTGAGTACCTATTTTTTGTCTTTTTTTTTCACACATTACATACTGTTGTCTTAGAACAAAAATTAAATTTTAGAGGCAATGAAAGAGATCAGCAGTTTTATTTTCTACTCTATTGTAAAGAAAACATTTTTAACTAGTTGATCGTATGGTCCTCTATATGCATTAAAAGACATTCAGTAATCTAGTGATAATTCAAAATGTAAAAGCGAATTTGAGGCCTATATTATATTTGATTTGTATAATATGGGATGCCATGTTACTTATTTGCTTCCTTGAAATGGTATTTTGAATCTTTGGATTTTCAGAGGCCTTTTCTGGTTAAAATAAGAACTACAGTTAAAATGAATACATTGGCATTCATTGGCAAGAGTCCAGATGCTCATTTGTGTTAAGAAAATGGAAAGAAATGATCTACCAGAATTTTATACTTTAAGTGTTATTTGTCCTAGTTGATAAAGGAATCAAAATGATGAAATTTTGAAGTTTTATGCAAGACCATGATAAAAGGAGCTCTCTCATGTAATGAGAGTTATTTGTACTGAATTGTAAAATATTTTGTTTGTTTATTCACGTTTATGTAAATGTATATTTCTTTACAAAAAACATATATGATGTTTATGATGACATTTATTCCTACATTTGATTTATTGCTTGTTGATTTCAGAGTATTTAAAAGACTAGTGACTCATTGGTGGTGTCTAAATATTAGTGATGAACTTGTGAAAATAGAAATCAGCTTAGCCTAACTACTTTTTGAGGTTTGTTTCTTAATCTCCTAAAAAGTTTGAGGTTAAATTGATAGAAATACCGCAAGTGAAAATTAAAAAAAAAAAAACAAAAACCAAGAACTATTACTTGGAAAAAGGTAAAAATATTCTACTCTAGTTGAGGTTTCAGATCAACTGCAAAAGTTAGTCTTTTATGTTAGAAAGTTTTATATCTGATGGCGTGAAGTGATTTGAGGAGGCATAGGCTATAAAATAACATAAAAATGCACAACGTTGATTCAAAAATTTGGATGAAGAGTCATTTGCTACAAAATTGTAAAATAATCTTTTCTGTCAACTTAATTAATGAAGTGGGTAAAGGACTATTTTAGTAGACTCAAATTACATATGTAGAAAGATTTGTAAGAATAAATACTTTGGCATTCTGTGGCCTAAAAGCAGACAGAACTATAATATAGCAAATAAAACTCCCCAGAATGTAGGCATCCAAGATTCAATTTCATTAAAAAATTTGGCAGTTAGAGAAAAGAAGGAAAAATGCTTATTAAATCAGGGCAACTATAAAATGTTGACAGATCTCAAGTTTCATATCCAACTAGGCTCTTAGAAAACTGCTGGGATATTGGTGGAGTATAAGTTATTCTGTCAAACCATTTTTTGTAGTTAATTATTTTTTTCAATACCCTCAAATTTAAACTCCAGCTTCATGACTAACCATTTTCTTTTTCTTTCTCTCTTTCTTTCTCTTTCTCTCGTTCTTTCTTTCTCTCCATGTCTCTCCCTCCCTCCTTCGCCTCTTTCTTTCCTTCCCCCCATCTCCAAGTCTGTAAGCAGTTGGACAAGGCTATTTAGAAAGGCTTGGAGAGACACCCTAGGGGGATTGAAGGTCCTCAGCCTCAGTGGTTAGACATTATCAATGACACACATCGAGTGTACTGAGGTATATTGGTGCTCTCTTAAAACACATTTATTTCCTTTCCTCATGCAACTACCAGTGTCTTTTAAAAAGAGAGGCAGACGATGTCTACTGAAGGCAAAATAGAGAATTGAATTAATCACTTGGATAATCCAGGCGTTGTTGCTCTCCCTTCTAGCTGCTAAAAAAAAAAAAAAAAAAGTGAAATTTGAACAATTTGGACTGGCTATCTATCTGTGATTAAATTTGTAAGATATCAACTAATCCTATAAGCTGTTGCTTGACTTTTCATTCTACCGGTGTTAACAAAGATGGATGCGCACACCTGAATGGGCCTCCAGTGGAGGTCGTTATATGGGTTAAGACATTTACCCCAAATCTAAACAAAGGGAGTTGAGGGGCATGACTTGCCAGGTTTTGCTGAGTACATTGATAGAAGTTATTAGGTAATTTTTCACCTTTCTACTTTGCCCCACGAGAGGAGACAATGCTATATTATAAAATACTTTAAATTAATGTTAAATAGTCCAACTGGGATCACTAAAGTTTATTTACATTTAGCAATGGATTAAAATGTTAGCATTATACATTTATTGAATTAGGATCTTATTCTCTTTGTGTGCTCTGACTTGGAAACATTTGCTGAACAAATCTCCAAGAGTTTTTTAGGGAGGACAATTTTCTCAGTGTAATTTGGTGGCTTGAAAGGTGCAGTCTCTTTACTTTCTGTGGCGGGCAAAAGAGAATAAGAAAGGACAAGGTTAAAAATTGTAGGTGGTAATTAGGCCCGTTGACTATTTTAAAGTAGTTTTTGGTAGAGCAAGATAAGATTGAACATCATTTGGATTTAATCTAAAGAACAATAGTAAACAATAATTACAGGCCATTTAAAAATATACCTAGTTGCAAATATGACTTTCGAAAGAGCACCTAGACTTTATATTAATAAACTTTCTTCTTTTCTTGAAAATCTCTGGAAAATTATGTCACTTCATTTTATATTCATCTAATTAAATAATCTGAAGTATTGTTCTAACACATAAAGCATGAGTATTCCAAGAATAAGTAAAAATGTGTGCTAGACTAAAAAAAGTTGCTGATTTCATTTTTGCTATAATTTCGAGAGAGAGTAGCTAAGTGAAACCTGTGGGTTAGTAATAGTTTTTATTTATTTAAAAAGTTGTTTTATTATATTAACAGAAACTGTATTTCCAGATTAACCTTAGAAAAAGTGTGCTAATTATTTGAAATTTTTAATGATTCCTATTTCTAGATGCACATAAAAATAGAAAACTACTTAATAGCTTTAATGTTTGTACAGAAATTAAACATATACAAAGATATTAGTGAATAAGTGAATAAAGAATGTTAAACAACTAGGCATTTAGGCCTAAGATTGTATTTTGCTGGTTACGACTATTAGTCATCCTGTACCATTTTTTTTTCATTGAGCCTTAAAAAACTTATACAGTGTGAAATTGTTCCAGAATCACTAATTATTCTTCACCCCAGACCCTTTTCAATAAAGCGATGCCATCCATGGAAGATTTAAGGCAAAACAGAATAATAGACTTATTATCAGGAATTTCTCTTGGCATAAGTATTTACAAGATTTTCTAAAAAAAAAAAAAACCTATAGGGATATTTATTTTGCTTTTTTCCTTTCTCGTTTTAGAGGTAGGGTCTAATTCTCCATGTTGGCCGTTGATCTTGATGGCGGCTGTTGAGAGGTAGCCATGTAATTTCTTTATCTTTCACCTGCAAATTACACACATTATTTTGCAGCTCAAAATAAGCATTCCCAATGAGTTGCATTCAGTAAATGTCTTTTCACAGCATTAGTACAGAACTGAGGTACAAAAGAATATTAATCTAATACATTCCAAAATTCAAATACTTGTGATTAATAAGCATTATTATCTATAAATAAGGCCCTAATGATACTTTGGCAGTGTTGTAAACACAAGAATCAGAGGCAATTATTGTCATTATTGTTCGGCAAGTACTTCCCATGAATACCAAATGAGTATTGCTGTCCAGCTACTTGGCAAGTAAGGTTCCTCTAAAGAAACAGATGTTGGCCAATCAGGACTGGCTACTATTAACTGCCCTTAGCTCAAAACTCAGAGTCTTTAAAGAAAAAAAAAAAAAAACAAGACAAAAAAACACAAGACATCCAAAACAGTTGTGATATGATCTTAAGAAATACCCTTTATTATAAATATAAAAGCATCTTGAAAATAATGCTCTTTTCCAATACTGACTTTGGTGAATTGGGCACATGAACAACCATGCGTTATTCAGAAGCAAAGGTCCCACTTGTGAGGCTCTTAGACCCGGTGTGATGGGACACTTTTGTAGTAACATCAGTGGACAAGGAGAAATAAGTTGCAGCTACATGAAAACCCCTTCAGAGAGCTTGGGTGTGACCAGGTCTCCATCTTTTTCCCTTTTCCCAGTCCCTCCAGAGCTCCCTCCTCGGTTAAGCACATTAAACATAACCAGCCCACCAGGCCCAGCTCCAGCTCCTTATGTGGGAGGGGGGAAGCCGCTGTGCAAGTTAAGGAAAGTTCCTTACTCAGAGAGAGCTCCACACAGGCCCCTGGTAGCACATTTGCTTGCACTCTGGGCGCAGGGCCAGTGTGCCAATGAACTGATTTTAGCTTGCTGTCTTAGGAAGGTCAATGGCATTGGGTAACAGCCAAATTGGTTTTTGTGGAGAGGAGAAAAAAAAAAAAGTTTTGTATCTGTTTTCTTAAGGGATAGGTGCATTAACCATTGAAGATAAATTTGTTTTCTATTTTTAAATTTCCTGAGCCAAGCCTTATGCTTTAAGGATGTTACAGTTTTGTACAACGGGGGTTGAGAAAGCAAGGAACGGGTTTCAGGCATTGGAAAGACTTAGCGAAGACAAGGACTGAGTTGGTGGGGTTGGTGGTGATATTTCAAAGAAACAACCGCATTACTAACCATGGTCACTGGCCATCAGTTTCAGCATGGGTGTGTTCTTTGTGGAGAATAGGGGTGGAATGCGAAGCTACCCCCTGGAGAGGAATGAGATTGGACTGATTCTACCCCTTTCCCCACCAGAAAACTCTTTATCATCACTTTAGCAGGAACTGAAACATAAGTGATTCCACTATCTTCACAATAAACCAGGAGGGGAACCAGAGGGAGCATTTTCCCAGGAGATTTTCACTCAGCTCCCTGTGAAAATGTTGTTGATACCCCCCACCTCCCCCACACCCTGCCTAGATTTGTCAGCAGGGCGCCAAACCCATGGAGGGGCCCGGGTGGCTGGACTCCAAATGGGTTAGAGCTTGGGCCCTGGGCACTCTCTCCTGTTTTCCATTTTGAACTTCCCTGAATGGGATGGAGGGGGAATTGCCCACCTGAATTCAGCAGCATGTGCTCACTCTGTGAGCGTAGGGAGAAGAGAAAAAGTGAGTTCTTCTAAGCAAATCTTTTCTCATTTCCAAGCGTAGTAACTCAAAGGAGAATTTCCATAACAACAATGATGATGGCAAAAGTAATAATAATGATAAAATTGTACTAAAGACTTACCATGTACCAGGTCTTCAAACATGCCCCTCAGGTTTTATATTACCCTATTTAAGCTCCTGAAAGCCCTCTGAAGGATCATTTCTATCTAGGTTGATGAGACCGCTGAGGCCTGTGGGGCTGAGTCACCTGCCCAAGGTCACATGATGGTGGCACCAGGTTTTGAACTTGAGTCTTGTCTCTTAAACTCTGGACCTGCTGCTTTCTACCTTACTGGGAATCCCCCAAACATTGCCCCTTTAGGGCCTAGTCCGGGCTAGCTTGCAGAGCAGTTCTGTGACATTTGGTGAATGCATCCCCCGCCCTCTCCCCAACCCCGTCTCCGGTGAAAACAAAGATGGCCAAGGCTCCTAAGGCCTCTTCACATCCCATGACTGCACTCTTTGCCACATCTCCCAGCCCTTCATGAGGATGAGAACAGAATAAGGCTGGACATAGTAACGTGAAATGATGATTACAATTTGGTTTGGATGCTCCATTTACAATGAAGCACGGTGTGTTATGAGAGGGGACTCAGAACGTGCATGTGTGTGTGTCTTTAAACTCTCTCGTGCTAAATATACGTATAGGAGTATGTCTGTTTCTCTGTATATGAACACCCTGGGGAAGAAAACAGCTATTAATCGGAAGCAATGTTTTAACCACGACGTTGACTATTGACTCGGGAACTTATCCCTGTTTCAAGGCTGTGAGGGACACCCAGTCAGTGCTGGGGGAAAAGCCCAGAAGGCTGGTTTGGTTTTTTGCTCGTCACTGTGTTCAGCTCACGCACACCTTAGAAGGGGACCGTGTGGACGCCTCACTGAACACAGGCAGGGCCACCATCCAAACGTTCTCATTGGCTTTGGCATTGTTGGAGAAACAATGAAGCTGTTTCAGGCACACCAAGCATCAATCAGGGAGGCCGGACTCTGAGCCAGGCCCTGCCTCTTGAAGGAGATCTGGGACTCTGGTGACTGCTGCTCTGCATGTTGACCAGAAAGCAAGCAGAACATGTGAACGCTGGTTCTTGGGAAGAGAAAAAATTTGTGCTTTTGCTTTGGGTCCAGGAGGACATATAATCAGCTAGGGAACTCTGAGACACGGGTACTCAACTCATGGCAACAGTGACATAAAGTTTGAAAAAACTTCAATAATGATTTTATTTTAAATGAAATATTCGTTGCTGCCACCGGACCCCAAAGGGCAAAGTGTTATTCGTAAAGGTTGAGGTGAAAAAGTTACTTGGCTTTTAGAAAATGACTTTCACCTAATTAATTAATTAATATTCTGCCTCATTCCAAGGAAGAATGTGAGGCAGTTTATAAAAATGCATGTCGGTAAGAAATGAAGTTGGGAAAAGGGAGCCAGCGTAAAGTGAGCATCCATTACTGTATGTCTGTAAGGGCCTAAGTGCTTAGAGATGTTCCAAAGCCACAGAAAATGACATGAGATCAAGTGTTGTTTACTCCAAAAAAAAAAAAAAAGAAGAAAGAAAAAATTTAAAAAAGCTTAACAATAAGCGATTAATCTATGTTAACTTCTATCTAAAAAAAGAAAAAAGACACTGTTTTCAAGGTGGGCTATCAATTACATGTTACTTGAAAATATTTCCTAAACATTTTTGATATCTTTAACCCCGAAGAAAAATGTTCATAGGGGAATTTGCTACATCTTTTGTAGTCACAATAAAAAAGCCAATCTTGTAGTCTGTTGGAATTTTACATTGGAGAAAGGGCTTTATGATATTCTTTGACAACCTTTAATGCTAGCAATTGGCATTTTACTTTCTATACTTACTTTGATACTTTGCAAAATGTAGGTCATGTTCTGCTTCTTTCCAGTAAATCCCAGGAAATCAATAAATGATATATGTTTTACTGCCTCCTCTATTTTTTGTTTAGGTAGTCAAGAGGCAGATAATATAAAGATCTCAGAAAGGTTCCTTATATTTAGGGGTATAAAAATTCATGTGTCCTCTGCCACAACCAGCCTAGTGACTTGGTGGCCTCCCATAACCCTCTTGGTTTCAGTTTTCTCATCTGTAAAATAAGGGTGTGGGATTTGGTTGATCTTTAAGTTGCCTTCTGGTCATAAAATTCTGTGTTTTGAATTTTCTGTCATCTAGAGAATCTATTAATGTAAGCATGATTTTTTATATCTAGTTATATTCAATTGTTATAGAACTTGCATGTAAAGAAGAATACAGGGCATTCCATTATGCAGTGTAAATCAATAAAATGAAAATGTATACATTGACAACATTTGTATTTTCACCTATTACAGAGCTGTGCCATCTCTTTGAATACAATACACTTTTATGCCCCATTAAAGCATGCTTGACATAGCTTTCAACTACTTGCAAATGCTGAGAAGTTGAAAAACATAACATTTACAAAAGATACATCTGGTGCATATTTATATGACTTGGAATAAGGAATCATTTAAATACTGCTGAGCCATCTCCATATTAGGAGAAAAGATATTCCATGTCCATATGTGAAATTGGTGATAAAATACACGTAGGTTTAAATTTCTCTTGCACATTTTTTTCCTTGACACGTTAAAAATATGGAAATATTGATTAGGGATTAAATCATCTATTTGAGTTGTGGGAATTGCTTTTCCTTTGAATTTTATAGATTACTTCATTAAATCTAAGTTTATATGCTAAAGGTGGTAAGTTTTCAAAGGGATTAAAAGTAGCACTTCATATTTAGAAAAGCTGCTTATTCAGGTGCAAGAGTTCTTAACCTGGAGATCAGAGACTCCTTAAACATCCAAAGGTGTTTAAGGGGTTCTATGAGCCCCCTGAGTTTATATGCTAGCATTGTATGTATATGTGTATATGACTTTTTTTTCCTGGAAAATATCTAACTTACATCAGTATCTCAAAGTGGTTTATGGCCCTAAAACTTGGAGTTATAAGAAATACCTGGGGTTACTCCTGATGTGTTGTTTCACCCTGAAGTACATAAGCCACCTACCTTCTGTAAGCCTCATCTCTAAACTTCAGTGGATTACCAGTATTAAAAACTGACCATCTCAGTGTGATTCCCAGCTTTAGTATTCTGGAGCTCTGAGTCAGAAATTTACCTTCATCTACCTAAATCCTTAACCCACCAGTGCCCTTAGCAGTTGTTCTTTGGGACTGCATTTATTTTAAAATTGTTACTGTGGAGGTCCTCGGTGGAGTATGGGAGATGTTATGCCGAATAGTTGTAGGACTACGTAGGTATCAAGTTGGGAAAAAAAGCACACCTAAAAATCATACAGCTCTTCTAGAATGCCATGTGGTACGGCATATGAAATATAACTTCTACCCTCCATCTCACACACACTTTAATTAATGTTATGGGCTGTGCTTTAAACTGAGAGAAGTGAGAAAATCAAGGTTAAGCATGCTCTGTTCTTTACCATGGAGAAGAAAAAAAGAGACAGCTATGTAAATTAAGGATTTTGTACCTCCTTGTCAATTTCTTATCTGTCAATTTCTTATCTGAATGATTTCTAAATCAGAAGAATGCTGAAGATCTGTTTTCCCATCAGTTCTGAGCCTGAGGAATTTGGAGCTGGAGTTCTGAGCCAGGAAACAGTCCTGTTTTGAATTCAGAGACTCTACTGCTGAGCACAGATGCCAGGCTTACGAACATTCCAAAAGGTTCAGCTTGATATTTCAACCCCAGAGGTTAGAGAGAGTTCCTCAGAGGGGCAAATGAAGAATAGCAAAGGTGGCCAGGGAATCTCCAGTTATCCTACTGGGAGTGTCAGCACCTCAGCAGGCTTTGGTAATGTGGCCAGCCAGGAGGCATCCACCTTTAACAAGTAGAATATTGTTCTGGTGGGCCCTGCAGGCCTCAGGCTATGAGATACTTCTACATTGTCATATGTTTGACATGATGTCGCTCCAACATCTGGAAGGCTTTCTAAGTTTTTCACCTTAGTTATTAGGGTGCCATATAGACCCAACCTCCAATGCTGATATGATCTATTGTGCAAAAATTCTTAACTTGAGAGATATTAATTGAAAAGATTCTCACCCTTACAATCCTTCATGTCTGTGTGGTACTTGTGCGTGTGGACTAACTTCACATGCATGCTACAAACTCGATTCTAACTTCAGAGGCAGGGTCCCACCCCACCTTTCTGTCCTTTTCCCTTTCCCCAGATATCTAATTATATTGCAGATTTATCAAAACTCTTTCAGTATAACAAGGGGTGGTACCGTTTTGAGTTCAAACCCCCAGAGAGACTATTTTTCAGAAAGAAAGGTCTGAAAGGGTCCCATAGGGCTAAGATGTTTGCAGTCGTGAACTTTCTATGAAGTCCAACTTAAATCACATATTTTATAATTTATACTGATGAACCTTGGGAGCCTGGGGATGCTGAGTTTTTAAATTACTAATCTATTTATTTATTACCAATTCATATTTCTAACACGACAAAACTTCATGACCAATTGCAATGATAAAAAATATGACTAAGGATTGGAATATCACAAACCAAATTTCAGTGAGGAAGGAAACAGAATAAAGAGCTAATATGAGGCTGGGTGTGGTGGCTTATGCCTGTAATCCCAGCACTTTGGGAGGCCAAGGCGAGTGGATCACCTGAGGTCAGGAGTTCGAGACCAGCCTGGCCAACATAGTGAAACCCGATCTCTACTAAAAATACAAAAATTAGCTGGGTGTGGTGGCACGTGCCTGTAGTCCCAGCTACTCAGGAGGCTGAATCAGGAGAATCACTTGAACCTGGGAGGCGGAGGTTGCAGTGAGATGAGATTGTGCCAGTGTACTCCAGACTGGGTGACAGAGTGAGACTGTCACAAAAAAACAAAACAAAGAAACCCCAGAGCTTATATGTACCTTTTTCTTTTTATTTCTTTTCTTTTCTTTTTTTTTTTTGAGATGGAGTCTGTCTCTGTCACCAGGCTGGAGTGCAGTGGTACGATCTCAGCTGACTGCAACCTATGCCTCCCAGGTTCAAGGGATTCTCTTGCCTCAGCCTCCCGGGACTGCAGGAGAATGCCTCCACGTGCAGCTAATTTTTGTATTTTTAGTAGAGACAGGGTTTCACCATGTTAGCCAGGATGGCCTCAATCTCTTGACCTTGTGATCCATCCGCTTCGGCCTCCCAAAGTGCTGGGATTACAGGCGTGAGCCATCGCACCCAGCCAGTATGTACCTTCTTCTCCCTAAAGGACCGTATTTCTAATGATCCAAAGCCTTGTCAAAACCAGAAATACATCCTGCCCTGAATTTTTCCTTAAGCAATTCAGTTACCAATCTGCCTCTTACATTATTGACCTTGATGGAAAGATACATTGACTCAACCTGAGGAGGTGGAAGTTCAGAGTAAATTTGGCTAATGATACTGTGTTTTCATCTTTGGTAGGAGAGGCAATAAAAGAATGCTGACTTTTGATGCCATTTTGTCTCCATTAGGAGAGATGTGAAATGACCTGTCCCGTGAGAGCTCTAGGTCCTGTTCCTCTTTGTTTCTCTCCAGCCACCCCAGCAGAGTTTCTCCTGTTTGGCAGTCAACACGTGTGCAGCTCATCTGTTGTTGGGTAAACTACACTCCGGCTTTCTACCTAGGAATGTTCTTTGGTTGGGAAGCTTTTTGAGCATATCATTGATAAAGCATCCATAATAAAGTGGAATGGCATGCTATCAATAATGTTAGCTGGCTTAGGTTTAACCATGACCCTGTCAGTCAACAATATATCTCTTTATCCACATGCATATATAACGAGGGTAATACCATTTGACTTCAGCAGCATAAAGACTTTGGGAGAAGAAATGAAATAAGTTTATCAAAAGCTCCTTAGAAAAAACTGCTTTATAAGTCAAAACTATTGTTACTTTCACGTGACTCAGTGTTGCTGTGCCACAGCTGGAGATCATAAGACATCCCATGAAATGGAAGGTAATATAGAAATAAACGAACAAAAGAAGATCTCAGACACACTCTTTTGCCACGCACCTTATTCAAATTTTCCAAGTCCCTTTGCTAAGGCCCTGGTATTCCCTGCTGCACTAAATTATTTTATTTTATTTTGTTTATTTATCTTTTGAGACAGAGTCTTGCTCCGTCGCCCAGGCTGGAGTGCAGTGGCGTGATCTCAGCTCCTTGCAAGCTCCGCCTCCTGGGTTCACGCCATTCTCCTGCCTCAGCCTCCCGAGTAGCTGGGACTACAGGCGCCCGCCACCACGCTTGGCTAATTTTTTTTGTATTTTTAGTAGAGACGGTGTTTCACCATGTTAGCCAGGATGGTCTCGATCTCCTGACCTCGTGATCCACCCGCCTCAGCCTCCCAAAGTGCTGGGATTACAGGTGTGAGCCACCGTGCCCGGCCACAACTAAATTATTTTAATTTGGAAATACCACTTGTGTATTGTGATTTTTTTTTTGGTTGAATATTATGATTCAGAACTGGGGATGGAACTTTACTTTGGAGAGGTTATGTATTTGCATAGGTGAGAATTGAGAGCCATAAACTCAGATTTCTACTCTGGGATATGCCCAGAGAATACTTTCTTATGTCTCATGAACTTTGAGAGTTATTTCATTAATTCATTATTTATGTGAATTCCAGGGCAGTTTTGCTACATATGAAGTAAATATGAAACATCCAGTCTGAATGAAAAAAAAAATTAAATGTTCTGTCACCTTACTCCTCTCTAGCAAAATCTCTGAGATTAGAACTCTAAATGATTCTTCTACAGATGCTATTTAGAAAATATGACCCACAACATTACAAAAATGAGCCAATACAGTTTCAGTAAACTGCATTTTTGTTTGGGGCTGGAAAATGTTATGTTAAATTGTAGGAAGAATTCCTTTTTTTTCACTAGTTGTTCTAAGGGTACTATACACTGTCTCAAATTTCCTGTTTTCATCATATTATCAATAGGAAGATTTTGCTGATGGAAATAATTACTGAAGGAGATCAGGAAATGTTCTCTTAAAGGTATAATTCTCCATAAGAAAATACATGAGCTACAAAATTATCCCTCTAACTTTGGGAATTTATGGGTTGGTGAGTGCAATAATGAATGTTCATATTGTAGATCCAGATCTTAAGAAAAGCCATTTTGCCAATAATCCGCTGTGAGGAAGCAGTGCAAATTAATTAATATTGAAGAAAGCACATTATGTGTCTGTATGCTTAAATGGCTGGCCCATTTGGACTGAAATGAATGATATATTCAGCTATAAATTCCAGTTAAGTTGGTGAACCAGTTAACTCAGTAAACGAATTAAGTAGTTCTAAATTTTAAAAAATGAATTGGATCGTTCGAGTAGATAGATCAAAATCAAAGATTGCTGTAAAGGAATATGGACGTAGCCCCCGAAATGAAAAATTTCTTGTGAGGCCATTTGCAAAGATGTCACAGAACATCTTTTGTAATTATTTGAGATGAATATGTAACTTTTTTTGGAATATAAAGTAGGAAAATAAATGGAGAAAAAGACTTCAGTAAAAATCTGGAGGCTTACAACAAAAATATGTTTTAGAAACCTACATGTGTTTTGAATAATGAAAGGCTTTCCTTTCTTTTATTTTGGTTACACTTTTTTAAGTAGCTAATAAATTTATCAGCATTCGTAACCTGAGTCAGATGAGCTGGTCCTTGATGGTTCTTCTGGTGCCTCTGATGCCAATTTCAACTTGTTTTCTAAGGAGATAGTATTTATTTACTTTTTGCAGAAATAATGTTGCCTCCTTCCAGTCTCTCAGTTTTGGTTTATTGCTTTTTGCTCCTTGGATTTTCTTCCCTTTTGTCCTTTTTCCCTCTTCGCATTTAAAACTAATCTCCCATTTCCATGCTTTTTCTTCTTTGCTTCACTCTTTGATTCCCTTCCTTCCAGT
Organism: Homo sapiens; assembly: GCF_000001405.40. Classification (NCBI taxonomy): domain Eukaryota; kingdom Metazoa; phylum Chordata; class Mammalia; order Primates; family Hominidae; genus Homo; species Homo sapiens. The sequence continues at coordinate 104,827,661 of NC_000002.12, read as the reverse complement.
GATACTGCTGGAATTTCTTCTCAACGTCACATCTACTTTCCTTCTCCATATTTCTTTCTTTCTTTATTTTTTTCGAGTCAGAGTCTTGCTCTGTCGCCCAGGCTGGAGTGCAGTGGCATTATCTTGGCTCACTGAAACCTCCACTTCCGAGGTTCAAGCAATTCTCCTGCCTTAGCCTGCAGAGTAGCTGGGATTAAAGGCACATGCCCCATGCCCAGCTAATTTTTTAAAATTAATTAATTATTTTTAGTAGAGACAGGGTTTCACCGTGTTGGTCAGGCTGATCTTGAACTCCTGACCTTGTAATCCGCCCTCCTCGGCCTCCCAAAGTGCTAGGATTACAGGTGTGAGCCACCGCTCCCGGTCCCCTTCTCCCTATTTCGTAAGTTTCTACTGATTGTCCTTTGTCCATGTCGCCCTAGTGTCTCCCTGTTCTCTTTGCTTCTGTGACTATCGTACTTTGTGCTCTTCCTATAGAGATTTCTATAGGAAGCTACTGGAAATTTTGAACCAATGTTGATGAACAACACTTTTTTTAATACAGTTTTCATTATCTTATTAATTGGAGTTGATCCTGAATTTCTCTTCCACAGTTGCTCAGTCTTGCCTTGTCTTCCTAAGCAGAGGTCATCTGTTCTTCCTCACTTGCTTATTTTGCTCTTTCTTTGTAAGGTAGGATTTGGTCACATCTAAGAAAATCTAGCTTGAGAGTCCTGCCTCACCAACTGAACCTGGGAGCTTAGTACATTCTCAGCAACCAAACAGGTGGCACCTTCACAGCCATTCTTTTTGGAACACACATGTCTGGGAGCAGTAAGACTGCTTAGATGGGAGGTTGGCATCGTGTGTGTTGGCATCGTGTGTGTCTCTGGGCACTCAGACAGTGATCAAACAGGGGCTCTCCACTTACCACTGTTTGTGTCACCCTGGGTAAACCACTTAATTCTCTGCACCTCTCTGCATTCCTGGACTCACTAGTGCTCACCTCATAGGGTTTTATGGAATTTTGCACTTAGAGCCAGTGACTGTTAATCCTCTATGTTCTTACCTGGGTAGAGACCCCAGAAAAGCTAAAACTGTACAAGTTAGACCCAGTAGACACAGTAGATGCAGCAGAAGCAAGGAATGGTAGAAATAATACCATGAACGTAACACTTAAAGCACACTCATATCATCCATTTCATTTTATCTTCACAACAACCCTGAGGATGTGTGAGGGCCACAGCTTCTCAGTAGGGAGCTGGGGCACCTCTTTGGGCCACTACTGCCACGCCATTCATTTGGGAGGACAGAAATGCCCACTAAAAAGCCACTGGGATATTATGAAGGTAATGGCCAGTAAGAGCTCATCCTGAGTGTGGAAAATTGGAGCCATTCAGCCTTGCAGAAAAGAGGAGTTTTATGTTTCATTCCCAAGTCCGGAGAAAAGAAAACCTTTCCTTTTCTTTCCTCTTTGTTGTTTTTGGCAAGACTCTGTAAGGCTGCAACTCACATATAAGACACACTGGGCCAAATTTTCAAAGAGCCTCTGTACTTTGCATGTGTTAGATTTTTCATGCCCAGCTACAGCTCTGGGTGGTGGTAGAGTTTGTGGGGTGGAGGGGAGGGTGGGCACAGATGGGCTTTTCACATTTGCTGCCCCACTTTGAATGTGGAAATATACTAACTTTTATGAGATTTGGTTTTCTTAAAAGTAGAGTTCTTTAAGGAGGCTTATACCTTCAGCAGTGCAGCTTTGAAATGAACAGTTCTGAAAATGATAAGGAGATCTGTGCTGTCTGCCTGGATAATGGTAAGAAGGTGGTTTATTGTCTGAAATAGAACTTGGCCAAAAGAGATCTCCAAATCATTGCAGAGCTTGTGTGGGTGAGTGACTTTCAGTTCCTTGCAGGTCATGGAATACCTTTTTCCTAGGCACTTTTTGTCCAGAATTGACCTTCACTGCAGAACGATTAAATGTCTTGGAATTTGTGATTGGGTAACAAGAAGCCTTGAGGGTTTGGTTTATTAGGGGAGATACGTAGATTCCTTTTTCCCCAGTGTGACCACAGTTGACTTCAAACTTACTTGTTTTGGCTCTTTGCCATCTGTATCTATTAGGATAGGGTAGGTTATGATGTGGTAGAAAAGAACCACCCAAATCGCAGTGGCTTAAAACAACAGGAGTTTATTTTTTGCTCTCACTGCATGTCCATTATGGGTTGGGAGGGGGTTTGCCTGTCATAGACACTTAGAAACATAGGGTGATAGAGGCCCCCTCTCCACCTGCTTCCACATTGATCATAACAGGAGGAAGGCAACATGGTGAGGCTCACCCTGGCTCCTAAAGCCTCTGTCCAGCAGTGACACCTGTCCCTTCTACTCACATTTTATTGGCCAAAGAAAGTCACTTGACCAAGCCTAATGCAAAGCAGTTGGGAAGCTGTCCTATGTCCCATCATCTGTTAGACATAACTGCACAGGGAAGGGGTTTCTCTGTGTTTATAATAATTAATGCTGCAAGTGTGAATTTTTCTGCCCCAGACATTTCTACATTGGTAGAAAAAAGTGTTGTCACCTAGATTCACAATAGTCTCCATGAATTGAAATTCCTATATCCTTGGAATTTTATAATACAGCAACCTAAAGGACTATTGATACTTTGAAATCCTTTCTGTGACAAGGACTGTGATGAAAATAATAATAAAGAATTAAAAACTCATCCATGGAGAGAAATACATCCATCCCTCAAGCAGTTGCTTTAACTTCACTTCTTTTACTTTCTTTCAAATGTGCTTTCAGGTTTTAATCAAAGAACAATATCATTGTAATCAGATTAATCAACATTTGAGGGATAGGAATTGAGACTTAGAGAAGACAGGTAGAGTAGATTTCTCAAGTATCTAACATACCAGTTAAAGTCTTTAATTCATATTTTGGGATTTGAGTGCAATCGCCGTTACCATCACCATCATTACCAACATCACCACCACCATCAACATCATCATCACCTTCACCATCACCACCACTGTCACCATCACAACCATCACCACCATGACTGCCATCACCACCATTATCCCCATCACCACCACCAACATCACCACTACCATTGCCACCACCATCATTGTCAGTGTCACCACCATGATCATCACCACCACCGTCACCACCACCACCATCACCACCATCACTACCACCACCACCACCACCACCACCATCACCACCACCACCACCACCACCATCACCACCATCACTACCACCACCACCACCACCACCACCACTACCACCATCACCACCACCACCACCACCAGCACCACCACCACAATCACCACCACTACCAGCATATCACCACTGTCACTGCTACCCCCACTACTGCCACCATCACCATCACCATCACCATCACCACTAATACCACCATCTATCACACAGTTGTGTGACCCATATAATGTTTCTTTTCAGACACCCATGGAGACCATAAAATTAGGTAAGATTGTTAGCAATTAAATTTGTTTTTTCTACACATTTCATAATCCAAGAATTAAAAAGGTTTATGGCAGAAAATTGGCAATTCGGAGCTGTCTTGGGGACTGGGTTTGGACTAAACTTGTCTTTCTCCTTCTTTGTCTTTTTCATCTTTGTTTTATTTTTTGAGACGGAGTCTTGCTCTGTTGCCCAGGCTGGAGTGCAGTGGCATGATCTCATCTCACTGCAACCTCCACCTCCCAGGTTTCAAGTGATTCTTCTGCCTCAGCCTCCCGAGTAGCTGGGACTACAGGCTTGTGCTACCACACCCGGCTAATTTTTTTTTTTTTGTATTTTTAGTAGAGACAGGGTTTCACCGTATTGGACAGGCTGCTCTAGAACTCCTGACCTCATGTTCCGCCCACCTCAGCCTCCCAAAGTGCAGGGATTACAGGCGTGAGCCACCGCGCCCAGCATCTTTTTCGTTTTTCAATATCCTTCTCTCCTCCTTTAACTTGAAAGAGAACCAAAGCTCAAAAATGCTACACTTCATAACATGCAGTCCTAGAAAGGGGCTGTGTGTTACTACAGCACTGACTTCTAAGCCCTTTCCTATCTATACCACTTGGGGGTGTCCCTTTCTAGTGCACAGATGTGGCCAGGATTTCCAAAGGAAGGGCTTTTTTTTTTTTTTCCCTGCCAAACTCTGCCAATCAGCAAGGGGAAGCTAGAAGGACCAGTTGAAAGTAGAGTGACGCATTTACCAAATTGGCATGATTTGGCAGAATCGTCTTTGGGAGATGTCACTTCATGAACTCCTCTGCCTGCTCTGATTTGGGTCTGATGCTCCAGGCCTCTGGGAACAGTGTTCAGAGTAGGCTTGTAGGTTATTCGCGTTGCCCATTGAGCTGCAGAAGTTAAGGTTGTGTTATTTCCTTTGGCTTATGTGAGGAGCGATGGCGTCTTGGACCCCTGCTTATGGCCTGTGCATTTTTAACAACTCTTAGCAAGGCATCCCAGGCATTTGCATCTTTAACATCCATGCAGGCTGGGGTAGCGGTGGAGAGGTGAAGAATAGGGAGATTCTGGCTCATGGCTAAAAGCCCGAGAGCTTTACCCTTCCCCCTTCAAATATTAATGAGACAAGGATGCTATTAAATTACCAATCCTGGCTCCAATTGAATATTTGCCAAGAATCCCATGCTCCTACCTCACATAATACATTTATTTTTCTTTTGGGGATTTGTTTTCTGAGTCAGTTTACTTCTCTGTGGTTCAATAATCACCAAATGGAATTTGCTCCATCTTTCATCCTTCATCATTAGGGGAAAATACAGTATCATTTTCTGGCAAGGAATAAATATCTCAAAATGGAAGACAATATTTAGTGACCAAAAAAGCCCCCCAAACCCTCAAGAGGACAACTTTTCTGATGAATCAGAACTGGAAGTGATTAAGGGCTCAGTGCATTAAAACAACGAGCACTCACGTCCATTTCTCCATTTCATAGGAAAATCAAACATTGTCTTTTAAGTAAGTGGAGGCCGCTTAACCAAACTCTTTAAGTGAGCCATAGATAAGTGCATTGGCATGGTTTGAGGAAATGCATAGAGGAAATTAAAAATATTTATTTTATCGAACTAATAGCTGTCCCCGCTGGAGATTGAAGTAATTGAGCCCGTAACTACAAGATAGATAACTATTCAGAAGTTTAGTTTCTATTTATCTAGCTCCTAACTGTCAACTTCAACTTGAATAGAAGTTGCAACATTGTAGCTTACTAAATGCTATGAGTGTTTCTTGGTTATAAAATGGAGTTGCCTCAGATTGTATTTTTAGATAAAAATGTACTTGGTTTGATTATTTGAATTAGTGGAGATTTTTTTTACATCCATTCAGAATTTGAAATTCCTGCGAATCTAGGTTGGCTAAAATTTTGTTGTGTTGTAGAGCATTGTGATTTTAAGATCATATATTTTGGTCATGCGAGTTTGGAAAGTTCCTTATGCCATTTTACAATGCATTTCATAAGAAAACATTTTTAAAGGCATTATTTAGAAATGAGGGCTAGCTATCTATTTTCATTTTAGGTTGTTCCCTCTTAGCTACTCCTATCAGCGCATACTATTAAAGCTTGCTTGTGTTCAGCTTACGGTTAGAAAATTCTTTGTGGTACCTATTTAATTTTCATTTTGGATTTATAAAGAAAGGGATATTTGGAATGCAACCCATTACACTGAGATGGCTATGTTTTTCTCAGGAGGCAGAAAGTAGCAACAGAAATAGTTAAGTTTTAATGAGTGCTTTGTAAGTGCTGTGTTCCAGGCAATAAGCTAAAGGATTTCATGTCCGTTATTTTGTGTGGAGACAGCAACCCTATTTTGTAGTAACTACAATTGCCATCGTTTTGCAGGTGAGGAAATTGACAGCTCAGAGAGGATACCTAGCTTTCCCATAGGACCCTAACCAGCAGTGGCAGAATGGCATACTCCTGACATGTGTGGCTGGGTCTTGCCGCCAAATGTAGGGGACCTCTCCATCAACAGGCAGCAGCCTGGGTATTTCACTGTGGTCTTAAAGCTCCTGGGATGAAAGGTGACAAATGCAAGGCTACATTCCCATTCTGCTCCACTTGGTAGAAATGCTCCTGCAAAACAACCATGTGTTTCAAGCAGGCTTTCCATGGAAAAGCTAGTGTGGGCACACACTCAATTCAGTTCTCAGGGTGCTTTCTCACAGAGGTCCTTCCACAAGATTACAAAGACTGGGAACCTAGCCCATTATTATTAACATTTTTACAAAGTTATTCTGGCTTCTTTCAGGGCCATATCAGTTTCAAAGATCGCTGTTGGGGTGGGAGCAACTGAAGTTGAAATAGTCTGAATGTTGAATGTAGCCTTGGAGCGGAAACTTTTCTTTGGAGTTGAAAAGTCGGTGGAATATTCATACAAACGTAATATGAGCACAAGATACCAAGTCAGTGTCAAAACTTTGTTCCAAACCATATTTGCTGTTTGTAAAACTGGCTTCTCAGGGACTGCCTGGGGGATAAGGTAAGAAGGCGAGTGGGTTGGGTTCCTGCATGCCTTGAGAAAGGTCTGGAGGTTGGGGCTCCCCTTCCCCATGGAGGGGGACCTTTCATCCACAGGACTTAGGATTTTGAGGGGTGGTGGTAATGGGGTCCAGCCCTTCCTGCTCTGGGAGGACCATCTCTGACTCAGATATGAATCTCATTTCTTTATTTTGCCACCTGTGTTGTGCATGAGAAATAGAAACTGTAGAGGTATCTATCGAAAATCGTCGTGTGGTGTTTTAAGAGTGCAGAAGTGACACGATTTGCATTTTCTTTGAAAGTCTCCTGACCAAGATATTGATTTAAAAAAAATCATGGGGCATAGACCCTGATGGACATCATCTTAGGATTCTGGAACTATACCATAAAACTAACCAAAGGGATCAAAAACTGATGACCTAAATTTCCTTTCAAGAATGAACAAATCTCTCTCATTTTTTCCCCCTAGGAACTCTACTCATCTGTAGTTAATCTAAGAATTAACATTTAGCAAATTACTGCCTCAGTGTCTTAAATGAGGTATGTGCCTGGTGGCTCTGTTGATTAGAACCTTGTGCTAATGAGGTCATGGGTTCAGTCCCCAAGAGGGCTGCTTCATTCATTGTGGTCCTCCAAGCCCCAGTCAGGTCTCCAAATGGCCACTGGTCACAAATGGCCTTTTGGGAAAGAATCAACAAAATTTTTCACCATTTATGGAAAAAACAACTCAAAGCAGATGACTTGAGTTAATTTGGAATATGACAACGATCCTATGGGGTAACAAAATGGTACCCTAGAGGCTGTAAGGACTTCTTGCAGACTGTGCCAAGTGCCACACTTCCTGGGGGTGGCTTCCTTGCTGGGAAAATTGATTGACGTGTGTGGGAGGTTCCAATCCTACCAGTTAAAGGGGAGTGCCAACTAATAACAGTAGGAGGCTGAATGCTTATTCAAAATGCAGACTCAGAGGGACACTTTAGTAGAATTTTGTTGAATTTTCGCTAGTCACTTATCTAAAATAGGAATCATTTTGGGCCTTCTGATTAACATCTGAAGTTATGCAACCCATGGGACCATTTCTGCCATTGCCAGGCCACTCCAACCATTTGTCTCAAGCCGCCAGGAGACCCAGTAGCTGGGAGCACTCAGAGTGAGGGTGATTCTCGTTCTCATGTACTCTCTCCATTTTCCACTCCCAGCCCTCTCTCAGAAACCACTTTTTCAGGTCCAGTTCCAATGCCAAGTCTCACTCAAGCATGACTGGATGCACTGATGTCCTCTGAGCCCATTTCTTGCATTTAGGGAACAGTAATGTCTAATGAGCTCCACTGGCTTTCTCCCAGTTACCAAGAACCCCTTCTCCAGGGCAGACACCAGTTCTTTTTGTAAAATTTTTTTAAAATTTTGATTACTATATCCCTTTCATCTAGCAGAGTGCTTTGTGTATAGTGGGAGTTAAAAAAATATTTGTTGAATGAATGAGTGAGTGGATTAAAGAACCAAATGTAGAACTGGTTCCATTTAAACAAGGATAATTTTTTTAATATTACAATTTTCTTGTTTTTCTTTTTACAAAAGCATGCGTGATTATTGAAAATAATTTAGAAAGTAGAGAAGAACAAAATTTAGAAAATAAAAATCACCTGTAACACCATCTCTTAGAGATAACCGTCCTTGCTGTTTTGGAGTGCTTAATATAGATACATATATATATATATCTATATATATCTGTCATATATATATGGAACTCTTGACAGTATGTATCATTGTATAATGTTTTTATTCATTATATCAAAATACTTTACATATTATATATTCTTCCACGTTATCATTAAAACATTTTTTAGAGCATTTCATTGCATCACTGGACTTCAACTTAATCAGTTGCATATTAAAATATACTTGTAGCTAAAATGTTCTACATAGCTTTGTTTATTTCCTTGGGATAAATTTCTATAAGAGGAATTGCCTGGCTCCATGGTTTTCTAATTTAATATGTGTTGGCAAGGTATTAATCAAAGAGGTACCACAAATTTTCACTCCTATTTGCAAAAATCTAGTGTACCACCACTATCCTCCTTTGCCGAACAGTGAGTATTATCATTCTTTTAAACATTTGCTAATTTCATAGGCAAAAAGTATATCAGTGTTCTTATACTTTGTATTTCTTTCACTAATAGTGAAACTGAGTTTTTAAGAAGTCTGGTCATTTTAATGTCTTCTTTGCAAATTGTCAGTTAATGTCCTTTAAGACCTATATATTTGGGGAGGCAATATACTTACCCCTTTCTGTTTCATAGGGCTGTTGTAAGAATTTTTTGAAGTAATCTATTTGAATGTGTTTGAAATCTACAAAGCAATACACAAATGTATTGATCAAATGTGTGACCTGGTAGGGGAAGGGTCAGGAAGAATGGTCTCTACTGACAAATGAGCTGAGTACTGGGTGAAGGCTTGGGTAAGATTTGTTTGAGGAGGGATAGGGAGAGGCTTCTATACAGAAAGGGAAAGGAGCCTTTTGTCAAGAGATTTGTGACTTTGGGAAGGTCTCTGGAAATAGACAAGGTCAGAAGCAATGCAGGGGCTGGCAGCTGGAAATGAGAGCCAATTAGAAAGAGCAGGGAACAAGACAGGCCAGAGGAACTGCAGAAAATAAAAGAGACTGAGTGGGAGTAGGCGACATCTCAGATGTCCCAAAACCACCAACGGAGAAAAGAAAAAAACAGCAGTGCCACTTCTCTGAAGACTCACCAGTAGGCCAGTGTAACCAAGGCAGCAGGCGTGTTCAAGAACAAACAGGGAAACAGTGCCACTGAAGACAGGTGTGATCCCATGGCCACAGGACGTCCGCGCTTTCCAATGAGTCCCTGGAGGAACCACACCTGCAAAAGGCATGCAAAATAGATAATTACATAAAGACAAAATACGGCACTAAAATTCCCCCAGCATGTATATGATCCCACTTATGTAAAATGATATATAAGGTATGTGTAGTATATATAATATATATGCTATATATTAGAGATATATTTTATTTTACTTTTTAATTTTTTTTGAGGTGGAGTCTCGCTCTGTCACCCAGGCTGGAGTGCAAGGGCATGATCTCAACTCACTGCAACCTCTGCCTCCCAGATTCAAGCGATTTTCCTTCTCAGCCTCCGGAGTAGCTGGGATTACAGGCACGTGCACCACCACGCCCGGCTAATTTTTATATTTTTAGTAGAGACAGGGTTTCACCATGTTGGCCAGGATGGTCTCAAACTCCTGACTTCAGGTGATCCGCCCGCCTTGGCCTCCCAAAGTGCTGGGATTGCAGGCATGAGCCACCGTGCCTGGCTTATTCTTTATATATTATACATGGATATAGGCATATGCATGCATGCCCTTGGTGTTCTTGAGATAGTGGTAATGAAGTGGGATAGGAAGAAATAATTATATTTGCTTTTATTCACCTTTTTAAGTATTGTTTTGCTTGTTACAGTAAGTACATATTCTCTAGTTTGAAAATAAAGAAAAATTAAACGAATATAAACTATGCTGTGAGTGTTGCTTGCCATCATCCACTCTGCAGCACACAGGGTGGGGAATTCATGAGGTAATGGGAGCTAAATTTCTGGGCCGTCACTGGAGCTCAGGCTAACTCTGGCAGGGGAGTCCTAGGGGGACCACCTGACAGTCACCTCTCATGGCACCAGGCTTATCACCATCTTACATTTAGATAAGGGGACACTTAGGTGACAAGGGGAAGCCGTACCTCCTTGACAGGAAGGACCCTGACCAACGGGTGGGACATTTCTGTGGGCTGGGAGCAAACACAGGTCTTCCTGCCAGATCAGGTGAGGGTGGCCACCTCGCAGGGAGGAGGCACAGATTAATTGCAGGGGAAATAATTTGAGCTTGGGACCAGGCGCAGTGGCTCACGCCTGTAATCCCAGCACTTTGGGAGGCTGAGGCCGATGGATCACCTGAGGTCAGGAGTTTGAGACCAGCCTGGCCAACATGGCGAAACCCTACCTCTACTAAAAATACAAAAATCAGCTGAGCTTGGCGGTTTGTGCCTGTAATCCCAGCTCCTTTGGAGGCTGAGGCAGGAGAATCATTTGAACCCAGGAGGCAGAGGTTGCAATGAGCCAAGATCGCGCCACTGCACTCCAGTCTGGGTGACAGAGTGAGACTCTGTCTTAAAAAAAAAAAAAAAAAAGAATTTGAGCTTGGTAGAGGAGAGAAAAACTTTTCTTCTCCTTCAGTTCAAGGGCTGCCATTGCAGCAGGTGAAACAAAGCCCTGACTGCGTGGGGTTTTGTGTTGCTTTATATTAGGTGAGCTGCTTTGAGGCAAAACCCTGTTTCCTGTGTCCTTCATGGGCCAGGCACTGTGCCGGGGCTTGAAGTGCAGAAACAAGGCTGAGGTGACCTCTGCTCTTCTGAAGGTCACAGTCAAGCTGGGGAGACAGATGGTACAGGAGATCCCAGACCAACAGAGTATCGCCACGCGTGGCAATGATGGCTCCGCAGGAAACCCACTAGGCATGAGGGTGAAGATCAGGGCTAGGACCGCTTTGGACCGGAGGTGCTCTCTGACAGGTCTTTCTGAGCACAGGACATTTCAGGCAAGTCGAGGATGAAGCAGAGAGGCTGACAGTGAATAGCGGGATGCGTGTCCTGTTCATCTGCAGAGCCATGAGCTGGGCTGCTGGGTTAGGGTGCGGTGTGAGAGGATGGCTTCCTGTTCAGGAGTTGGACTTTCTCCCAAGTGCAAAGGCTAAGTAGTGTGCTCAGAAATCCAGTGATGGAGTGCCTCTGCCTCCACTCAGCGCCTAATACAAATGTGCTGAATGAGCAAAAAACAAATACAGTAGATGGATGTTGCATGCTCAGAAACATTCCATTTTATTTTATTTTTAAACTTTGGTTTCAATTTCTATTATATAAAAAGTCACTTCCATTTAGATTTGTTTTCACTGCAAGACCAAGCTACAGTGGGGAGAATGGGGTCTGGTGTTTAGCCACGTGCCTGCAGCTAGAGGGAAGCAGCTTGAGATGCCCTCCCACTGCCTGGACCTCATGAAGTGCTTTCACGAACCAATCCGTCCCCTTTGTCATCACCAGACACACTAGACTGAGCAGGTATTCATATTGTCTCCACTTTGAAAATAAGGATGCGGAGCCTGGGAGAATGGAAAAGACTTGGCAAGGTCTCTGGAACATGTGCCTGTGTTCTGGTGAGCTTTCTGTGAGCCCAAGGCAAATGGTGGCCACATTCAGAATTGCTTGGGCTTCTACCTGTGGCCTCAGAGGCCTTTGCTGGAGGAGTCTGTGGTGAGCAGGAAGGAGCTTAGGGGTGGCCCTGACAGACCATCCCCACTCCTCTTACCACTTCCACACAGGTCAAGCCCTTGGTTGGTGTCTGCTCATCAGGTGAATGGGAGACTCCACCTCTCTAATCCCACTCTGTGCCCACTGGGTGTCCACATCCTAAACTTCATTAGGACTCCGAAGTCCTGTGGTTGGGGCAGGGACCAAAAAGATCAATGGAAGTTCTGGCTGTCTCCCCCGTCCCTACACTTAAATATATGTGGTTGTAATGATTCTGGATATGCTACCTGTCTACCAATGAACATCTTGGTCCTCTGCCATCCTGAAGCCCTGGCCCAGCCTCCCCCTTAGACCTGTTTCCAAGGGAGTCTACTGTGATCACTAGGATCACCGCTTATGATGTGAGACTCATTTAGGTGTGTCAGCATTTGGGGACACGTGTGACATTCAGAATAGCTAGTGTAGATCTTCAACCAGCTTCCATTCTATGTTTCCTGACAGGATTCCACTGGTAATTCTTTGGAGCAAAACGATGCTTTTGCAACTTAATCATCAGCATTTGGAATACAGTAACTCTTGTCTGAGCTTGAATGGAAAGAACCCACAGTCTGTGAGTTCCAGCCATTTAGAAAAATGACAGTTGCCGTAAGATGTGAACTTGACATTTGAAATCAGCAGACAATGAGGAGTTAGTGTGATGTAAAGAGACAAACATGGGATTTGGAGATGGGGAGGGCTGGGTTCCACATGCTTTTCACTTGCTGTCATGGGACTTTGGAGTGGATAGTTTTCATGATCTCACTAAAGCCTATTTTTATCACCTTTTAAATGGGGGATAATACCATCTACCTCATAATATATTGGTGAGGATTAAAAGAGAGGAATTAAAATACCTGGCACATAAGAAACACTCAAGAAATATTAGTTTCTCTGCCCCTTTACTCTTAATAATTCAATTAATCACTCCAAAAATAGAACATTCTTCAGAATAGACTCCTACCCATTTGTTGTTGATGGGACATCCAAAGGGATGTGCAATTATTTTGTTTGGTGTATAGTAAGTTGACTTTGCACTTTAAAAGGGGAAAAAGGAAACCTCTGGTACCTCAAACAATGACCCTTTTGAAGTCTGCACTGGACACCATTCTCAAAGAATATTCTTATTAACATACTTTCTTATAAATGGAGCTCTACTCATCAAATATGTATATGTTAGTACCCTGCAGAGTCAGAGCAGCGCTTGGCAAGCCTGAGGATGTTTCCCACGTGTGCTGTGGGATGGCATAGGCAGGGGAGACCCTTTAATTTTGTGACATGGTTTTTGGGGGGGCTCCAATGTGAGGTACTCTTGGCATGGTTTCTTCCAGCTCTGGGCCTGTTCTGGGGCCTGTCAGGACTCCCACATATCCCATCTTTGCAGGCAACTCCCTTTGAAGTCCATGGGAACTCTTTGAATGGAAAACATACACAACGGGGTGTTGATGCCAATAAGAATCAGGCCTGATGTATGCAAGGAATAAAGGTGCTTCTCACCCCAAATATTAGCTCTTTAGCCCAGAAACTGTGGTTTGATCATTAAATAAAAGAGCACTCCCCTCCCCTCAAAAAACTCACAATCCACCACCAAAGCTCCACCACCACCACCCATTTGCTCTGGAGATGATAAACCTGCTAATTGCTGGAGAGTTTTAATTAAGCAACAGATATAGACAGTGTAGGGCTGTGTTTTTACTTTAAACATAGCAATAGAATAAACATTCTCAATTCCAGGGCAACTTCCTAAATGAAAAAAAAAAATAAACATCACTCATCGGGGATGATAATTTAGAAAAATATCTCTATTAGAGATAGTTAGAGACCTTTTTTCTTTTTTGCTTTTTTTTTTTTTTTTTTTTGGTTGAAAATGCAATCGCCGATGGAGCGCAAAGCTGCAATTTGTAGACAGGTTAAGTAAATTAAATCACTCACTGTCTTTTTTTTTTTTTTCCATTGGCTTTAAAAGTTAAAGGTAATTTGCAAAGAAAATGCTCAGTTTGAATTGGTTTGTAATATCTGTTAATGATCTTTAAAAAAATCCACTTATTCACAATTCTGTCCCTGGGGGAATTCCAATGTGCTATCAGAAAAAATTTCTAAAGTCTGAAATGTCATTAGCTAGTGATTTCTTTGAAGTAAAAAGCCCCGAAAAAAATAAATTATATAAGGTATACAAGTGCACAGGACAATCACTTTGATGAATAATATCTCTTTTTTTCATAACGTTTCATACCTAAAAATGCAACAACTGAAATTCAAGCTGGTAAATTATAGAGCCATCTTTTGAATTACCTCAATGTAGGCATGCCTTCTGTTTATTTCTCACATATATTGAGTTCTTCCATATATTTATAGATTGTTGATATAAAAACAGTAGTGTTAGGAACAATTTTGATGATATTCATTGTGTTTTCTTTTTGGAAACACAAAGTGTTGCCTAAATACAGGCATACAGGTGTTGCCATCCGGGGATTAAAACAATAGCCTATTTCAATATTCCATCCTGGACCCCAGAGCCAGGTGCCGTGAATGGAGGTGCAAATGCTACTCAGCCCGGGAGAGTTGTTCAATATTAGATAACAGAGCCATGAAATACTACACCAAAGGGAAAATTTTCTTCCTGACCCCAGCTGGTGATCAGTTTTTGCCTGGAAGCAGGGGAGTCTTTGTAATACAATACTTGTCAATGTTGTTGGTTTGGCTGCTATAAATAGCTATTTTTTTTGGAGGATGGGAGGAGTTGGATTTTACTAAACCATTGGCTACAGGTTAATTATACATTTCATAAAAAAGCATTTCTTGTAGCCAGTCTAAATTTGTTACGTTTTAATCCCATTTTATATAAGGCTAGAAATATATGAGCCTCCAGCAGGCCCGTTATTTTTGTCATTATTTTATACATTGGACCTTCAGCTCTCTATCTCTCTTTTTTTCTTTTTCCTCTCTATGCATTACTCACCTCTTAGCTAAATTGCAGAGGGTCCCAGTTTCATTCATTCTCCCTCACAGGGAAGGCATTCTCTTCCTCTTCCTCCAGCTGCCTGAAAATCATATGCGTGGTTTTTCCTGTTTCCTGCTCTGTAGCTGACATCAGGGGAGCAACGTGAACACAGGTAAGAGCCAGCTTGGTTAGCAAATTAAAATTGATTGATTTTAATGAAGATATTCTATAATATTTTCTTATTCCCTTTATTTATTTCAAGGAAAATGGAAATCAACATTTGAAACTTTTAAATGGAAGCTTTATTGGGGTTCCACATATGGAAAACTGCAAATAGCAGAAGTATGTGACTCAATAAATTATTCTGGAGTGACCACATCCTCTAACTGCCTCCCAGGACAAGACGGAGAATGTGAACAATGCTCCTGAAGGCCCCTTTCCCTCAAAGGTAACCACTGGCCTGACTTCTGACACCATACATTTGTTTTGCTTTTTTGAACTTCATGTAAATGGAATCATATGGTAGGTATTCTTTTTTAAATTTCATCTTTATTGTGATAAGAACATTAAACATGGATAGGTGTTCTTTTGTCTGTCTTCATTCTCTCAACATTATTTTTGTGTCTATGTAGTTGGGTATACTAATAGTATGTTTTCTTTGTTATATTTTCTTCCCTTGTATCCTTGTATCAGTAATATAGCACAATTTATCATTTTTTTTTTTTTTTGAGACAGGGACTCCCTCTGTCACCTAGGCTGGAGTGCAGTGGCATGATCTTGGCTCACTGTAGCCTTGACCTCCTGGGCTCAAGTGATCCTCGGACCCAGAGTAGCTGGGACTACAGGCCCATGCCACCATGCCCGGCTAATTTTTGTATTTTTGTATTTTTTTTTTTTTTTTTTTTGTAGAGACAGGGTTTCGCCATGTTGCCCAGGCTGGTTTCAAACTCCTGGACTCAAGTGATCTGCCCGCTTTGGCCTCCCAAAGTGCTAGGATTACAGGAGTGCACCACCATGCCCGGTAGTTTATCCATTTTCCCCTTGATGAACATTTGAATTGTTTTGAGTTTTAGGCTACTTTCAGAGAGTGCAGCTGGAAACTTTCTTGTGCATGTCTTTGATGCTTGTGTATATGCATTATGTTTAGTCTATATATAGACTAAAGGGGAAGTTACCAAATTGTAGAACATGACTATGCTCAACTTTAATAAATAATGCCAAACAGTTTTCCAAAGAGATTGTGTCAGTCTCCACTCTTACCAGCAGTGGGTGATGCTCTACATCCCTGCTAGCACTTGGCATTCTCAGTCTTCTTGATTTTGGTCATTCTGGTGGTATGTATAGAGTCTCATTGTGGTTTTAATTCCATTTTCTTGGATTATTAGTACACTGAGCATCTTTTTCATGTATAGTGGCTATTTGGATATTCCCTTTTGTAAGTGGTCTTATTAAGTCCATTTTTCTATTGGACTTTTCATCTTATTGATTTGTAGGAGATATATATTCTGCATATAGCTTTTTGGTTATATATGTTAAAAATATGTACCACCCTGAGCTTGACTTTTCATTCTCTTTGTGGTGCCTTTGGATGAATAGAAAATATTAACTTTTTCTTTTGTTTTGTTTTGCTTTTTGAGATAGGAGTCTTGCACTGTTGCTCAGGCTGGAGTGCAGTGGCTTGATCATGGCTCATTGCAGCCTCAACCCCCAGGGCTCAAGTGATTCTCTCACCTCAGCCTTCTTAGTAGCTGGGACTACAGGCATGTGCCACCATGCCTATCTAATTTTTGTATTTCTGTTGTTGTTGTTGTAGATACAGGGTTTTGCCATCTTGCCCAGGCTGGTTTTGAGCTCCTGGACTCAAGTGATCCTCCTAACTCAGCCTCCCAAAGTGCTAGGATTACAAGCATGAGTCACTGTGCCCAGCTGATTTTAATGTTACTGTTAATATAGTCTATTTCCCTTTGTGGTTAATGCTTTCTGTGTCCTATTTAGGAGAGCTTTGCTTATTTCAAGGCCATAATAATATCCTTTCATATTATCTTTTGTAAGTTGTGTTGTTTCACCTTTCACAATTGGATCTACAATCCACATGGCATTGATTTTTGTATGTGGTGTGAGGTTGGGATCAAGTTTGGTTCTTTACTCCATGATATCTACTTACCCTTCATGATGAATGGAAAAGACTTCCTTTCTCCAATGCTCTGCAGGGACACTTTTGTCATAAATTAAGCACCCACTTCTTTATAGAATTATCATATTACTTTTTTCCATTATTCTGTTAGCATGGTGAGTTATTCAATGGGTTTTTGAATGTTAAACCAATCTTGCATTTCTGGATTAAACTCAACTTGGGTGTGATGGAATATTTGTCTTACATATTGCTGCATGTACTTTGGTCATATTTTCAAAAATAATTTTTATAGAAATGTTTATGAGTGAAATTTACCTGTAACTTTCTTTTATTGTAATGTCTTTCTCAAATGTGTTATCAACGTTCCACTGGCTCATAAAACAAGTTGAGAAGTATATAGTCTTTTAGAAATTAAAACATAAATGAGTCTAATATCACATAGTAATTAAACATATATGTAGTTTATCCTGAGAAGGACTCACTACAGTTTTCTGTCTTTCTATGTTTCTGTGTATTTTAACTTAGATTTTTAGCAGGAAGCTGGTTTTGTGTGAGTTTTGCATGGGAAAGTAAATAGGAATTAGACTATCTTCTAGGAGTTTCCATATGGCACTCAGCAGTATGTTCATGTGCCCAAGGCTGAAATTTGTTACTGCATCTCAATCCTGGAACCCATAATCAAGGCTCATCAGTTGAGAAACCTTTTTGGACATATGACAAGTGTTCAGATAAAATATCTGATCCCTGCCAAGAATCTTCTAGGCCAATTTAATCTCTGACTTTTGACCTTATCTGTCACTGCTCCAAAGACTTTTTAATTTTTATTTTTAAAATATCCTGTAGTAGCATGCATATCATTCCTCATCCCAGCTCTCTTTTCCTACTTAGTATTGTCCCAGTTCAAGGCCTTGTCACCTCTTGCCTGGGCAATGGCGTCTATGGGATACTATTCTCCATTTATCTTCTTCTCAGCCATGCAGATGCTGACTCTGAAATAGAAAGCTAACCACATTAGTCCTTTGCTGAAAACCAGGTGATTTCTGTATTGCTCTGCAAGATGAAGTCCAGGTTTATCAATGTGGTGCAGGTTCTTGCATGATCTGATGTCTTAGTCCATTCAGGTTGCTTAACAAAATATCTTAGACTGAGTAATTTATAAACAATAGAAATATATCGCTGGTAGTTCTGGAGGATGGGGAGTCCAAGATCCAGGCGTCAGCAGATTTGGTGTCTGGTAGGGCTTCATAGATGGCACCTTGTTGCTGCATTCTTACATGGTGGAAGGGGCAAGGAAGCCCCCTGGATCTTCTTTTATAAGGGCACCAGTCCTACTCATTATGGTGGAGCCCCCATGACTGAATCACTTCCCAAAGGCCCTACCTCTTAATACGATCCTGTCAGGTATTTGGTTCCAACGTGAGTTTTGGAAGGATACCAGCATTCAGACCATAGCACCTGGCTCTTGCTCACCTCTTCAGTCTGCTCTCCTGTCTCACTCTAGTCTTTGGCTTTACATTCCTGCAGCTCTATCTTCTGGTTCCAACTATGTGTGCTCCCTGTGGTTCTCTGTGCCTGTGCATTTGCCTGTGCTGACCTTTCTCCCTGGAATAGACTATCCATATCCTTCTGGATAATCCATTCTTTAACAGCCAGCTCAGGCTAGGTAACCTTGCCCTCCACCCAGCTGGGCTGCTTGGCTCTCCTTTCTGCCCATGTGTCTGTCTGTCAGACTGGACCGTAAGCTCTTTGCAGGCAAGGTCTGGGCTTTAGTTACCTATGTACAACCATAACTTCCTGTTTGCTGGTAGATAACAGGTGCACAATAAACAATGATAGATCCAAACAGAAGGAAGAATGGTGACTAGTTGACTATTTTGAGTTTCATTTCATTTCTTTATGGAAGCCTGAGATGGAATAAAATGGTCAAAATGCCATGACCAGAAGGGAGGCAGGAAGGAGGCAGGAAGGCAAAGGCTCAGGAAGATCTGTAGATACAATCTCTTCCTGTACAACTGAGTTCAGTCTAGCTGATTAAAATCCTCTTATGGTGGAATCCGCTTTTTATAGAATGGATTAGCAACAAGGATTTGCTGTGAAGATAGATTTTTCCAGAGAAACAAATTTGAGCAATTTAAGAATGTAAATGAAAAAAAATCCTGCCCCAAAAGCAAATTGACCAATATCCTTCCCCTGTCTCTTATTAATAAAAGAGTTTACACAGACTCTCTTTAGGAAATCATGTGAGAGATTCACAAGGATCATTAAATCTCTGCTAGACATTCACTTTCACTTTGTAAAATTGGCTATACCCTCAAAATGGTATCACGTAGAAACGGACTTTCTGGGGCTCTTATCTATGAATGGGTTCTAGCTGCACAGTGATGCCATTCATTTTATTTGGCCCATTTATTGCAAGTACATTCTAAATTTGGCCTTAATTATTTTTCCTTTCACAAAAATATTTTGTGGGATCTTTTTGAACCCTGACTACTTCCTTCTTGCCCCTTAAAACAGAAGCCAGGAGCATTATTTTTGTTCTCTTCTAATTAAAATAATTGCTTGGCTCCTTTTAACTAGATTCATGCAGTTATTAGCCTAATACATGGATGGGTGCCATGGAGTGCTTGAGAAACAAAATGAAAAGTGATCATGTAGCTTCACATGAAAAAGATTCTGTGGTGCCAAGGAGCATTATTTCCTTTCAGCCAGTATTTTATAAGGGCTTTCGTAAACCTGGCCCCCATACCCTCACTAAAAGACTATTAAGTGAAAGAATAGCTCTATTTTCTTTATTAAGGTATACCGCTAGCTCAGTACAATTTGAAGAGGGGCACTTGATATGCCGAGCATGGCACAAAGACCTCGGGTCTGGTTTTAATCTCTGCCCCGGCTTTGTCTTTCAGAATCACTGCAATTGAAGGAAAAATGCTCCATGTCCCCTCTGCCAGTTGGTGTTTATCAAAGGACAACGGAGGAAGAGAGACAAAGTGCCTGGATGTGTGTGTTAATCAAGAGTTGTCAGGACCCTGCCTCTAAAAGAAAGCGCTAAAATGATGCTTTTGACAAGACTTTTCTCAAAGTGGATGCAGTCTAAGGGTTGGAAAACAAGGCCCAATCAGGCTAGGTCTGACTTGTCGCCTGCTTTTGTAAATAAAGTTTTATTGGCTCACAGACACACTTATTTGTTTCTGTATTATCTATGGCTGCTTTCGCGCCACAACATGGAGCAGTTGTGGAAGAGACCATATGGCCGACAAAGCCTAAGATATTTACTCTCTGGCTCTTGACGGGAAAAGTTTGCCAATTCCTGATGTTCTCCATCCAGTTCATTGTTCATTTACTCGATACCTACTCCATACTGATAAATAAATTTGTAGGTATTTTTATGTAGTACTAATTTGAAGAAATGCTCAGGGCCTTTGGCTGTGAGTTAATTTTATGAGTATTCAGAGCAGGTATATGGATGGCAAGCAGCAAGAATGATTTAAGGTAAGAAGTCATGGTTAGAGATAAGATTCTGCCATTGTCTCGGGGTAAATCACTGATTATAGCCATCTTTTTCTCTGCCTGCTCTCTGGAGAAGAAGGTGTACACATATCTGGAACTCCTAGCTTGGAGTGCACCTTTATTAACTACATCAAGGCATTATGGTCAACATTGTGGACTTCTGCTTCCAGGACAAATGATGAACATCCTTTCCCACCATTTGGTGGTTGGGAGGATCAAGTGAGAGAATGTGAATCCAATTGTTTTCTAAACCATATAGGTACTATATTTGTGGTATAGATGCTATCTATAAAACTTTAGAATAAATTATCATCCCTATTTGGCATGCGAGGAAATGAGATTTAGGTAGCATGCCCAAGATCATATAGTAAGCCAGTAGAACAGCTGGCAGTTACTTCTCCTGGCTTTAAGTCACTACTCTTTCCGGTATACCATAATGCTTCTTTACATCATGTGTCTTTCTATAGTTTTGGAAATGTTCAGTCCTTTAGTTCATTGGTTCACTCATTCATCTGCTATTTAACATAATTTAAGAGCCCTGTATGAGCTAGAAAAAGAGCTGAAATTTTCCAGGGAGTGATGACTGTTTAAAGATGAGTTGTAACTCTTCAGTTGTTTTGTTCTTAGACTCCTGTGGCTGGAATCCTCCAGAAGTCCATAGATTCTTCTTCTGTTTTATTCTGTGCTGTCCAAGGAGTTGGCTTTTATTTGTGCTATGGAGAAAGAGAAAGTATATGAACTTGGAGAGGGAGAGTAATCCTATTGCTCTACAAAATGTTGCCTGACATCTTGTTTTACATTGTGTGCATATGCATGTCTCTTGAGTGCACATACCATGAAAGGAAAGAGAATGAGCGATACTGAAATGTTGATAGCAGATTGTACCAGCAACTAAAAGATGAAAATGATCCAGGCTTGGGAGATGCGAAAGCTAAGATTTTGTACATAAAGTCCAAGTGAATCCATATCAAAGAAATTTCAAATATGAATTACCCAGCTAAGTGACATATATTAAACATGGGTGTGCCAGATATAGGCTTATTTTACCATGCTGTTCAATACAGCTCTTCATTCAGATTATATTTATTCAATTATGTGTCTTGTAATTTTTGAGATGAGATGATGCCTAGAGGAAGCAGCTTCCACCAAAATATTGGATTTGCCTTGTCATAGTAAGAGAAGTACTTAAAAGTTTCTGATTTTGATATTTGCCCTTTTAGTAGGGGAAGTTTGCCAATATTTTCCTTTCATTCAGTGTCACTGGATACTTGTTGTATGAGTTCGTTCTTACGCTGCTATGAAGAGATACTCGAGACTTAGTAATTTATAAAGAAAAGAGTTTTAATTGACTCACAGTTCTGCATGGCTGGGGAGACCTCAGGAAACTCACAATCATGGTGGAAAGTGAAGCAGGCATGTCCTTCTTCACATGGTGGCAGGAGAGAAAAGTGCTAAGCAAAGGCTGGAAAAGCCCCTTATAAAACCATCAGATCTCATGAGAACTCACTCACTATCATGAGAACAGCATGAGAGTAACTGCTCCCATGATTCAGTTGCCTCCCACCATGTGTCCCTCCTATGAAACGTGGGGATTATGGGAGCTACAATGGGCTATGGTAGGGACATAGCTAAACCATATCACTTGTTCTCATCAGATTTATTGGTGAACCTAAAAGTCATATGATTCTCTAAAACAAAGGTGCCAATGAAGCTGCCTAATGAAAAAAAACCTTCCAGAATCTTCCATTATACAGTTGTCACCTGCAAAGACCTCTGAGAGGTGCAGTAGAAAGTTCTGCTTTACTCTCCTCGTTTCCCCCACAAAAGGCAGTCACAGCCTTGCCGACTGAATTTGGAGGTGATAGTATCAATTCTGTGATTCATCCATGCAGTATGCTACTTCTCAGATATTCCTAGGACCCAGGACACTGCTGTTTTAAGGAACATAATTTGTTTCATCATACAAAAGGCATATTCATAGAAGGACTTAATGTTGCTACAGATAAGACATTTTGTCAGTAAGGAAGTTGTCAACATTAATTTATTTAACTTTCCTCTAACAGAGTGAATTTTCTTCCATTTGCTGTGGAATACACTTCTTTTTCTAATTCTATTCATTTAGCAGGTATTCTACTGAAAAAATTGTCACCATGTTGGCAATATTTTGTAGAGGGGAAATAGATTTTTCAACAAAGTGTAAAATTCCACTGCAATAGAAGGCCTCCATTCTCTCAGTGTGTAAGTCTGTTTTTTAATGATTAAGCAATACTGTGGAAGAAAGTTAAACCTCTTTGAAAACTATACTGTATTACCACTATTACTGTGACTATCATTACTGTGTGCAGTGTTCTTAATGGCTTAAGTATATTACCCTGGGTTTCCCAGAAAGTAGAGCTTGAGGAAAATCTCACGTGCTGCCTCTTTCGTGGAGAGTTTCATCCCAGAGTAGTAGGAGTTTGGAAGAAAAGGTAGTGCGGCTGAAATGCAAGGAGCAAATACAAGGGTGTATTATTGATGTATGTGATGACACGTAGCTGTCATCAAATGACATGTAGCTGACTGCTCCATCACCTGAGGCTGTGGTAAGCTAAACATTGGCTCCCAAAGAAATATCCACATCCTAATCCCTGGAACCTGTGAATGTTACCTTATATGGCAAAGACTTTGCAGATGCCATTTAGGATCTTGAGATGCAAAATTACCCTGAGTTTTCTGGGTGAATGGTGCATGCAGCCCAACACAAATGTCCTTGCAAGAAGGACGCAAAGGCAGGTTTCATACACAGAAGAGGAGAGGGTAGTGTGATCAAGGAGACAGAGATCTGAGTGATGTGGTCATAAGCCAAGCCACAGCCACCAGAGGCCAGAGTAGGCAAGGAAGGAATTCTCCCCTAGAGCCTCTGGAGGGAGCACACCCCCCGCCAATGCCTTGCTGTGAGCCCAGTGATACTGATTTCACACTTCTAGCCTCCAGAACCATAAGATAATACATTTCTATTGTTTTTAACCACCAAGTTACTGGTAATTTGTTACAGCAGCTACAGGAAACTAATACAGGGACCATCCTCCCAGAGCATGAGTGACTAAGTCTCAGGACAGACTGATTGGGTGGAGGGAGAGTGAAGAAGGGAAAAGAATTTGTTTGCCAGCTTCAGCCTCTGATTGATTGGTAAGTGGCTTTTGCCATGGGTTATTAATCCTCCTTTATTTCCTCCTCTTACCTCTGGGATGAGCATGGTTGTGCACTGAATTTTGCTGGGATATCTCATGCTTCAGGGGCAACAGAGAAGCCCCAGGGTGGGAGAAGAGAAGCCAGGCAAGGTACCCAAGGAGAGGCTCCACTGGATCTTGTGCTCTACAGTCTATTGCAAGGCAGCTCTGGTGAACAATTAGTCAATGACCCTGGGCAGTGTGGCTGAGTTGGCACCTGAGAGGTAGCTGGCAGAGGGGTCTGAGACAATGGTCTCCTTAGTTGGCACCACAACTCCACAAGGCAGTGGGATATGATGTCTTCAACAGGCTCTCATCCTAAGGTCGTGAATACTGCTAGCTTGTGGATCCTGCTGCCCCTCAGGGCTGCACTTCTGTCTCCCACTGGAGTAAAAACCTGTCTTCTTGTAGCTCTATGATTGGCACTAGTTTTCCTTCTTTTTTTTTTTTTTTTGAGATAGAGTCTTGCTCTGTTGCCCAGGCTGGAATGCAGTGATGTGATCTCAGCTCACTGCAACCTCCGCTTCCCAGGCTCAAGTGATTCTCCAGCCTCAGCCTCCCTAGTAGCTGGGATTACAGGCGCACACCACCATGACCAGCTAATTTTTGTATTTTTAGTAGAGACGGGGTTTCACCATGTTTGCCAGGCTGATCACGAACTCCTGACCTCAAGTGATCTGCCCACCTTGGCCTCCCATAGTGCTGGGATTACAGGTGTAGCTTTCCTTCTTGATGTACATAAAATAAGGCTCATTCTTATACATGAAAGCTCTCTCCAAATATTTGAAGATTGTCTTTATCTGTTTTTTTTTTTCCAGGCAAAACAGTCCTATTTTTTTCAACTTGGCTTTGTGGAGGAGTTTTCTTTTTGTGGCTGGTGGCCACACCAGCCCCCTCCTCTGGACAAGCTGTAGTTTGCCTTCCTCTCACCTTACAAGGCAGCTCACAGAATACACCAAAACTTCAGGTATGGTCTGCTCAAACACACAGGACTTTGACTTCAAGAATGTTGCCAGAGATGGACTTTATTTTATTTTATTTTATTTATTTTTGGCAAACACATCATTTTTAGTTGCTCTACGCTGAGTGTCGATTAAAAATGCTCTTTTATACTTTGGTATAGATGCCTATATAGAAGCACATAGTCTTAAAGGTACTCAAAGGGCCTAAAAGGGTCAATCTATTTGCAAATGCTAACATTGTAGGTAAAAGATGAAAATGCCAAGCCACATCAGGGCACATCAACATCCACAGTTTTAGGCTGAATTGAGATCAGTAGGTGATTCCCACAGTTTGGTACCAATCAGCCATACCAGCCTGGGGAGCATTCTCAGCCAACCCTGCCTACCACCAACACTTCCCCATAAAAAACCAACTTCCGGAGCAGCTTCTGGAGGTAGATTTACCCAGGTGTGAACGAACGTTCCCTTTCACATCTCTAGCAGTCAGCACTGATTTGGATTCTGTTCTTGGTCCAGTCCAAGTCCCCAGGGTCTTCTGTGAGAAGAGTCAATACTGCAGGCTTAAAAGGCCTGGCTGGGCAGGCATCCATCATCTCTCATCTTCACACAGCCCTGTGAGGTAGGCATTATTGTCTTCATTTTACACATAAAGAGATGGGCTCAGCAGGTCAGACTTTCTGCCACACCAGTTAGCAGCCAGAATGAACGTGGAGCTCAAGGGGTTGGAGGGCACCTTGGATCTCTGTAGTTGAACCAAGCCTGGAACTGACCCTTCTGGAGCCCCTTAAGGAGCTGAGTAGCACACAGTTTTTACAGAATGGCTGGTCCTCTGTGGTTCTGCTCGGCGACTAGGCCTCCTGGAGTCATTTATGTCAGGGAAGCAAGGCCCTGCAGTGTTCTGGCCCAGCCTCTTCCATTCACAAACATGGGAGCTTCATTGGCTTGGCACGTATTCACCAAGTGCCTGTTGGGTCTCTTAGGCCAAGCCAGGGTCGGAATGGAAAAACACAGGCCCTTGGTATAGGTCATGCTGCCCATGAGTGAGTGGCAGGGGTTGGAATTGGGGGTCTTGGTGTCTTACTCCCAGTCTGGTTCTGTGGTGTATCCACACACAGCTTGTGAGCTCTCTCTGGGCCGCCTACCCAGACAGTGTTCTTCAACCCATGAGGTGGGATAATATTGTATGAGCATTATCTGCCTTTTTACCACTCAGTATTTCTTTTCATCTCTTCCTTATTCAAGCAACTGGCCACTGCCTGCTTGGGGCTTCAGGGAGGGAAACGATGTGGAAAACGAGTCTTCTCCTGAGTGTGACATATTCTTTAGGTTGACTCCCTCAATCCCCTCTGCAATCCCCATTCTAACTGGCATTTAGATATCCCCACTCTAACTAGCCTCCTGCTGTGGAGGCTGGAAAGCCAAAAGCTCCCTTTCCCAACTGCCCTACAAATTGGGGTGCTCAGATGCCTACAATAGTACACCCCATGAACCGCAGGCCACAGTCCATCATGGCTGCTCTTCCAGGTCCAGCTCCTTCTTGCTCCCGAGGCAGGCAACGGTCAGGGCACAGTTGACCTGATTGAAAGATGGAAAGAGCCTGGCTCCTTACTTGTGTCTTTGATCACTGCATCAGATATTTTTATGTCCTGTAATAAATGTTATTGGTCAAGCCATTGTTGTTGGGGTTTCTGCTATAGTCATCCATAGGCAAGCCTTACCCAAGACATTGTTTTGTTTTGTAACAGCCCCAGTCCTTAGGGGAGCAAAGAGGCCTCAGAGCCCAGCTAAGCACTTGAGAGCACACACCCAGGGCAGTAGGCAAGTCTGCAGGGAAGTGATGGTCATGATAGTGGGGTCTCAAGAGAGAAAGAGCCTTGTCCTTGATCTCCAGACACCAGGGCAAGGGCTACATGGGTGGAACAAGAGGGTGTCCAACGCAGTTTGGGAGAACCAGTGCCTGAGGACCGGGTGATGGGGTGTAGCTGCTGGGTTCACAGTTCCAGGGTCTTGGCTGACCTCCATTCCTGGCCCCCATTCTCTCAGCAATCTATGAGGCATGTGTCAGTCCTGGGACTGGTTTTACCATGCAGGTAGCTTCTGGAGGTGTGGTGGTAGAAAGAGATTCTGGAAGGCAGGGCAGGGAGAGGACACTTGTCTGTCGGTGGCACCCATGGAAATGTTGCTGAACACTGCTGAGATGGAGGGGGAGCTGGGCAAATCAGTTTTTATTTTGGAGATGATTACAACTAAGCCAAATCATTTCCTGTCTTCTCTTCAGCCCACCACTTCTCTGATTTTTCATTCAAATAATTCAATTCCTTCGAGCAGCTACATAGTGGTTACCTGGTACTCTCAGTACTGGCTGTGTGGCTTTGAATGTGTCTTTAAAACCCAATAACCCATTTCATGTCTCTCTGCATTGTCTGGAAAATGGAGGGAATAACGGGACCTGCCTCACAGGGTCACAAGGTCATGTGAGGGGTAAAGCCCTCAACAGGGCTGGCTCATAGCAGGCAGTCAACAAATGCATGGGCATTCACATGGGCCACTGGGTGTGCTGGCGCCCTCAGGTTCTCTCACCAACCCTCTTGTTCCCTGTGAGACAGCGGCCATCAGCCTTACTCTGACTGAGCTGCAGAGCCAGACACAAATCTAACATTTTTTTTTTTTTGCACAAAAGCAGCAAGCAACAAGTGCATTCTATAGCTTTACCTAGGCTGCCTTGTAATTGAATAGCCTCACTCTTTGCATTTGGTTTGAGAGGAGGACGTTTGCTCCAGTTCACTCCCTTTACACTTCCTTGAAAGGTAGTTTCTCTTCACTGACTCCCCACAGAAGGGAACCCTTGCTCTACCCTAGCAGGGGCTTCCAAAAGTTGGCGAGTTGCGTCGCAACGCTAAATTCCCCATTAGGGCATTGCGTAAAGTTGGAATAAACCTTTCAACATAAAATCCCAAATTGCATCATTTATTTCTTTGTTCAAGTCTAATAGTTTAGCTATTGATGATGATGATGATGATCACAGCAGCAGATCCTGCTCCAGCTCCCATCACAGGAAAGGATGCTCGATGACAGTTGGTTTCACTTTATTGCTCAGAAGAGACATATTCTGATGAGCTCCCACCCTTCATTCATTATGCTGCAATCATATTGCTAGGAGACAAAGATGAATGCTGTGTACTTATCTGATTAAACTGCCTGTTGTTTTAAATCTATTTTCACAGAGAATTTTTCCTCTGATAGACATCCAGTGACATAACACATTAAAAATTATATCTGTATCAGTGGTTTCCTCTATTGTATTTATGCGGTGTGTATGTATGTGTACATGCGTGCTCTTTTGTGCTAACCTACTGGTTCCTGGTTATGATCAATATATATTCAAAATTATGAAATAATTGCAGCTTTTAAAAAGGCAAGGTTGGATATATGTATTTTATTGATCACTTTAAAAAAAAACCCAGGCACAATTATGTGAATCACCAAATACACAAATTACATTAAAATGAAAAAGTACAAGAAAACACTGTGTTCAACTGGGCACGGTGGCGCATGCCTGTAATCCCAGCACTTTCAGAGGCTGAGGCGGGTGGATCACCTGAAGTCAGGAGTTCACAACCAGCCTGACTAACATGGTGAAACCCCGTCTCTACTAAATACAAAAAGTTAGCTGGGCTTGGTGGCGCATGCCTGTAATCCAAGCTACTTGGGACACTGAGACAGGAGAATCGCTTGTACCTGGGAGGCAGAAGTTGCAGTGAGCCTAGATTGTGCCATTGCACTCCAGCCTGGGCAACAAAAGCAAAACTCCATCTCAAAAAACAAAAACAAAAAAGAGAGAGAGAGAGAAAGAAAGAAAACACTGTATCCACTGACCACAGAAGGCTTTCCACCTGAATAGCAGATATTGTCGTGGGCTATTCACAGGCCTCACTTCCAGGCCATTTCCTCCTAGTTTTGCCTCTGCTTTTCAGCAGGGCCTGGGGGACAGGATTGCAAATGTCTCAGTCCTTGCCCACTGCTGTCATTAGAACCTTCATTAATCTTTGAGTTCTTTGCCCCCACTTTGCCAGAAGAATGATGCCTCCCCCAGAATTACACAAAAATCAATGGCAAAGTTAATTGAAATCTGGATCTCTTAATATTTTTCTCTTTCTTAAGTGATTGCTTGGTTTCTGAAAAGTGAGACTGAACTCAAAGGACAGCTTTAATTGAGGGTGAGTGAATTCGTAAGAGAGAGAAAGGAGAGGTAGATAATTTTCCAAGTGACTGAAAGATAGTGTTTACATTTAGGATTTTATTTCCTTTCAAGTTTTACACCAGGGGCTGAAGGAATGTGAGTAGATGGGAAGAATGACCAGGGCATTTCCACAGCACAGCTCC
Organism: Homo sapiens; assembly: GCF_000001405.40. NCBI lineage: Eukaryota > Metazoa > Chordata > Mammalia > Primates > Hominidae > Homo > Homo sapiens. The sequence continues at coordinate 104,798,685 of NC_000002.12, read as the reverse complement.
ATGCCCTATTGTCTCCTTAAAGGGCTGGAAAGGCTTTGAAGGAGCTGGACCTCATCCCTCTCCTCCCAGGAGGCCAGAGTCAACAAGAAGGAAGAGGGGACAACATGGCAGAGGAACTGACCTTTAGAAGGTAGCCAGCTTCTTAACTGGAATAGTTTCCTACCTTTTTGGTGATTGAGGGACTCGTAATGTAGGCGCTTGGGCCTTTACTTTGGCTTAAGACTCACAATAAGTTTTCTATTTAGAGAGGTTTATAGTATGGAAAGTAAACTACATTTCACCGGATTCTTACATCCATGTGTTGAGGCAAATGGGAAAGATATTTTTCTCTCTACTTGTAGAGGAAGAAACGGAGCCTCTTGCGGATTGTAGTTAATTCAAGGCAACCCAACCAGAGATATGGGTGTGGAGGTACAGGTCTTCAGGCTTTTAGGGGGAAAAAATGGGGCCAGGAATGTACCTTGATGGAACTCCTGACAACGGAGTGGTCAGGACTCATCTTCAGCCAGTAGGGACCCACACAGAGTCCCTATAGTGCAGTCCCCTCGCTGACTGCCAGTCAGGCCACGGAATGCTGCAATTCAGTGCCCTTGTTCAGACTTCCATTGGTATCTACAGCTTCCAAAATATTCAGAACAACAGCCCTGAAAGTCATCTGGTCAAGCTTTGCAATAGAAGAAAGCTTATCCTCCGATTCCCAAAGCCCTGAAGTCAGGGATTTGATTACACTTATCATGATCTCAGCTTCCACTGCTCCAAATGTGATTAGTTTTGTAATTAGTTAATGTCATTACCTGTCATCAAATCCAGACAGTGTTGGTCTCTAAAACCTCTCCTGGCAGAAAATCCCACAACCTGACATCTTTCTCCCGTTGAACACAGTTTGTTTAGTAATCCTGGCAACCATCCCTCATTCTTAGACCACAGGTCTGAAAAGTTGGGAGAAAGATGTATGTCTTGTATTTTTTTAAGAGGCAATTTTAAATACTTCAGTCTCAACATTTCTTCACTCCGAGCAAAGCATAAACATAATCTTTTCAGCAAATTTGGTACCCCGTTATATTTTCCTTCTTATATATCTTGGCTATATTGCTTTGGGCAGAATGGCCAAAATAAGACCCAGTATACCATAGGGAAACATTCCATTCAGAAATATTTTCATTATAAAAAATACTGCTAGTCTCTTATTACTTAATTCCTGTTAAATATTGGGCAAACAGTTTTCTTCTTTGCTCCTCTTCAGTCTTTCAATGAATATCCTTTGCATGCTCACGGCTTGCAGATACTTGGGACACAGCAGGGAATGAAACTGGCTAAATCGCTGTCCTCCAGAATCTCATTTTCTAATAGGGGAAGGTAGTCAATGAACATCTAAAAGTAAAGTACACAGCTTGTGGGTGGGCCGTTTTCCATTTGCCTCCCCATACCTCCTCCATACCCTTTTCTGCCCTGCTTTGTAGAGAACCTGTGGGGCATAGGTCATTAAAGAGGGCATCAATGGTTTCCTTGCCTTTCAGAATCCACCTGGGTCAGTAACCTGAGACTGAAGAGTACAACAGTGAGCTCAGCGTCTCGATGCCTCTGTCCCTCCTGATGGCCTGAGGGTAACACAATTGCCTTCTTTTTGGGAGGGACTCAGCCCACTCCAATATTGAGAATCAGAGCGCCCCAGTGTTGGGAATCAGTCCTCCCTAACGGTGGGAATCAGCCTTGCCCAGTGTTGGGAATCAGCCCTCCCTAATGTTGGGAATTAGCTCTCCCCAAATGTTGCGTATCAGTCCTCCCCAATGTTGAGAGTCAGCCCTCCCTAATGGTGGGAATCAGCCCTCTCCAGAGTTGGGAATAAGTCCTCTGCAATGATGGGAATCGGTCTTCCTTAATAGTGGGACTTAGTCCTCCCCAGTGTTGGGAATCAGCTCTCCCTTATGGTAGGAATCAGTTCTCCCCAGTACTGGGAATCAGCTCTCCCTAATGGTGGGTATTTACCCTCCCCAGTGGTGGGAATCAGTCCTCCCTAATGGTGGGAATCAGTCCTCCCTAATGGTGGGAATCAGCTCTCCCTAATGGTGGGAATCAGCTCTCCCTAATGGTGGGAATCAGCTCTCCCCAGTGGTGGGAATCAGCCCTCGCCAGTGGAGAGAATCAGGTCTCCCCAATGGAGGGAATGAGTCTTCCACAATTTAGGGAATCAACCCTCCTTTGTGGTCAGAGTCAGTTTTCCTTAATGGTGGGAATCAGCATTTCCTAATGGTGGAAATTTGCCCTCCCCAAAGGTGGGAATCAGCCCTTCCCTGTGGAGGAAGTCAGCCCTCTCCAATTGTGGAGAAGTGCCACTGGGAAGGGCCAGTTCCTTTCCATCTCCACAATTGAGGGAATTGGCCCTTAACAGTGGTACTTCAAGCTTAGGAGTCATAACTGCTCACCATCGTTTTGGTGTTCTTAACCCTCACTCCACCTCTGTAAACAGATCCTTCATTAGTGTCACCCCAGTTTACCATATGAATTAGCCGTCTGTTTCCCACAGGGATGCTGACTGCCACAGTAGCTTAGACCATGATAAATGCGACGGAAAGATGTCATTTCGTCCCCCCTCCCCCAGTTCAGCAGTAATATTACTTGTTCTTACCTGCCACGATTGGACTAAGTGTCATCTAGCATCAGGTTGCATTGCTGTCCTGTGGCTCAATTACTTGCTGATAAGCCACACAATTCACCATCATTGTACGTTCTAAAGCAAGGGAACCTCCATTGCCTGCGCCCTGAAGGCAGCAACCATGTTCTGTGATGCTTGGTGAATCCTCAGCTCCTCATGTAGTGTGAGGGGAGACAAAGACCTATTTATCCACAGCCTAGTTCAACAAACTCACAGCAGTCTATACAAGGTGGTGTCCCAGCACATTCACATGTTTCCCGAGACCCTTCCCACCCAGCTCTCTCTCCTGCCCCTGTCAGCCCAGCACTTGCTCTGTGCTCACGGGGCCACCTGTACATTCCTAGTCCACCTCGTGCTCTTATTTGGCTGTGAGTAAAGACCCAGTTCAAGTGTCCTCTTCTCTGAAGCCTTCACTGGTTTCATCATTTCAAAGAAGTGGGGGGCCTTTCCCTTTAACTTTGGGAGACACATATCTGTGTATCACCAGGCCACCTCAGTTGACTCGTGCCTTTTTGTTTTCTAAGTAACTTTTAGAAATTCTTGGGCTCTTTCCCCTGTCCAGTTCACACTGGCCTGAACCAGCTAGGTAAGCCAAACCCAGTATTTTCCTTGTCTGCATTTAAGCTTATTGCTTAGCTTTGGGGAGTGAACCTGGGCTCAGAGCTCTGCAGTTCATGCGTCTCCTCCTTTTGAAAAGAGGATTCAGATGGTCTAGAGCTTGCTCCGTGTTAGCGGGTGGTATATAGACTTATCAGTTTCCTTCTGGAAGCCCCAGATGGATGACATCCGGTCAAGGAGTTTTGCTCCTCTGTTCAAGTTTTTCAGGTTACTCCATTACTTCCCCCCTAGAGACATCAATCTGTGTTAAGGCCAAACTAGAATTTCCTGAGCAAAAAGCCCTTGAAATGTGAAATTCCTCACTTCTCTTGATGATAAAAGTGACGCAGAAAGAAAAAATAACAGTTTTGTTACCTGATGGTACTTATTAGTTAGCTCCCCTCGGAAGCAGTACTGAGAAATTTCACGTGCATTTGAGTTATACTCTGGGGGAATTTGTCAACACATGTCACTGAGTGGACACCACGAATGTGTATATTGTTTTCATCTGTAATCGAAGAAATAAGAATAATATTCGTCATTTAACTATGCACTTAAGAATCATTCAGTATCAGTTTAAGTTGAAAATTCTCAATGTATAGCAGCCTATTTAAAAAAAAAAAAAGAAAAAAAGAAAACACACCAGTCTGGCTAAAAAATATCCTCAGGAAACCAGCCTGGAAGAACAGAGGGTGAAACATGAATGAGCTATTTAGCTTTTCTTGGAAAATGGCATAATTCTCAGAGGAATGAAAGGCCAAGCATTCCCCGGATTTTTGTCAGACACATGTGCCAGTCCACAAAGTGCTGGAACCCCAAACAGAGAACCTGGATGGATTTCAATTTCAGTAATTCAGGTGTTTGTGGCATAGAATAAACACCACCCAGAAGGCAGTATCATGAGTTACCAGAAGTCCCCGTGTGTAACATAATTTTAGGCAACATTTTCAGCTTCTTCTACACAGGGATAGTAAGTTAGTCATTCAGTTCAGATAAGCAGCAGATTTAACTATTTAAAAAAAGAAATCTCGAATCAACCAATATTTGGGAATAATCTGCTGAATTAATTTGTTTCTCTAGGATCATATAGACTTAACTTTAATTTGCTGATGTCTCCATTTCAATAACTCAACAGGGTGTCTGTTGCATGGTTATGATGTAGCGCCCATTGTGTTAGATGCTAGGAGCTACCAGACCCACCAACATGATTCCTACTACTTTCACAAAGCGTGCAGTCTTGGCAATGAGATAAATACTTATGACACAATCAGAGGATAGCCCAAGACATTGCATAAATATGTGAACACTCATGGGACAGGAACTGAGAAAAGAGAGACAGACAAGGACTATTGGACTACTTCCGAGAAGACTTTAGGCAACAGGGGAATTTAATATAGTGCGGAGGAATTTGATTAGTTTGAGGAAGAGAGATAGTTTACCTGGCTGGAAATTGGCAAAAGAAAAGCCACTAGTTGTAAGAAAATATGTATCTGTCAGGTATTTCTATTTACTTATTTATTTATTTAGAGACAGGGTCTCACTCTAACACCCAGCCTGGAGTGCAGCAGAGCGATCATAGCTCACTGCAGTCTCAGACTCCTGGCCTGAAGTGATCTTCCCACCTCAGCCTCCTGCCCAAGTAGCTAGGACCACAGTTTCAAGCCACCACACCCAACTAATTTTTTTATTTTTATTTTTTGTAGAGATGGGGTCTCATTATGTTGCTGAGGCTGGTCTTGAACTCTTGTCCTCAAGCAATTCTCCTGCCTTGGCCTCCCAAAGTGCTGGGATTACAGGCATGAGTCACCAAGCCTGGCCGTGCATTTCTTTTTAAAAAACAAAGAACTTTACATGCATTCATGACTTTACATTTTAATAACCATATGACAAATGTATTTTGGCTCCCATTTTGGAAGTGAGCAAACTGAGTCTTAAGGACGTTCAGTAATCTGCTGAAGATCACCTGGAAGGAAACCACTGAGCTGGGATTGTTTTGGGGATAGAGAAGAGGTCTGCCTATCTATTTTCTTCCTTACAAATGAAAATCACTGGCACTCTGGGCAATTGCATTTTGCATGTTCTTCTTACGCTGTAAGTGAAGAACTGACTGGGAGAATTTAGGTGCTAAGACAAAAATGCATCTGGATATTTTCTAAGCTTAGAGCTAAGAGAGGTAGGGAAAGGTGGAGTAGTTGGAGTCTCAGTATTCAGTGTGGCTGCAGCCATTTGCCACCCTTAAGTTATGCTGCCTTTCTGGCTCCCATGAGCTCTGCAGTGTGGTAGAGGGATCCTGGGTGGAGGTCTTCCCTGTCTAGTTAAGGACAGAGTCTATGCACAGGCTCCACTACTCCACGGCAGGTCACAGAATGTTTTATACCCAGAGAGAAGTCTAGGAACATGTGGCAGATGGCTAGTTTCCTCCAAATCCATCCTTCCAAATCCATCTTTCCTTTCTTCCTGGGTATGAAGCCATTCGGCTAGAGACTATACTTCCCAGCCTCCCTTGCAGACTAAATTATTGCTTTTGTAATGTGGGCATAGGCGATATGTGCAACTCCGGTTTCCCATCTTAAATGGAAATCACTCTTCTTGGACGTGCCCTCTTTCTCCCCTCCAATAGGTGGGCACCTGATGTGCTGGTAATCCCATTCTACCAAGCAGATGAGTACTGCCCTGCAGGATAGAGGAGCAAGAGAAATAATCTAGATCTCTTAATTATTATGTGTGACAGAACGTCCTCCCAGCCTAAAACAAACAACTCCACAATATATGTGAAAGAAAAATCAATTCGGGCTGGGCACGGTGGCTCACCCCGTAATCCCAGCACTTTGGGAGGCTGAGGTGGGTGGGTCACTTGAGGTCAGGAGTTCAAGACCCCCCTGGCTAGCATGGTGAAACCTCATCTCTACTAAAAATACAAAAATTAGCTGGGCATGGTAGCAGGCACCTGTAATCCCAGCTATTTTGGAGGCTGAGGCAGGAGAATTGCTTGAACCTGGAAGGCGGAGGTTACAGTGAGCCAAAATCGTGCTGTTGCACTCCAGCCTGGGCAACAGAGCAAGACTCCATCTCAAAAAAAATAAAAAATAAAAAAAAAAAAAGAAAAGAAAAAAAGAAAAATCAATTCCACCTTATGAGCTACTCTATTTTGGGGTCTGTTTAATATAAAAGCTTAGGTTTGACCCTGAATAATGCAGAATAGATCCAGGCTGGAAAGTAGAACATTGACTTCAAGTCAATATTTTGTCTTCTTTCCTTTCTCCCACAAATATTTATGGTGCATCGACTCTGTACCAGGCAATATGCAAGTTGCTGGTGATGGTAAACAGAAAAGCCATGTTCCTCTCTCATGGAGCCTACATTCTAGTAAGAAGAGGCAGACAGAAACAAGTAGACACACATAAAACTAAAACATCTATAGACTGGAATATGTGTTGCAAAGGACAAAAACTTGGGCTGGGATAGATATGAATGGGGGAGAGAAGGCTACTTTAGATAGCACAGTCAGGGCAAGCCCCTGTGAAGAGGTGGTGTTTTAGTTGAGCCCTAATGGAAGAGAAGAAGCCAGGGATGCCAGGAATGGGAGTACACCAGTCCAAGCAGAGGGGAGCATGTGCAAAGGTCCTGGAGCAAAGAAGTTGAGCCCAAGGAACTGAACGCAAGAATGAAGAGGAGAGAGAAGCACCACAGAGGACTGGCAATGTAGATGGGAGCCAGGTCTTAGTGTTACCCTCAATGCATCAGGAAGCTCCCTGGTGGAAGAGTTTTAAGCCAGCAATGGAGGTGGGAGGTGGGATAATTCACTAAATTATTTTAGGATAACTTTCACTGCTTGATGGAGAAAGGACAAGGAAAAAGTAAGTTTATATAGTTGTCACAGGCCATACTGGTCTTGGCAGTGGAGGCTGGAACAGGTTTTAAGAAAAATCACAGAAAACATTTTTCTAATCACATAATAATATTTGAAAGCAATTTAAGTTTTAAAAAATAAGTGTAAGCCAGTTTTTCTGAAGAGTTAAGTAGGAAGAGAGTTTCTTAAGCAATATGCTGCCCTAATTCCAAACAGGCTGGGAATCGCTGGTTTAGAGGTTAGCGGTGCTGTCATCTTGTCAGCATTTGTAGTTTTTGGTTGTGGGTGAGGCTGTTGAAAAGGACATCTCCCCAGAGGCACTGGGCACTGCTCTTTCTGGGGCAAGTAAGAGTTGTTGCCATGGGGCTTTAGAAAGCTTGTGAGCAGCCTGGTCTTTGGAATTTTTACTCTTCATTTAGAGATAGCAAAGAAGGAATTGAAAATATTTTAATATTAAATTAAATATTTAAATGTAATTTGAATATATACTTAATTATAGTTTAAATATACATTTAAATGAAATATAGTTAAATATTTTAATTATAAAGTAAACCTTCCCAGATCATTAAAGCTGCCTCTGTTATTGAAGCAAGTGAGGTCCGTGTTTGAGAACCACCGTTCCTTCAAATACTAATTCCTAATGGGGATTTGCTTCTTAAAGAGCAACATCCTGACTCTTTTTGACGTAACTATTGACAGGGAAGGAAATGACACTGTTCCCAGATTTGCGGAGTTTGATACAGTTAGTATTGGGGTTTTCTTTCTGAGGTTTTAAATATTGCCATTAGAAATAGGAAATTGATTTTTTATCTTTTTTTTTTTTTTTTTTTGGTCAGAGAAGTGACACCAGGGTCTGAACCGATCCAAGTTAAATCTATTTCGAGACTTGCTTTTGTTGGGTTAGGTTTTTGCATATCTAAGAAATCTAACAAGAAAAGAAGTCCAAGTTTCTGCGTTTGCACATCAGGAAATGGTTAGCGTTCCCCAGTCTCGCCTTACAGACCTGCTGAGGAGGAAAACCTTCTTTTCTCTTCCCTCCCCCTGCCCTCTCCCTCCTTTCTATCTCTTGCCTGCCCCAAAGGCTTCTCGGAGGGAATGGGCCGGGGGATATGGGCATGCTTGACCGCCCTTGGAGAATGGCCCGCCGTCAGCTCAGCTGCGCTCTGCTCCCTTCTAGGGCAATGGGGACTCTCCTGGGGGCAGGAGGAGGGAAGAGGGCAGCGAGGAATCACACATGGCTGGGTTTCCTATGGCAAGGTTCCCTTGTTTGTGCTTTCTTCCTCTGCTCCAAAAAAAGCCCCTGGAAGAGGCCTGGGGAGTCAGATCAAATGTACTGGCTCCGAGCCAAAGCTTGACTCCTCCGGCCAGGAACTCTACGTTCTCAAGTCTTCATTTCTGTCCCGTTGAAACTGATAGGGAAGGTTAATGAGATTAACATGGCAAAACACTGCGCGCTTCTGAGAAGAAAGAGGCCAGATATGTGCTGTCCACGGGAAAACTACGGGCCCGTCCATTCCAGCTGGGGACGTTTTATCCAGCTCTCTTCTAGTAAAACCTGATTATTTTTATTAGACAATTCAAAAGTAGGATGTATTCAGGGCTAGTCAGAGGAAGTTTCACCAGTGACTACTTAGTTAACTCCTGCTGACCAGTAAATGAATGAGGGTCCTATTTTATTTTGCCTCTGACCTTTTCACCACCTTAGCCCAACACATGCCAATCTTTCCGATACACAGTGATAAATAATTTCTAGTGTATGTCTCTTCATTCTGAAAAGAAGTTGGATGTATGATGAAATGTGGTAAAATGAAATCATTAAGGACAGAAACCAAGTACTTTATCAAGCAGAAAGATGAAATAGCTCTTTGGCTGAAGATTTTCTGAATAGAAGATTCCTGAGAAAAGTGGAGAAGATAGAAATTGTGTATATGTATGTGCATATTGGTGTTTATGAGTATTTTTAAAAATGAAATATAAGTGGAAAGAGGAAAAGGAGGAAGAAGTTTTGGTAAATCTATAAAATCGCCACAATTTATGAGTTTAAAAGGCAATTTCTTTTTAAGGGGCAAATTCCTAATTTCCCACATAAAAGTATGGGAATTGAATGGTAAATCCTTCTCTGCTGACAAGACCCCTGAAAAGAGGCATGAAAAAGAGTTACTGTTCCGTTTCCATTCATGTCTCTTGAAAGCCGGTGGATGTGACACTGCGCTGGAACACACAACCCTGGGTTTCAAAGCTGCCCGGATGACTTTTCAGAAATGATCTATTGTGGCGCTTTGTTTTGTCCGGGTCGCCCTCGTTTTGTTCTGCTCGGCTGTATCACTCTTCTGTTGCTGCCATTAATCCACTCTGTCTACTCCTCCCCATTCAGAGGCACATTTTACCCCTCGCCCTGCACAGAGAGCCCAGGGATGAAATGGCTGAACGACTCAGCATCACTGCCGAGAGAGGGACGGAGGGAGAGAGATGGAGAGGAAAGGGGGTGAGAGGGGGTGTGCTGGTTCCACAGGCTCACCTGGGTGGTGAGGGTGCTCAGGAAGAAAAGGAGAGTAGGAAGAGGGAGGGGGACAGGCATCTAAGATAGACTTTCTCCATCTGTTGGGAGCCTGGGCAAGTAGGAAAGAAGCCTTTTTCATACACTTTAGTTGTATGGCTGAGCTGCTTGGCAGGGCACTGGAAACGGCGAACTTGTGCAGCCTGCAAATGAGACCACTCTTATTTTTCAGTTTTGATTTGATTCACTCACTTGTAGTTAGGTAAATACGGGCTCTATGTGGCTCAAGGAATGTCAGGCTGGGGTAGGTGGCAAAAGATACAGTGATGATGAAAAAAAGAAAATTAAATTAGAAGTCTTTTGGTTAGTAACTCAAATTTAGTTCACTTTCTTCTGTCCTCTTGGAAATACCATTCTCTTCAGTTGTATTCTACATAGGGAAGTGTTTTTTTTCCCACCTACCTTCTGTCCTACCCATTGCCTACTTTTAATGGTGCAAAGGGATGGTCTAGAGGTCCCAAAGGATCCTGTGATGTGCCAGGTTGTAAAGTGGTAACAAACATTCCCCAAATATCAGTGGCTTCATATACCAAAGTCTGTCACTCTCACTCTATGTCCAGTAAGGGGCAGCAGGGGCCCTGCTCATCAGTGTCGTGCAGGAGCCCCTTGGAGCAAGGGAGGACCACTCTCTACATATGCATAGAGATCTCCAAGGACTGAAGAGGGGGCCTCTTGAGGCTCTCACACTGGTCATCAAATCGCTGGCTCTGGAGATACTTCCTCTTACAACTAATCCAATGACTACACCTGCACGCAGGCTCAGCCTCTGATGACCAGGAGAAAGAAGACAACCAGCCAGCCACCAGTCCGGATGCTGCACACCTTCTCAGGGATACCCAGGGAGTTAAATAAGAAACAGACGAGCAAAATATTTTCAAGACTTTAACTGAATAATAAAAATCAGTCGTACTTAGTTGGCTGGAGTTTTATTGCAATACAAATCTAAGATGAGCATTTCAGATAAAAGTTGGACCAAGGTTCAGGAATTAAACATTTTGAACACGACATGATCAGCCCCAGCCTCCACTCTCAAGTGAGCTGCATGGTTCAGGCAAATTACCTAAACTTTTGGGCATCCATTTAATCACCCAGATAGTGAATCTGTGGGCTTCAGAGTTACTGGGAGCACTTTTTAAAGCATCACTGTGGGACCTCATCTGCAGAACTGCTGATTCAGCAGGCCTGGGGTGGGGCCAGGGAATTTGCCTTTCTACCCACTGCCCAAGTACTGCCGAGGCTGCTGGTCCAGGGATCACACCTTGAAATGATTCCTGGATGAACTCTAGAGCTCGATCTAGCTAGAAAACCCAATCTTTCCTATAGGGGGATGAGGTAGAATTTGTTGATAAGTTAACAAATAGCTACAGTAAAGTTTTCATATAGCTATAGTAAAGTTCAAAAAGCTACAGTAAAGTTGAAACTCGACTGGAAAATAATTCACTGGAGTGTCACTAACCCTTAACATTTTTGTGAGAGCACATTCGCATGTTGGAGTGACACATATAGTTTAAAGACACGTCTCAATTACATGATGTGGTCTGGACAGCTGCCCTTGTGGGGACAGAGGCTGCCACTAAACTCTGAGCAATTACTTAAAATTAGACTTGTCAAATTTGTTTAGGGTGACCAGGCAAGTACATACATTGACCTAATGTCACTCTTCCTGGAGAGACGTTGTAATGATTTTGTATATCAGTCAAACTATTTAAAACTAATGCCGCCTTCATGCCATAATCACCATTCTAGTCAGATGTCATTTTTAGAAGCCCTTGGGGATTTGCCTCTCTTAATTATTCTTCAATACCCAAACCAAGCATTCTTTAATTGGTGTAAATTGAACAGTGTTCCAGTGCAAACAAGGAGAGGGCACATTGATCAATGATTCTGTGCATGTCTATTGGAAAGTCGTTGCCATTAGATCAAGTAACAAATCCTTAACCCCTTTGGCTTCAGTGGAAACATCAGGTTGTGGGGCTGAGAAATGCTACTTCTCCTTAAGTCATCATCATTGGGAAACAGTGGGTTGTGATTGCAAAATCTCAGCTTTTGAGGAAAAGGTTAAAATATCCATCATAAAAATACCCTCCGTTCCAATGTCAAAAACCTCATTCAGAAGCCTTTTATGAGAGTTCAAGTAGAAACAAAGTGTTTCTATCCTCTGGCAATTTGGCTCCTTTCTCTCTCTCTCTCTCTCTCTCTCTCTCTCTCTCTGAATTGGAAAGAACATAAAAAATTTTGTTAACTTGTCAAGCCATTCTTTCCCACAAATATTTTTTGTTCTTGATAGTGTGTGCTCCATCTAATCACACAGCCGAGTTGTGGGTGGGTAACATGAAACAGGTGTTCTCTCATACGTTTAATACAACTGAGAAAAATCAAGACACCGTACTTAAGAAGCCCAGGAAAAATCCATCTTAGAAATGTACCACGCGTACTTTCTACTCTTGCCTCTTTCTATCAACTTTATGAAATTGATTATTTATTATTGGAGTGGGAAGAAAAGGAAGTGACCGGCCTATCACACACCCCTGGCCCCCATCTGCCCGTCTCTCACTCCGAGACTCAGACAACTGTGCTCTGGTACTACTTGAGGGATAGTGGGCGTGTGTGTTCCTTTTAAATCTATCTGGTTTTTGACAAAATGTGCTGGTTCTTGGGGAAGAATCTTTCAAGTTGATTTAAGTTTGAGTTTTAAAGCGGTGCTGTGCAGAATACTTAAAATGAGTAGAGAGGAGGAGGAACAGAGTTGTCAGCTTCCTTGACAATCTGTTCAATTGCTTAGACTTAAAGGGGCGCTTTTGGTGGGGAAGCTTGTCTTAACACATTGGGCTATAATTTATACACATTCTGAATGAGTGGATATTGCTTAGCTTCGAACGATCTAGCCAAGCATTTTGAAGGCATGGGGTGAACCTTAGAAAGTATATCTTGGCCTCTTGGGTCCAGCCCAGCTGGAGGAATGCAGGCAGAATGATACTCAGTGGTCATCTTGCTGTGCCACTGTGGGTTTCAGGGGCTGGAAAGCCCTCCTTCACGTCAGAGCACATTCACGATGGGAAACCAAGGGGAATCAGTATTTTTAAAATCTGGGGCTGGGTGTGAAGGCTCATGCCTGTAATCCCAGCGCTTTGGGAGGCCAAGGTGGGTGGATCACTTAAAGTCAGTAGTTTGAGATCAGCCTGACCAACAGGGTGAAACCCTGTCTCTACTAAAAATACAAAAATTAGCCAGGCATGGTGGTACATGCTAATAATCCCAGCTACTCGGGAGGCTGAGGCAGGAAAATCACTTGAACCCGGGAGTCGGAGTTTGCAGTGGAGATTGCGCCACTGCACTCCAGCCTGGGGGACAGAGCGAGACTCCATCTCAAAATAAATAAATAAATAAATAAATAAATAAATAATAAATAAATAAAAATAAAAATCAGGACCAACGTTGAGAGTGAAAAAGCCAACTTGAAAACGGGCTGCAGAGCAGACCTGCCCCCAGCCCACCTCCATTTTTGAGGGATCCCTCAGGATCTGCAGCGGTGCAACTCCCCATCTTCCCTGGTTCATTCTCGTCTTCCTTGTTCTCACAGACACTACTACCTGACCATCCTCAGCCTTCCCAAGATTTGGATGGTCTGCAGGAGCCTTTGCATGTGATGGGAGCATTGAATTCGGGAATAAAATCCTTGGTTCCGATCCCACCTTTTCCCCTTAGAAACCATATTATCTTTCTGGGTTTTGACTTAGTCATCTGTAAAAGGACAAAGTTGAACTAGGTGAACTCTCAGATCTTTTTGAGACCTAACAGCTGAAGAGTTATTTTCTTCAATACCCACTCCCACTGAAAGCCGAGGGAAGGGAACTCATATGGCATTTCCTCGGAGTTCATGCTCTGATTCTCACCCATTGAAATGGGCATTGAAATCACTGCTCCCTAACTTTAATGTGCATTCAGATCTCCTGGAGCTGTGTTAAAATGCAGATTCTGGTTCAGTAAGTATGGCGTGGGGCCTGGATCCTGCCTTTCCAACAGCTCTCAGGTAGTGTAGCAAGGCTGGAGAAACCGGGCTTCAGACTATAAGCTAAGTGAAGCCCCATGATTGGCCTGTTTTGCTTACTGAGGGTCCCCCAGCACAGCACAGCTCAGAGTGCACAGGTACCCTGTGTTTGCATAAATGAATGCAAGAGTGCGTTCTGAGAGAGGGGTGAGCCAGGAGTACTGATCCCGGGGTCAGATGCCATCCGCAGCCTTCTGTTTTATTTTTGATTGGATCAGAAGCTTCTGGCTACTGAACTGGCCCCTTGCCTCACTGGGCCCTGTGCTGTTGGGAGGACAGCAGTCAGAGTGCTGCTGGGGAGTGGCTGGTGGGGAGAATGGTGGGTCCACTGCATCTCTGCCCTGAGGCTGACTTCAGACCATCACCAAGAGCCCCCAGCTCTCAAGCCTTTGTATGTGCATGCTTGTTTTCCCCAAAGAGAACATCAAGTTTCTCTTTGATGTTTATTTCAACTATGGCAAAATATTTTAGGGGAGCCCAGGTCCCATATAGTGACTGTGGCTTGAAACATCACAGTTTTGTGGAGGGAGCACTGGTCCTGGAGGTGAAGTACAGGGGTGTGATTCTGGCTGGCCCACTAACTAAGGGAGTGAATGCAAGTCAATTACACGCTCTGAGCTCTGCAGTCGGAAAAGCCCTTCCAACCTAGCTGGGCCACAGGAGAGCAAGAAGGCGAAGGCCCTGTGGATGCTGCAGTGTGTAGGGTGAATGAGAGCTTGAGTTTTTATTTTGCTGTATGAGGGTCAGCCCTCTTTGGAGGCATCTTGCCTTATGTGTCTCTTGTAATCCCTGGCCCCTACCAAGTGTGAGCACAGAGGCAGTTCTTTCTCGCTCTCTTCTCTCTCTCTTTCTGTCTCACAGACACGTACACACTAATGGAAATGTTTGCTTTTTGAGCGTAGACTATTTTTAGCACAGGGCTTCCCAACCTTTACTGATAAGAATAATTTGGGCCTTATGAAGTTCCCTCTTCCCTGAGTCGGTAGGTCTGGGATGAACACTAGGAATCAATCCCTTCAGGCCTTTCTCTCTCTTTTAAAAGAGCTCCAGCAGATTTGTGTTTTAGGAATGTTTGGGAATAGTGTTTTGTGCAGGGCACTCAGCTTAGCTGCCCTTTGGTTCACCTGGGAAGCTTCAAAAATCCCTGTGTCCAGGCTATACCTGGGGCCGGGACAGGCATTGGTCATGTTGACTGTTCCCCAGGTGACTCCCATGTGCAGCCAGGGCTAAGAGCCACTGGAATTGCTTCCATGGACTTGTCTGGCCCAAGGAAGAAGTTGGGATGCTCATCACCTTGTTTGCATACCACTGATTTCCTAACTTGCCTGCACATTAGAATCATCCAGGCAGCTTAAAAAATCCTGATGCCCAGGTCACACCGTATACAAATGAAGTCAGAATGTCAAGGTGGGAGCCTGGCATTGGGATTTTTAAAAAAATCCCTGGTGATCCCATCAAACAGCGAAGTTTCAGAAGCCACCATAGGCCTGGAGCCTGAGTTTTATTTGGGAGTAACTTTCAATATGAACCATGAAACCCATTTCTCTTCTTTGCTGCTACTGAGGACAGGATGCTTTTCACCCTTGTTTCTGTAAATCATCCCAAGGGCTCCTTGGGGGCTCCTGCCACAGCCTTCACAGAGCCCTTCTCAGGGGTGGACCCCAGCAAGCTCTCCCAGCAGTGAGCAGGAGGGACATCTGCATGGATGCCAGCCCTCTTCTTCTCCTGTTGACACCCACTTTGACCTAGGAGAGGTGCTGTTCTTAGTACATCACAGGACCAAGGAAAGAAAAGCCCTTTCAACCTAGCTTACTTATCCCAAGAGAGCAAGATTGTGGAGGTCTTGTGGACACTGTGATGTGTAGGGTGAATGAAAGCTTGAGTTTTACTTCACTGTATGAGGGTTAGCCCTCTCTGGAGGCATCATGCCTCATGAGTTTCTTGTAACCCCCAGCCCCTCACAGAGCTCAAAATGATAGCTCTTTTGCCCAAGGGAGAGCCAGGTTTTGTGAGGCATGAACCTGATAGTTTTGAGGGTCTTCTTTATGAAGAAGAATACAAAACTCCAAATACGGAATTAGATGAGAAAGAATATTTATAAAAAATGAAATGAAAGTTGACACCATGTTACTGGAGCCCCAAAGACCAAGGCCTTGCTCCAGAGCTCTCAGTGAGCAGTTGGCCTGAGCCACATGTATAAAGACACATCCTGCTCACACGCTGGCTGCCCCAACCCCTGGCAATCGCTAGCACTCCTGGGACCCATGCAAGTGAGGGACCCTGACATGATGCTTATGTTTTATTCCCATCAAAATAAATCCATCTCCATCCTCAGCACGGTGGGTTGCAACTGTAACTGAACATAATAATCACCAGGCAGCCTTAACAAATACTGAAGCCTGGGCCCCACTGGCAGAGAGGCTGATTGATTTGCTCTGGGTTGTGGCCTGGGCAGCAGTTTCAGGAGCTCCCCTGGTGATTAGGGTGGGCAGGGGTAGGGAGCTGAGAACCCATCACCATTGCTGCTCCCCAGAGAGGTGAGAGAAGTTTTCTTCTTTGTAATCCCTGCTATATTTTCTTTTCTCCTGAAGATTCTTTCCCACTACCTTGTGCCCTGCTCTTCAGTCCTTTCATTGACTGGGGACCTTGGTTGACTTGTTCTATCTCTGCGTTAGACCCCAGTTCTGGCCTCAGGCAACACAGCAGTGAATGTGGGTTGTGGCCTTTCCTTTTCAAGGACACAGATCTGGCTCTAGTACCTGCCTAAGTTCTTTTGTCCACTTTATATTCATGATCGAGATTTAGGAGAGATTTTTCATCCACCAAGACCTGAAGAGTTTCTTCTTTTTCTTTTTCTTTCTTTCTTTCTTTTTTTTTTTTTTTTTGAGTCAGGGTTTCACTTTGTCACTCAGGCTGGAGTGCAATCATAGCTCATTGCAGCCTTCAACTCCTGGGCTCAAGCAATCTGCCCACCTCATCCTCTGGAGTAGCTGAGACTACAGGTGCATGTCACCACGCCCAGATAATTTATTTCTTTTTTGTAGAGATGAGGTCTTACTATTTTCCCCAGGCTGGTCTCAAATTTCTGGCCTTGAGTGATCCTTCTGCCTTGGCCTCCCAAAGTGCTGGGATTGTAGGTGTGAGCCACCACACCCAACCTCTTTCTTCTTTTCAATTGTTGTAAAGAAACACATAACATAAAATTTGCCATCTTAACTATTTTTAAGTGTAGAGTTCAGTGGTGTTAAGTATATTCACATTGTTATGCAACAGATCTCTAGAACGTTTTCATTTTGCAAAATTGACACTCTATACTCATTGAGCTACAACTCCTCATTGGCAACCACTGTACTATTTTCTGCCTCTGAATTTGATTTCTCATAGGTACCTCATATAAGTGGAATCATACAATATCTATCCTTTTTGTGATTTGCTTATTTTACTTGCATAATGACTTCAAGTTTCATCCACATAGCATGAGTCAGAATTTATTTCCTTTTTAAAGCTACATAAAATTCCACTGTACAGATATACCACATTGTGTTTATCCATTCATCTTTTGATGGACAGTTGGGTTACTTCCACCCTTGGCTGTTGTGAATAATGCTACAATGAACATGGGAGTGCAAATATCTCTTTGACATTCTGCTTTCAATTCTTTTGCATATGTACCAAGAAGTGAGATTGCTGGATCATATGGTAATTCTATTTTTAATTTTTTGAGGAACCTCCATACTGCACCATTTTGCAATCCTACCAGCAGTGCACAAGGGTACCAATTTCTTCATATTCTTGCCAACACTTATTTTCTGTTTTTTTTTTTTTGTTTTTTTTTTAATAGTGGCCATCCTAATGGCTGTGAGATGATATTCTGGTTTTGATTTGCATTTTTCTGATGAGTAGTGATGTTGAACATCTTTTAATATGTTTATTGGCCATTTGTATATAATCTTTGGAGAAATGTCTACTCAAGCCCTTTGCTCATTTTAAAATTGAGTTTATTTTTGTTATTATTGAGTTGTAGGAGTTCTTTATATATTCTGGATATTAACTCCTTATCAGATATATTACTTGCAAATATTTTCTCCCATTCTGTATGTTTCTTTTATTATTATTATTATTATTATTATTTTTTTTTTTTGAGATGGAGTCTCGCTCTGTCGCCCAGGCTGGAGTGCAGTGGCGCAATCTCGGCTCACTGCAAGCTCTGCCTCCCAGGTTCATGCCATTCTCCTGCCTCAGCCTCCCGAGCAGCTGGGACTACAGGTGCCTGCCACCAGGCCAGGCTAATTTTTTGTATTTTTTAGTAGAGATGGGGTTTCACCGTGTTAGCCAGGATGGTCTCAATCTCCTGACCTTGTAATCTGCCCACCTGTGTCTCCCAAAGTGCTGGGATTACAGGCGTGAGCCACCGTGCCTGGCCAATTCTGTGTGTTTCCTTTTTGCTCTATAGACTGTTTCCTTTGATGCATAGAAGTTTTTGTGTTTGATATAGTCCCATTTGTTTTATTTTTGCTTTCGTTTTCTGTGCTGTTGGTGTCATACCCAAGAAATCATTATTCAATTCAATGTCATGAAGCTTTCTCCCTGTTTTCTTCCAGGGAGTTTTAGAATTTTAGGTGGTACATTTTGATCTTTAATCCATTTTGAGTTAATTTTTGTATACAGTCTAAAGTAAGGGCCCAACTTCATTCTGTTGCATGTGGATATCCAGTTTCCCCATCACCATTTGTTGAGGAGACTGTCCTTTCCCATCGTGTGCTCTTGGTATCCTTGTCAAGCAGGGGATCTTTTTGAGTCCAACATGCATTTCTTTTATCACAGGTGAAAACTCATGCCCTCCCAGGATACATTTGCCCTGCCAATTTGGCTGTCTGACTGATATCCCTTGGGCTCTGCCCAGAAAAACCTTGGATAAATTTTTATTCAGTTTCCTCTCTGAGACTCAGTTACTATTTACTCATCATTTTTGTTTTGAGATCTTTCTTTTAATGTACACATTTTAAAAGCCTTTACTTGTGGATCAATTTACCCTCTTTTGTTTAAGTTATTGCCTAAACCAATTTTTCTTTGAAAAAACAAAACAAAACAAAATATTTTAAAGCCCTTAGTTCGTTGTAGTTTGTGTCTCCTCCACCATGTAATTTCCAGTTCTTTTGATACAGCCAGGGGTCTGATTGGCACTTCTCTAAGATCCTGTAACTCAAAAAACCCATTGTATTTTGATAGGAAGCACTAGCTAATCTGGTTGAATCTCAGCATTATTATCTTTTTTTTTTTTTTTTGAGACAGGGTCTCCCTCTGTGGCCCAGGCTGGAGTGCAGTGGCACAATTTCGGCTCCCTGCAACCCCCACCTCCCGGGTTCAAGCGATTATCCCGCCTCAGCCTCCTGAGTAGCTGGGATTACAGGCGTGCACCACCATGCCTGGCTAATTTTTGTATTTTTAGTAGAGGCAGGGTTTCACCATATTGGTCAGGCTGGTCTCCAGTTCCTGACCTCAGGTTATCCACCTGCTTGGGCCTCCCAAAGTGCTGGGATTACAGGCATGAACCACTGCGCCCGGCCTATTATCTTTTAATGTATTTACAATGTGTAGAGTAGAGACTGCTAACTGTTTACCATAGTTAGTTTTCTCTTTCCACACTAAAGAACTGTTGTCGGATATGTTGCTCAGCCTGCTTTGTTATTAGGTGGCATCATGCAGATTGGCCAACAGAATGTAAAGGTAAATGCAGCATGCATTTCAAGGATGAGCCTTATAGAAGAGCCGGTATGTCCTCCTGCTATCTTTGCTGCTGTTAGAATGCAGCTGGCAATAATGTCTTTGTCATCTTGTTACTTCAGGTATGGTCCCCAGACCGGAGGCATCCACATCACCCAGGAGTGTGTTAGAGATGCACCCTCTCGGGTCCCACCCAGACCTACTGAGTCATTATCTTCATTTAAAAAAGATGCACATTAAAGTTTGTGAAGAAATAGCCTAGTCCTAGAGAATGGTGTAGTTATCAAATGGAAGGATTTGGGTTCCTGAATGACCACATGGTGGAGAACTGCCCTACCAACTTGAATACCTCTACACGACTCTTAGATGAACAAGAACTAACTTTCTGTTGTGCTGAGCCACCAAAGCATGGAGGTTTATTTGTTACTTAGCCTATCCTATCCTAACAAATCCACCCTGGTGTTTGTATTTAACTGTGTCTACCTCTACTCTCCCCTGGAACTTTCTGTCAACTCCTTTTTGGGTAGGCTTCATTTTCCATGGGACAAAAATTAGAAAAAAACATGATTATCAAGATTATGTTGCAAATGCAAGTTCCTTCTTTATGAAACTTTTCCTTTTTTAAATTCTATTATTTTGTTTATCCTATAAATCAACGTTGACAAAGTAAGGCCCATGGGCCACATTCAGCCGTCTGCTTTTTTATTTTAATTGAAATGAATTTTATATAACATAAAATTAACCATTTTAAAGTATACAAGTCAGTAGTACATTCACAATGATATGTAACCATCACCTCTCCCAGAAAATTATTTTGTATAATACCTAGTAAGTAATTACTCCTTATTCTCCCTTCTCTCTAGCCAGTGGCAATCACTAACCTGCTTTCTATCTGTATGTATTTACCAATTCTATATATTTTATATAAATGGAACCATACAACATGTGGCCTTTTGTATCTGGCCTCTTTCACTCCACATAATGTTTTTGAGGTTCATTCACACCATACTAGCTTGGTGAAAAAGTAATTGCAGGTTTTGCACCAACATAATATTATGTATCAGTACTTTATTTTCTTTTTGTGGCTGAGTAATATGCCATTGAACCTCTCCCTGTTTTTGTAGATAAAGTTTTTTTGATATAGACATGCTCATTAACTTACATGCTATTTATGGCTGCCTTTGCACTTCAATGGCTGAGTTGGGTAGTTGTGGCACAAATCATAACAGCCTGCAAAGAAAGACTAAAATATTCACTGTCTGGGCGTTTACAGAAAAAGTTTGCTGATCCCTGTCATAAATAATATTTTTGGGGAACTTTATTATGAAAGTGTGGAAGTTCTAAAGTTTCAAAAACATTTATTTTGTATCACGATATAATTTTAAGCTTCAGCTGGATGAGTACATATGATAGAAATGCTACACAAATTTTGAAGAAGAAAGAGTGGTTGGGGAAGATTTGCCCTATGAGATAGTACAGTATGTCATGGACCAATAAAAGTGAGAGAATTTGGTGCCAGTGCTGAGGCAGGCAGGTCATAGAAACGACGGGAAGGCTGGGAAACACACAGGAACATAGGACAGAGGTGGTGTTTCTGACCATTTGAGAAGATATGGATTACTCTACTCCTTCAAAATAAATTTCAGAGGAATAAAATACGTAAATGTTTAAAAACGAAACTGTGAATACACCAGAACAAAATACTGATGACTATTTTAATAATCTTGTATAAAGAGATGCTTTTAAGTTTGACAAAAAAGACAATAAAAAGCAAAAATTTTGTTAACATGGCTACAATTTGATACAATTTCTTGAAATGTAAAACTTTTGTATGGCAAAAGCACTATAAGTAAAACTTAAAAGAGAACAAAATGAACCTGGGAAAAGTATTTTTTGGTTGATGTTGTAGGCAAAGAGTTAATGTCTTCAACAGTAAAAACCTCTTTTCAGTGAATGAGACTCTGAAGAGTGCAAACTAAGGGGGAAATGTGGAAACTGGCGATAATGCAGTTACTGCAAATGAGCAGTAAGCATGATACTATAAACATTCAATCTAGGAAATAACTGATGCAAATGTACTGTAAATTTAAACATGATGTCATTTTTATTGTTGTTGACTTGACTGACATGATAAAAAAAAATTGAGAATCCCCAGTGAGGGCAAGGATATGGAGAAAGGGGCTTTTTTTTTTTTTTCAACATTATTGGATTCAATATTTTTGGAGGGAAATCTGGCAGTAGAGATCACATTTTGAAATGTACTTGACTTTTGACCACACAGCTTCACATTCTGGACATTTAACCTACAGAAAACTAACATAAAGGTGTTTTTCGCTGCAGTGAGAACCTGGAAAACATCTCAATGTTTATCAGTGGGTTTGATAAAACAAGTAGTGGTATATCCATACAATGGATCTCAAAGAAGCCATTGCAAAGGAGGTAGAATTTTCAACATTAATATAGATTATAAGTACTTTCCTTGTTCTTAATCAGGCTGGTGAATATGTTTGCCTTTCTCTTTTATTAAGAAACACTTTTCCTGGATCCATTAAGATGCAAAATAATACACCTAGTTTTCAACTTAGTGAAAATGATGGACATTACAATTTTTTTTGTTTTTTGAGATGGAGTCCCATTCTGTTGCCCAGGCTGGGGTGCAGTGGTGCAATCTTGGCTCAATGCAACCTCCACCTCCCGGGTTCCAGTGATTCTCCTGCCTCAGCCTCCTGAGTAGCTGGGACTACAGGTGTGTGCCACTACACCCAGCTAATTTTTGTATTTTTAGTAGAGCTGGGGTTTCACCATGTTGGCCAGGCTGGTCTCGAACTCCTGACCTCAAGTGATCCGCCTGCCTCAGCCTCCCAAAGTGCTGGGATTACAGGCGTGAGCCACCATCCCCGGCCAGCATTACATACTTTCAACATTTGACTTATTTAGTTTTACTAGTTAAATATATTACGTTTTACATTATAGCAATAGAGATTTGAAACAAATCCATATTTCAGAGCCATGGACTTAAGTTTGTGTACACATATATGAGCATGTGTGCATGTGTACCTGTGTGTGCCCGCACATATGTATGTGCACATATGCATGCATGCAGGTGCATGTTTGTATGCGTGTTCACATGTGAGTGCCTGTGTGTGAGCATACCATCCTAGGAGAGCTTAACATCCACCTGAAGATGCAGCCACACCCCAGCTATTAGAGAAATTACTGCTTCCTTTTAAGATAGATTCAGGTAATTAATAAAGCAAGTAAGGATATAACCTCTCTCTCCCTAAGGATAAAACCTTTCCACATGTAGGACCCCTTTGTCTTCTGAATGGAACAGCATAGGATGTGGATGCCAAGGGAAACCAGATAAGTCTGATAAAATTTGCTATTCGGTAGCAAACCCTAAAATTACTACGAAACACTTTGCAAATTATCACACTTCCTTTCCTGTTCTTCCTGGGCCTTTGTCCACTGCTTCTGCTGCTTCAGAACCAATTCCACCCACTAACTATGCCCCTGCCTGCCTGCCCCCTCTCCATTTTACCTCCGCCTTCTTTCCATCCTGCTGGTCTGGTACAAAAGGCAATGGGTATTTCAAAATGCTGGCTGCTCTTGGTCTCACAGGTACAAAAGCTGATTAGAGAAAGAATAAGTTGCCTAGAGCTGTGATTGCCAAACTTTTCTGATGGTTCACCCTTATCACTAAAATGTTTTGATCACAAAGTCCCAACATATGCATACTTAAATCCGTGGCTCTGAAATATGGATTTGTTTCAAGTCTTTATTGCTATAATGTCAAATTTAGTATCTCTAACTAGTAAAACTAAATAAGTAAAATTTTTGAAGGTATGTAATGTCCATCATTTTCACTAGGTTGGCAACTAGGTGCATATATACATTATGTATTTATATATTTATAAGTTGTGCACCCTCTATTGTATTAGTAGATTATATATGTTATAAAATATACCAAAGGTAAAAACTCAAAAAGGTGAGATTTAAAAAATATATATAGAAGTTCTAATATTTTCTTCCTGCATTTCATTGAGGTGATTTGATGACTAGTAGACTAGAAATGGAGAAGGCTTTGTAAGTCTAACTGTAAAAGTCTCAAGAGCACTACAAACTCTTTGGCTCTCCTCAAGGGCAAGGCTTCCTGCCATGGTGATCTGCCCAGGTCCAGCTAGCTGCCCACCAGGTCCACAGGAGATACGGTGATGCTGCAAATAATCTGAAAGATTTTTTTTCTTTTGCTGTTTCTTTCATGTCTTTCTTCACTGACAGGCTCTTCTGTTTGCCCTCGTGTGATCTCTGTTTCTTGATTACAACTCATACTTGGCTGACCAAGTCCTAAGTGATGCCTGAAGTTCCAGCCCTTCTCCTCTCTCTCATGGGCTAAGCCTCTGCTTAGAATTCCACAGCATCCCCCGTCATTTGAGACTTGGACTTCTTTGCCCACAGCTGTACAAACACTGGCTTTTTATAGCCAAGAGTGAATGGTCATTAAAGGATGAGCCCAAGGTCTTAAGAAGTTTTCCAGTTCAATTTGGTTTTTGTGGGGGAAGGAGTCTCACTATGTCACCAGGCTGGAGTGCAGTGGCATGATCTCGGCTCACTGCAACCTCCACCTCCCGGGTTCAAGCGATTCTCCCGCCTCAGCCTCCTGAGTAGCTGGGATTACAGACATGTGCCACCACGCCTGGCTAATTTTTGTATTTTACTGTGTTGGTCAGGCTGGTCTCAATCTCCTGACCTTGTGGTCAGCCCACCTCGGCCTCCCAAAGTGCTGGGATTACAGGCGTGAGCCACCGTGCCTGGCCTTTTCCAGTTCTTTAAAGGTACAGAAAAGCAAGGAGAGAGAGATACTCAACCAGTGTGTACCTGCACAGCAGAAATGTGTGACAGAATGGAGCCCACCTGATGGGTGCCTCTAAGATGCAAGTCCCATGGGGGAAGAGAGTCTTCCAACCAACCCCTACACCAGCACTGAGGGCAGTGCCTGGCATGGATGAAAGGTTTGTTGAATGAATGAATGACTCAAATTTTGTCATGGATTGGTACCAATCAGAGGACCTCTTCCATTGCTTTGGGATCTGACATAGCACTTCAGTGCACACTCAGGTTGTTTTTCTTCCAAACTGGGAGAAGGGATGGAGGGAAGCCAAGGCTCAGCTTTTGTGTATGGTCTCACTGATTTATTCAAATTGAAAACTGGAGCTTTTGGACAAAAACATCCCCATGCCATTTCTAGCAGTTCCTCCATCCAGCACACTTCGAGCATTGCTAGTCCCCAGCAGGAGGTCCAGTCTTCCCGGGACTTTGTTCCATCATGGTGCTTCTTCATTGCTGGACACAAGTTTTCCTTTTTTCTTACTGCCTCAAAATCTTAGTTCCTCTGGGCCCCTTCCTGCTGCCACAAATGAACTTTCACTTGCTCTGGGTTTCTTCCCACTGCCACCCATCTTTTATAAAAACAAAATTCGAAAATTAAAAAAAAATATTTTGGTAAAAAATACATGACAAAAAATTGACCATCTTAGTCATTTTTAAGCGTACAGTTTCATACTGTTAATTACATTCACGTTGTTGTGAGACAGCTCTCCAGAACTTTGTCGTCTTGCAAACCTGAAACTCTGCACCCATTGAACAACAACAACCTCTCTCCCGCTGGGAATCCCCGTACTATGTTCTGTCCCTGTGAATCTGACTACTCTAGGCACCTCATAGAAGTAGAGTCATATAATATTTGTCCTTTGGTGACTGGATTATTTTACTTAGCATAATATCTTCAAGGTTCACCCATGTTGTAGCATGTGCCAGGATTTCCTTCTTTTTAAGGCTGGATAATATTTCATCATATGTATATGCCATATTTTCTTTAGTCATTCATCTTTTGATGAACATTTGGGATACTTCCATCTCTTGGCTATTGTGAATAATGGTGCAATAAACATGAGTGTGCAACTCTCTCTTAAAATCCTGCTTTTAATTCAGTCTTTTGGATATATACCCAGAAGTGGAATTGCTGTGTCATATGGTGGTTGTATTTTTAATTTTTTTGAGGAACTACTGTAGTTTTTTTTTTTTATAGCAGTTGCACCATTTTATAACCTCACCAATAGTGCCCAGTGATTCTTCCTCAACATTTGTTATTTTCCTTTGTTTGTTTGTTTGGTAGTGACTATACTAACGTGTGTGAAGTGATATTTCATTGTATTTTTAACTTTTTTGAGGAACCTCCATACTATTTTTCATAGCAGCTGTATCTTTTGACATTCCCACTGACAGTGTACACAGTTTTTAATTTCCCCATATCCTCCCCAATACTTGTTATTCTCCTCCTCCATTTTTTTTGGTAGTGGCCATCCTAATGGGTGTGAAGTGACATCTCATTGTGGTTTTGGTGAACATCTTTCTGATGATTAGCGATGTTGAACATCTTTTTGTATGCTTGCTGGCCATTTGTATATCATCTTTGCAGAAACGTGTATTCAAGTCCTTTGCTTATTTTTTTAATGTAATATTATTTATTTAACTTCAAAAACATGTCAGCATTCTAAACATACTAAAAAAACCCAGAACGTTACAAATTGTGTTTAAGTACAGAAGGTTCTTGAGCTTTCATTGATGCAGTAGCTCTTCACTTTGCTGACAATGAAGAGTTCTACAATTTGTTTAAAGACAAACAGTTTAAAAACTAATGCACTCAACTAAGAACAAAAACAAAGTAAAACTTCTCATGCCAGTTGACCCCCTTTGTCCACAGCTAAGATGGCAGCAGAATGCTATGTCACTATATACAGAAACAAGACAACCTGAAGCTAAATGGATGTCCACTGCAGACTCAACAGGTCCAGCCTCGCAGTGCACACCCTGAGCTACAGCCCCTCCAGAAGGCATCTTCCCCACAGCCTCAATGCCGAGCAAGGAGCATCAAGAGTTTGTCTTGGTTGTTTTGTTCTTTTCACAAACTATAGATATATATAGTTGATAACTCAGGTTTTCTAGCCAATAACCATATAGTTAACCCCACCTTATAAATAAAAAAAATTGCCAGAAACATCTTTAAATGCCTTGTCACCCCAACAGCAAAGTGCACAGAGTGAGATCACGAGAGTGCCTTTTCATTTAAAAACTGTTTGGAAATATGTACAACTTTGATACAGTTTCAGGGTGCTCCAGACACCCATGGCCATTTGACAGAAACCACTGACAATTTCTAGAGCACTTTGAGAAACTACAATATGATTGTGATCAAATTTTGTAATTAAACCTAATGAGGGCAACAGGTACTTCTCAAATAAGAGATGTGTCAATTACGATGCTCCCCTACTCTAAGTTATTCACAAGGAGACAGATAAACAGTTTCTTTATTCCTCCTCCTCCTCCTCTTCCTCCTCCTCCTCTTCCTCCTTGTCTTCTTCATCTTCCTCTTTCACCTTTTTCTGGGCAACTTTAGCAGGACGCTTTGCTCCATCAAACTTTCCTTTCAACTTATAGTCAGCAACATCCTTCTCCTACTTCTCCTTCAGCTTTGCCGCCTTAGTGATGTAGCTAGGCTGCTTTTCACTGTCATTTAAGTTATTCCACATCTCACCTAGCTTTTTTGCCATGTCTCCAATAGAGATGCCAGGGTTTGTGGATTTGATCTTGGGGCGGAATTCTGAAGAGAACAGGAAGAATCCAGACTGTGGCCTTTGGAAGGCATTAGGATTCTTCTTCTTCTTGCCTCCCTTAGCTGGTCCACAATCCTTCATTTCCCAATCAGCGCACTTTATCTGCCTCTACCATTTCATCAAATTTAGATTTCTCTTGCACGGACATTGTCTTCCACCTCTCAGAGCACTTCTTGGAATATGTTGCAAAATTGACAGGGTCCTCTGGGTTTTTCTTCTTATGTTCTTCTCTGCACGTCTGCACAAAAAAGGCATATACAGACATCTTGTCCTTTGGTTTCTTGGGGTCACCTTTAGCCATCCTGACCGTATTGCTCACTAGTCTGAGCAGTGCAGGGCACAACGCGCAGCTCAGTGCTCCCCAGACTCAGGCTAGCTGCCTCCACGAAAGCCTCTCCTTTGCCTATTTCTAAACAGGTTATTTAATTTTTTTTTTTGTTGTTGTTGAATTGTAGGAGTTCTTTATGTATTCTGGGTATTAAGCCATTATCAGATATATGACTTGCAAATATTTTCTCCCATTCTGTATGTTACCTTTTTGTTCTGTTGATTGTATTATTGGGTGCATAAAAGTTTTTGTTTGAGTTTGGATAAAATACTATTTATCTATTTTTGCTTTTGTTGTCTGTGATGTTAGCATCATATCCAAGAAATCATTGCCAAGTCTGATGCCATGAAGATTTTCCTCTATGTTCTCTTCTAGGAGTTTTATTAGCTTTGGATCTTATGTTTAGGTCTTTCCTCCATTTTGAGTTAATTTTGTATAAGATATAAGATAAGGGTCCAACTTACTTGTTTTGTGTGTAGACATCCAGTTGTCCCAGCACCATTTGTTTAAGAGATTGACCTTTCCTTGTTGAGTGGTCTTGGCATCCTTGCAGAAGATCATTTAACCATATAGGCAAGTGCTTATTTCTGGGATCTTTATTCTATTATTATTATTATTATTATTATTATTATTATTATTATTTTGGTTTATATGTCTGTCATTATGCCATTACTACACTGTTTTGATTACTGTAGCTTTGTAATATGTTTTGAAATCAGGAAATGTGAACACAACAACTTTGTTCTTCATTTTAAAAATTGTTTTGGCTATTTGAGGTTTCTTGAGATTTCATTTTAGAATTTTTTGTTCTATTTCTGCAAAAATTGCCATTTGGATTTTGGTGGAAATTCCACCAACTGTATAGATTTCTTTGGGTAATACAGACATCTTAACAATATTAAATCTTCCAATCCACGGACATGAGGTGTCATTTCATTTATTTGAAAGTCTTCTTTGATTGCTTTCATTAATGTTTTGTAGTTTCCAGTGTATAAACCTTTCACCTTTTTATTTAGATTTATTCCTAAGTATTTTATTCTTTCTGATGCTATTGTAAATGGAATTGTTTACTTAATTTCCTTTTCAGATTGTTCATTTAGTGTATAGGAATGCAACTGATTTTTGTATGTTGATTTTGCCTTCTGCAACTGCTGAATTTGTTTATTAGTTCTAAAAGTTATAAGTTTTGGTATTATCTTTAGGGTTTTCTATGTGTAGCATGATGCCATCTGTGAATAGAGATAATTTTAATTCTCCCTTTTTAATTTGGGTGCTTTTAGTTTATTTTTCTTGCCTAATTGCTCTGGCTAGGACATCCAGTACTACTGAAGAGAAGTAGCAAGAGTAGTCATCCTTATCTTGTTCCTGATCTCAGGGGAAAAAGGCTTCAGTTTTTCACCACTGAATATGACATTAGCTGTGGGCTTTTCATATATTGTCTTTATGATGTTGAGGTAGTTTCCTTATATTCCTAGTTTGTTGAGTATCTTTTTAATCATGAAAAGTTATAGAATATGTCAAATACTTTTTCTGCATCATTAAAGAGAATCATAACTTTTTGGTTCTTCATTCTGTTAATGTGGTACAATTCTGCCATTCTTTGTATAGTTCCTAAATCCTGTTAAATCTTCCCTTCTAATCTTTAGCTCCTTGGCAATAATTTCATTATCCAGTAAGGATTTTTATCAATATTTTATATGTTGTGATATATTAATTTTTGGAACAGACTTGATTTTTCCAGCACCTATCATTCTAAGCCTTGTTTCAGAGAAATGTGATCACGCAGCCCTTATTTTATAAAACTTTTCTCTGAGTTCTCTTTTGCCTCTTTCCTATTTTTAATCTCCTCTTGAATTCCTAGGTAACCTCCTGTGTGTTCCCCAGAAAATTTATTCAGAAACCTTTGTCTTTTCTGTGAAATTGCTCAGTATGATGACTCACAGTGAGCCAATGTTAAAACAATAGTAACCAGAACTCAACATTCTCATGCATGCCAATATCATCTCCTCATCTTGAATATTTTCTGAGCCTATGCAACTTAGATGCAGGCTGTAAGAATATCCTTGGTTACTGGTGCAAAAAAAAAGTCAAGCAACAAAACAGAACAAAATGATAATTGGACCTAGGAGACACTTGGCAGGGTAGCAGTTTTATTTTAAAAGTCAAATCATATTTTTAAAACTTCAGGCCATTTTATCAATGCTTTATTTATAGGTGTAATCAGTTCCATTCAGAGAGAAATGTCTAAAGAATTAGATAATAAATGAAGGAAAGACAGCATGGAACAAAATGGAAAGAATGCAAATCATGAGAAATGTCTTGTCCTTTCTAATACTTGTGATTCCTAAGTTCTGCTTTCTGGAGAGGTCGTGAGTGGGCAGAGACAAAGCATGCAACACGAAAGGAGTATCATGAAGTCAACCACGAAATGCTGTCTCACCACAGTTATTTTCTAAATACTGTCATCATCACATTTTGCTGTTAATAGGTCTATATCACAGTGGTATTAATGAAAATGACATGTCTAAAAGCAAAAATTTACATAAAGTTTTGTATTAGAGGGTCATAAATGCTAGTTGAAAAAATTCAAAACTCTAGTTGGGACTTTTTTTTGTTTCTTTTTTGTTTTTGTTTTTGAGACAGAGTCTCGCTTTGTTGCCCAAGCTAGAGTGCCGTGGCACAATCTGGGCTCACTGAAACCTCTGCCTCCCAGGTTCAAGCGATTCTCCTGTCTCAGCCTCTGGAGTAGCTGGGATTATAGGTGCCTGCTACCACACCCAGCTAATTTTTGTATTTTTAGTGGAGACAAGGTTTCACCATGTTGGCCAGGCTGGTCTTGAATTCTGACCTCAGGTGATCTGCCCGCCTTGGCCTCCCAAAGTGCTGGGATTATAGGCACGGGCCACCGTGCCCGGCCTGGACATTTTTTAATTAGGTGAATTGGCAACTGGATCTTTTTCTGCCTTTTTCTTTTGAGAAGGTTTTTTTGGTTGTTGCTAATCAAAAGCTTTTTCCCCTTTCATTAATGTCTAAGTACATAAACGTCTGCCTGACACTCTTATTTTTGTGGGTAAAACAGCTCAGTTTTTGTACTAGTATTATAAAATTCTGGTTTTGATAATTCAAAGTTATGGGGTCTATGCAGAATTTCTTATGAGAAACACACAGAAATCCAGTGTCTTATAAAATGATTTATATTTCATTCACGTTTCAATTCTATTTTTGGTGAAACTTGATCATTAGCAGACACAAATATACCTTGAAGCCTTGGTCAGTATATAATATGTGACATATCATCACCTACAGCACTAGAATCTCCTCATCTTTTGAAAACTGGGCTAGAAAAATGAAATATGCAGGACAACCCCGAATTCCCATCTTTTCAGAGATTGCCAAGCAAATGTGAACCCTCTGAATTTGCTGAGACTCTGATCTCCAGTGTGAACTCAGGTTACCTGCCCTTCAGATTCTAGTTATGGCCTTCAGAGACTCTGCTGAGGCACTGCAAGGATGATGTTCTTTGTCACAAGCTCATTGTGTACTTATTTTATGCAGCCAGGCAATAAGCATATCAAATTCACCTTCAAACTTTTGGCTTTGTGGCTTGAAAAAACCCAAACAAGAATTTTTCTGGAACAACTCTTTCAAGAATCCTAGTTTGGTTGGTCTGACTCCCAAGGGCTATTTGTGATTAGATGATTCCTCCTAAGGGTGATAGGTTCTGTTGAATTTCACATTAGGTCCAAGTTCCTCATGGCCCTAGTGTATACTGTAGTATAGCCACGGGGATCACAGCCAAGGACTAGATGGTGAAAGGGCAAACTAAAATATACAGGTGTGTTCCAAAAAAGGAAGAAAAAGTGCCCATATAAAAATAATTATGCTATATATTTTATATAATATAATGACATTTATACTATAAGCTAAATTTTCAAAGTTACACCAACAACAAATAACACAAGTATACAGAATCCCATCGTTCCTGAAAATCTTGGGGCTGTGTAATTTAGAAACAGAAATGAGCGTGTCTGGGCCTATACAAAGAACCCCAGAAGCACTCTTCATGTTCTTGCCCAATGTTGTTCAAACAGCACTATTTCAGGATACCCGTTGACTTGGGAAGTGAGGGTGATCAGCTCCCTGCTGCCTCAGGCACTCTCCCTCCACATAGTCCCCGGGCATCCCCAGCTTGGAGCACAATATCAACCTGAGGGGAAGAAAGCTGGGTCGCTCATGGGTCCGTGAACCCAACTGAGAACTGGTTAACTGGTTAGCAGGCAGGGCTGTTGAGTGACGTGCAGGCCGCTCCCTCTCTCTTCCCAAGCAGCTGGGCTTCCGGAATGCAGATGCCCGGCTGCCTTCCTGCCAGACAGTGGAGAGTTGGGTTAGAAGGGGGAACATCTGGGGAGATTTCCGGTAGCAATCTCCGGAGGCTGAGCTAGATAATCAGGCTTCATAAATTGGGTTGACTAGACAGTAAAATATTTATTATGATTCCTCTTTTTTTTTTTTTTTGAAGTTCAAAAATCCTTGTCATCCCCGGCTGAAGCCTGTGTCCACATGAGAGGAATTCATAATGAAATCAGAAGTAGCCTGCCACCACTTACTCACGACCTCCACCTGCAGCAGGGAGGCAGTGATTGGATCTGCATATGTGCTCCATTTAATTGTTTTTTCCTAATAAAACAGAAAAATCCATGAAACAACAACAATGAGCAATCCAAAAAAAAAAAAAAAAAAAAGAACAGCCCATGTGATGGTCTTTTATTCATTCTTGATGTATCAAATATTTTCTTACATGGGTGAAAAACAGAGGCAAATAATTTGGATGTTGTTTAAAAATAGACTTTCATATAAATAATGTTGAGTCTTAAAGATACCTATTATTATTATTTTAACCTTGAATCTCTACTAAAAACAAATGGTGAGTTGTGGAATTATTCAGATAATTGAGACCAAAATGCTGGTTTCTCTTTAAATATTTAGATAATGGAACAAAAACAGCTACAGCTGATGTGTATGATTAGTGACCATGATTAGTGACCAAGTGCTTTCTTTGGGAAAGTGGATGATGTCTTGGCTGTACCCTCAAACTAAGTCCTATGTCAGTGGAGAGCATTAGAGGTTTATTATAAAAGAGGGATTCAGATTTCTGTCAAAGGTGGACAGTTTTTTTTTTTTTTTTTTTTTGAGACAGAGTCTTGCTCTGTCACTCAGGCTGGAATGCAATGGCATAATCACAACTCACTGCAGTGTCCACTTTCTGGGCTCAATTGATCCTCCGGCCTCAGCCTCCTGAATAGCTGGGACTACAGGTGTGTGCCCTGTGCCACCATGACTGGTTAATTTTCTTGCTTTTTTTTTTTTTTTTTTTTTTTTTTTGTAGAGGTGGGAATGGTCTCACTATGTTGTTCAGGCTGGTCTCGAACTCCTGGGCTCGAGTGATCCTCCCGCCTTGGCCTCCGAAAGTGTTGGGATTACAGACATGAGTCACTGTGCCCAGACTCTTTTTTCTTAAATGCTCGCACTAGTTAATAATTTGGCATTTAAAT
The DNA here is from genome assembly GCF_000001405.40 of Homo sapiens. Taxonomy (NCBI): domain Eukaryota; kingdom Metazoa; phylum Chordata; class Mammalia; order Primates; family Hominidae; genus Homo; species Homo sapiens. The sequence goes on along the minus strand of NC_000002.12, from coordinate 104,765,703 downwards.
GTTTCAGTCAATTGGTAATCAACACCGATTACAGAGAACAGCTTCTCCACCTGGGTATAAGATGACTGCTGCTTCAGGCCTCACTGCCCATCTAGCCCCAGATCCTGCCATTCCCCACAGCATCCTATGCTCCAGTGAAACTTCCTCAGCATTCCCAATCTCATCCAGATGGCCCACTCCTCCATGATTCTTCACACCTGCTGTGTGCTTCCAGACTTTGTTCTTTGGGAAACCTCCTGCACATCCCCTCATGGGGCTCCCTGCTCCCAGCCTCATCAACTCCTCGATACCTTTCCCATCAACCCGCCTTCCACCACAGTCTATGCTGAGAAAGGTATCTGCCTTTTGAGCTTCCATTTTATCCTATTTACATATCTAAAATATCACTTTTTTTTTTTTCCAACAGCCACAGATATTTACTGAGTGCCTCTTCTTTGGTAGGTCCTGCTCACACAGACACAGTTCCTGCCCTCCTGAGGCTGACATTCCAGGTGAGGAGAAAGATGATAGACGTGCATGGGAAATGATGCCAGGAAGTGCCATGACAAAGATACAACAGAGGTTTTTCTTGTTTGACTTTCGCCGTAGACTATGAACTCTTTGAAAGCAGAGACGGTAAATCTAGCATAGAGTGGAGTGTTAGCATATACTACATGTCAGTCAATGTTGAATGAATGAGCAAATGAAAGGCATATTTAGTGGACTTCTCATGATGTTTCCAATCCTTCCAATAATGGAAGAAATAAAAGAAATAAATAATAATTTTACTTATTATGGTTGGAAAGTTTTCTCAAAGAATATCTATGAGACATTTTCAAAGATAAAGAATTTTCCCTTTGACTACGAAACAACAATTAGTTCAGATAGCCAGGCACAAGGCCATCACCTCTTCTGACTGTCACTGATCATCATTCAGACAGATCACCCACAAGACATGTAAAAATGGTGGTTCTCTACTCCAGGTTTTTATTTCTATTAACTTTTATGGCATATGATCTTGAACAAACATTTGTAGTCAATATTTGATAAAAAGCCCGATTCAATCAAGTAAATAAAGCATTAGAAAAAATAATTTCATTCCTTTGCTAAACTAAATCCATTAAGACACCAATAGAACTGAGGACAAAGGATATTTAAAACAAAACAAAACAGTGAGACCCATTGCTCATTTGCATTTTAAAATTAATTGATGCCCTAATTATTCATCAGTAGAAGCATAAATGAAGCAAATATAACTTAGCGTAAGCTTTTAGACACCCACAGGATTCTCCCCGCAAGAGTAAATTTTTGTAATGGTTCTCTGTGACAGTTTATTTTTGTTGTCTTCCTATGACTGAAGAAAGAGAAGATTGAAGCCATACAGAAATGAAACAGACTCAAGGGAAAGAGATGGACACAAGTAGTTACTTTTAGTTTTCACCTGTAAGATGTAAGAAGGAGGGCTGGGCATGGTGACTCACGCCTGTAATCCCAGCACTTTGGGTGGCTGAGGTGGGAAGATTGCTTGAAGCCAGGAGTTCTCCACCATGCCTGAGCAATATAGCAAGACCCTGTCTCTACGGAAAAAAAAAAAAAAATTAGCTGATCATAGTGGCATGCACCTGAAGTTCCAGCTACTCAGAAGGCTGAACTGAGAGGATCTCTTGAGCCCAGGAGGTCAAGGTTGCAGTGAGCCAGGATTGCACCATTGCACCCCAGCTTGGGTGAGAGCGAGCGAGAGCTTGTCTCTAAATAAAATATTTTAAAAAAAATAAGATGCAAGAAGGTAATAACCAGTAAAGAATGTTGGTACCAAGGAGCTTCCTTGGCAACCTTCCTGAAGCTACACTTCCATTAATTGCAAAGTGTGACTGACTCCATGACCCCAAAATGGAACCAAAAGCTGAAAAATGTAGTTCAACATGGAGTTGTTACCTGTCTTGCTTTGTGTAAATCTGATTGATTGACTTGAGTATTTGCTCCATCTATCTATTTTCCCTCTGTCTTAGTTTCGGCTGCTATAACAAACACCGTAGACTGAGGGTGGGGGCTTAAACGATGATTTATTTTTCACAGTTCTGCAGGCTGAGATGTCCAAGATCACGATGCTGGCTGATCAAGGTTCCTGGTGAGGACTTTCTTCCTGGTTTGCAGATGGATGTCCTCTCTCTGTGTCCTCACATGGCAGAGAGAGAGAGAGAGAGAGAGAGAGAGAGACAGAGAGACAGAGAGATAGAGATAGAGAGAGAGAGAGAGAGAGAGAGAGAGATCTTGGGTTTCTTTCCCTTCTTATAAGGTCATTAATCTCATAGTGACAGTGACACCTTCATGACCTCATCTAACCGAAATCATCTCCCAAAGTCTCCACCTCCTGATACTATCATATTGGCGGTTAAGGCTTCAACATATAAAATTTGGGGGGACACAAGCATTTAACCCAAAGCACCCTCCCACCACGTCGACAGAGCTGTAGGAGGCATTTAGCACAGCTGGGAAAATTTCTCTGGCACATAATCAGGCATTCATTGTTGGTAATCTCTATCAAAAGCTTATGAAGCAACACAATGATGCTGAATAACAAACAATTCTAAATCTCAGTGATTTAAATTAACTGTCATCTATGCTCATGCTTCCTGGGCTGCAGGTCAGCTGTGGTGTGGGTGATCTACGTGGGCACAGCTAGGCACCTCTCCTCCAGGTATGCTTTGCAGTGCATGGGTCAGTTGGAAAAACTCTGCTTCAAGCCACAGTTTGTATTCAGGTCTGTTTCACCTGTCTCATTCTGCAATGATCATCACAGGGCATAGGGCTATCTGATTTACAATCTTTCTAAGGTGCAAGTAGAAGCTCTCAAAGTGGTATGTGTAAACATGTAATGCCTTAAGGCCTAGGCTCCAAATTGACATATGGTCATTTCTGCCCACATTTCACTGGCCAAAGGAGTCCCATAGTCAAGCTCAACATCAGTAGGGTGAGAAAGTAAACTCTTCCCATTGGAGGCCAGTATGTTTCTGTGTTGGGGGCAGGAGGGGTACTGAATATTTGTTAAACAATAATTTAATCTATCATAACTATATTTAAAGAAAGTCCTTTATTTTCTGATTTAGGCCTCTACACATGAATTATTTCAAGTTTGCCCCCGTCCTGCTTTTTTGGTTTTCTCCTGAGTTTGTTAATTATGTTAGAGTAGCCAGAAAGATCTTCTCTCCTTAGGAAAGGTACGTGGAAGATTTAGAAACACTTGACTTTGCATGAACTTCCAGCAGAAACAACCAGACATGGTCCAGTTGAGTCTTTGCCCTGCTGCTTGAGGAAGGGGACCATGGGATGTGGGTCTACGGGTCTTATTTGGATTTGAGGCTATGCATTGAGGTGCCCA